>NC_000006.12:25817575-26120606 GCF_000001405.40 Homo sapiens | reverse complement strand
ACTTCTGATCTTAATTACATACTTTTATTTCTTTAACTGATCAACATGCTAAATAGATAACCTATGGCTCTGTTTTTACCCACTTTAAATTCTGTTCTATTAGCACGGTTAGCTTTCCTAATTGGCAATAAGATTGAGACTATCTTTTTTTTTTTTTTGAGACAGAATTTTGCTCTGTGGCCCAGGCTGGGGTGCAGTGGCACAATCTCGGCTCACTGCAACCTCTGCCTCCAGGGTTCTAGCAATTTTCCTGCCTCAGCCTCCCCAGTAGCTGGGATTACAGGTGCACCACCACGCCTGGCTAATTTGTGCATTTTTAGTAGAGATGGGGTTTCGCCATGTTGGCCAAACTGGTCTCGAACTCAGGTGATCCACCTCGGCCTCCCAAAGTGATGAGATTACAGGCGTGAGCCACCGTGCCCAGAAAAGACTATCTTATTTTATGAATTTAAATAATTGTGAAATTATCCACTTAAGGGAATTAATAAATTATAATGTAATCTTAAATTTTAGTTGGCTTACATAAAGACTTAAAATACATCAATTTAAATAAAAACTCATTTGTCTAAAAAAAAATCAAAAATTTTCCTTGTGCTTTAAATGTGCTACCTCTTTAAGTTCTAATTAAGAGAAAAAAAGTTTAACTGTGAGTTTCATTAGTGGTCTTAGTTAACAGCTTAAAGTATTTTGTAAAAAAAATACTTCACAATTTTTAAATAACTTAAAAATATTAATACCTCTTTTATTAGGTTTTTTTAATAAGGAAAATATATAATACATCTAATCAAGATTTTTTTTGGACAAATTGGCTTAATAATTTCATTTTAAAAATGGCTTCTTTATTCTTATACTGTAAAAATAATATTAGCAGAATATTATAGTATACACAAGTTTAGGGTTCATATTCTAAAAAACAAAAACAAAAGCTAATTTAACTTGCATTTACTAAATTTCTTCCACTAGTTGTACTGGTTACATGAGTTAACATCACTTTATTTATTATTCTAAAATTGTAAATTATTCATTGAACCAAATTAAATGATAATAGATAATGTCATTTTTAAAAATGGAATTAAATTTTATGTTACTAATTATAAGGATTCAATGTGTGAGCTTAAGTACTGAGTTCACAGTGTATGATAACTTTAAGAATTTAGGTGAATATTATTAAATTGAGTAAATTAATTCTCAATCTTTGGATACCTGGACAATTTCTAAATTGGAGGGTACAAAATACAAATCACAAGAAACAGTGTAGTTTTATGCAAATAACATTTTTACACAGTTTAGAATAACCATTGATAAACAGATAAGAGAACATATGATTGCCTTAGAATAGATACTGTTGCTTTCGCCACTTTAGATTTGTAAATCACGTACTGTATACGTGTGGGCGTAGAGGACCATGCAGGTTTTGGATGACTGCCTCTGTTTTCGTCATGCCTATGCGGGAACACAATTGCCTGCTTTGTTTAAGGGCTATGGTTAATCCAAACAGCTCTGACTCTATCAAGTACTATAGCTACAGAGAAACACAAGTAAGCATTCGAGATAATGACTACCTTGAGCCTTTACTTATTTAAAAAGTTGTTACTGTTTGTTAATGTGGTACATTCAATTTACTATGGATTGTCACTCTAAAATAAGACTTCAATCTTTTTCTTATTTTTATATAGCCATGATTTATATTCATATCTTAATGTAATAACCAATCTTCTCTGACAACATTATAACAATGCTGGAACCTCCATTTTCAGTACTTCAAACAACAAATACTGCTTTTATACTTCAGAGCAGATGGATATGTGCTTCCCAGTGTAAACACATTTGGAATCTCACTGAGAAATACACTATCACTAAAAATACAGTTCTGAGATTCATTAAAAGACCTCCAGAATTCTGGAAGTAGGAAGTTTCCTCTTCAAAGTCTACAGAGGAAGATGAGGTCTGAAATAGACAGCTTCTTCCTTCTTTTACCTGTGGTATTATTCTGTTTTGTCCTTTTCTCCATTATCTGTCTTTCCAGTGATGAAATTTTGATCTGGCCCTCCCAAGTATTAAAAAACAAGCAAATAAACAAATCTCAGTTATATTTTACTAAGATATTGGCATGCTAACTTTTTGCAGGTTTGTAACAAGGACCTTTATAACTTGACTAAAAGTTCCTAAATAAGAATATTTACTAGAAAATTTATTTCTGCCTGTGGCCCACATTTGAGTCAAAATAATCAATTAGGAAAAATGAACTTGTTTAACTAAAGTTGACCAAACTGATCTTTGACCAAACTGATCTTTGAGACCTATTCATCTAAGACAAGCCAATTAAATTCTTGGAGACAATTTGTACTTTAAGGAATTCTTATAATATTTGTAATTACCCTCATAACTTTTTTTTTTGCCCTACTTCTGTGCTTCTCTAATATGCAGATTATTAAATGTTGTTACAAAGCCATTGTCAAAAAAACAAAAAACAAAAAACTAAACAAACTCACATGGTTAGACTTGCTCCTTTATGAGATATTTTTACCAAAAATGGAGGAGTTGAAAAACTCTGGTGCCAGAAATCGTGAAGACATGGCCTACCTAACATGGAAATGTTGGTTGTCAGTGGAAAATACTACACAGAGATAGCCATAGTGCTGCACAGCCAATCTTAAGTGTTTCTAGAGAATCACTAATTGTTTCTAGAGAATCACTAATTGTTTTCTTTTAACATTCTTGGTTTATACAAGAAGAGAGTATCCATACTAAACTCTTTTCTACTGAAAATAATGTGCAAACATAACATCCTATTCCTAGACAGTTTGTAGTTTTTTTCTCCCATTTCTATTTTATAAATCATCTTTTTAAAATACTTTGTTGAGTGAAATCAGTCCATTGCTTGATATACCTTGAGCACAAGTAAATAGTATGCCAAAAATTAAATGTCTTTCAGTCACAGTTTGACAAACTCAACTACCCTGAGCCTATAGAGTGGTAATAATTGCCCTACTCATAAAGATGGGGTGAAGATTAAATGAAATAGCACCTATAGAACACTAGTTCCAGACGTGGTATCATGCTAGTAAAATGGCTGCACAGCACTGCTCAATGATGACAAAAAGTGAAGCTTCTGGAGACAGACTCCAAGTTTGACTCCCAGATCACCACATATAAGATGTGGGACTCTGAGGCAGGTCATTTAATCTCTCTGTGCATTAGTATCCTTCTCTATACCTTTACAGTGATGGTAATAGCACCTACCTTCTAGAAGTATGTGAAGATTAAAGATCCTTAATGCATATAAACCACTGTGTTTACTGCTGTTTGACAAATTTTATTTATAACCATCTTTACGCTCCTAAAAGGACTTGAAGCAGCTTATGACTGAAGACTTTGGTAGGAGTTGGCCTTCTATAAATTATAAGAATTTCATAAATTATTTGATATGAAAATGCCAGTTGATCATAGTATGTTTACCGGGGTCCAACAGGTTGAGAAAAAATACACTTTTTTTCCCTGAACATATGAAATTAGCTCTCTAGGCATATTCCTAAGGACTTAAAGAATGATAACTATCATTTCTCTTAAATCTTCCAGATTTGGAAGGATATATATATTCAGCACATTGACAGACAATCCCAGTAGTCCTAAATTAAAAGACATTAAAAATTAGTGAAACTTTTCCTACCTTTAGCCTGTGTAATCCTGGATGACCAAGCATAAAATTAAATTGAGTAGAGTATACCACTGTAACATTTCCTGAAAGGTATTCTAGGCTCTGAGTAATTTCTTTGGGGTCTGAAGATCAGTTTGACATATCCTCAAGTATCATGAGTTCATTATAATTAAGAAAAAGAGAGTAAATCTGGAGAATGAGCCACTTTCTTACTACTCCTTGACCTCAGTTCTTTTTTTCAGAGACAGGGTCTCACTTTGTTGCCCAGGCTGCCAGGCTGGAGTGTAGTGGCGCAATCGCATCTCATTGTAACCTCCACCTTCTGGGCTGAAGCCATCCTCCTGCCTCAGCATCCTGAGTATCTGGAACCACAGCAGGTGCACACCACCATGCCAAGCTAATTTTTTAAAAAGTTTTTTGTAGAGATGGGGTCTTACTATGTTGCCCAGGCTGGTCTCAAACTCCTGGGCTTAAGTGATCCTCCTGCCTCAGCCTCCCAAATTGTTGGGATTACTAGTGTGAGTCACTGTACCCCGCCCCACTTCAGTTCTGAGGAGGAAAAAATATGTAATAATAATGGGACTTTGGTTTGCTGATTTAAAGATTCATGTAACCTTATCATCCAATGCGCAATTTGTAGAATAATTAATAGAGACATCTGGTCTCATGTTTCTACAGTTGCTCATGCCTTGATAGTAGATCTCCTTGCTGCTGGCTCAGAAGGGTAAAAGAGCAGAAATGATGGGGCTTCTCTCATTCTATGAGGAAATAGACCTATGTAGAGGAGGCTACCTGTGGTAAAACCTTATCCTCATCACTTAAAATTCTAGGCTTATTCTCTGACCATATCAAGTTTTCAAATGGTAAAAGAATTGGATTCAAGAGAAATATGAATAAACTTTTGTTTTCACTTTTCTCCCTCCTCTCCCCCCATTCTCCCTTCCTTTATTTTCTTGTCCTTAGTTTTCTTTTCACTTTTTTGTCTACTATTATTTGCCCAAACTCAACTGTAGGCTAGAACAAAAAAAAATTGAAAATTAAAATGTGCCCCTTTTGTTGTTAGACTTGCTTAAACAATTGGGGTAATGAACCTTGGACACTAGATTTTAAAACACACACATTTGAGCTTCAGTGCACTGAAATAAATATATTTTTAACAATTAAAAAATAAAATTGCATGTTTAAAAAATCTGCAGAGAACAATACACGTTGTGAGATCTTGAATGGAAGGAAAACTGCTAGCCTCAAGAGTGGATCAAAGATGCTCAGCAGGCAACAGAGTAAGAGCATGTTGGAGGGTTTAGAGAGTGTGCTCAGGGTTCTAGGCTCTAAAAATCAGACAGTCCCCACGGCCTGGCCTTCGTCGCTGTATCTTCTTTATGAAAAACACTAAGTCTTTTTCCTCACTGGATAAATTTTTATCCTTCAAGTTTAGATCAAATGGAACTTTAGGACACTGACTAGGTTACATTCATCTTTTAAGAGCGTACAGACATTCAAGGGCTAGAGGATGTGGGTTTACTGCACAGGCTCATTATCCAACAGCTGTGCTACCTGGGAAACTTAACCTCTCTGTGCCTTAATTTCCTCATCTATAACGCAGGGAGAATGACAGTAGGTATCTCATAAGGTTGTTGGAACAACTAAATGCATTGGTATCTATTGTGTAAAGTGCTTAAAACACTGCCTGGCACAGAGCAAACATCCAGTGAACTTTAGCCATCATCATTATCATTGTTCTCAGAGTCAAATACAATATCTCATATCTGATAAATTACAGAAGTGAATCAATCACTCTCTCTCTTTTCTCCAGGGGGAGACAACAGCTTTTAGACATATCTTTTCCAACAGTCGTCACTGCTGGACACTGTTTCATCTTGCAAATAAACCAATGAAAATGAGTGATCCTAGAAGAAGATAAATGGAGGTATTTTGAACAATCAAAGAAGGACAAATGAACACCTGGCTGAGAAAAATTAGCTCTTTTTTCTATGCATAAAACTATTAAAATATTCTTCATAGAAATTTATGACACAGGAAACATAAAGACAAAATTAAAATAACTCCTAGTATCTCCTATTCTTTTTATATGTATATTATATATACTCATATTCATATATACATATATCTCACATCATGTATCATATATAAAATAAATTTAGGTGTCATGATATATATTTAGATAAATATACTTAGAAACTTTTTTATGGATGTATAATTTATGGATATATTGATAATTATGTATTTGTTATTGACTACTTCAATTGATTCCCATTTTTATGCATTATATTATAGATTATATAGCTCACACATCTTTGTACATAAATCTTTGTTCAAATATTATTTCCTAAGGATAGACTTCATGAAGTGGAAATACTAAATCAAAAGTGAAAAACATTTTCTAAGGTTCTTAACATATACATTGCCAAATTGCTATTCAGGATCATACCAATTTATAATCCCAAAATAATATGGAAATTCCTGTTTTATAGCACTCATATTTACAATAAATTTTAAAAATCACTGTTAACCTAATAGTCCTTCAAAAGAAAAAAAAATTGAAATTACATTATTTTAATGACTCTATTAGTGAGGGTCATTCTTCCCATGTTTCTTGTTAGCCATGACCCTATAAGAAATAAACTGCACTGCAAAATGATAAACATGACATCAATCATTACATGGGAAGGCACTATATAAAGAATAATACCTTAGGTTAAGGCCACATAAATATTTATCAGGTGCCTTTTCTGCGGAGGACTCTGAAGGGATACTAAACTGCATTTAGCTGCATGCAACTGAAACTACTTTTACCTACATTGTCTCTTATAAACATTATAACTACTCTTTGAGAAAGTGTTTACTATGGACTGAATTGTCTCCCCATCCCCCCAAATTCATATATTGAAGCCATAAACCCCAATATGACTCTATTCCTAGACAGGACTTATAAGAGGTAATTAAGGTTAAATGAGGTCATTAGGATGGGTTCCTAACTGGATAGGATTGGTGGCCTTATAAGAAGAGGAAGATTCTGCACTTGGTCTTCCAAATTAAATAATTTATTTAAAAGAAAAAAAAAAAAGAGGAAGAGAGGGAGCTCTGCACATATACTGAGGAAAGGCTATGTGAGCTCTCACAGTGAGAAGGTAGCACTCTACAAGCCAGCAAGAGAGCCCTCAACAGAATCCAGCCATGCTATACCCTGCTCTGAGACTTCCAGCCTCCAGAACTGTGATAAAATTTTGTTGTTTAAACCACACAATCTATGGTATTTTTTTATGGCAGCCCAAGCCAACAAAGACAGCATCATTGCTGTCACTTACAGACAAGAAAACTAAGACTAGGAGAGAGAAAAGTTAAACTTGTCCAAGGTCACAAAAGCCAGAAACAAGTGAGGTGAGAAGTTGACCTTGTTCTCCTCAATCCAAGGCCAGGACTCCTCCACTCCACATGTAGATAGCCACCTCACAGTCAACAGCCAAATGTCCACACCCCAGAGTCAGCATTAGACCAAGATGTCTTACCAGGAGACAAATGCCTCATCTTGAATAAATATGATCTAACAACTTACCCATGTAAAACATTGAATCTCATGAGAAACAAAAATGCAAAGTATGTAGAAAACTATGTTTACCACTTAACTGACAGTGATAAAAAGCTTAATGATATCCTTATAGTCTTGGAGGGGTTTGTATATGTGGTGAAACAGGTGCTCACGCACTGCTGATAGACTGTAAATTGGTCCTAGAGAGAAAAATAAATAAACTGGAAGGAGATATGCTGTATGTTTACTTTTTTTATGGAAACATATGATATACCTGGAAATTCGATTGACCATGCATCTATTTCTTCAATGGGTATGCACAGTTGAGCTGTTCCCATGCACCAGGCACTGTAATGGGACAACTGCACATGACAGTCAAAAATCTCAGTCTCATGAAGTCGACATGCTCATGGAGAGGTGCTACCCACTAAACTAATATTTGTATATCAATTATGGATACATTGGGCCACATTTACAGAAATTCACTTACAGTGGGTTACCAGAAGGGATTTTTTTTCTTGATTGGCAAGAAGGCTAGGCTGTTTTGTTGGGGGCTGGCAGGAGCTGTCTAGGCTGCCCAAGTATGCAGGTCTCTTCTATCATCCTGTGTTAACCATCTTCCATGTATCTTTCAACCTCATGGTCATCTGCAGCATGTCTAGGGGTCATATCTATGTTCCATGCAGGAAAAAAGGGTAAAGGGAAAGGGAAGTAGGCATGTACCATTTTAATGCACACCTTGGTTTTCAGAAAATTTAAGAAGAAAGACTTTCTGCTTTTCTCTGACTATTCTGTATTCTGGATTACAACGCAACAGAAACGTCACCTTAAATTCTAATGTTTTTCTCTCCTTGCTTTCAAAAACTGACTCATTAACCTCCACGTGGCTTGGAAAAATTATTTCAGTCATCCAGTAATGAGCTGTTCATAGAAATGTTTTGGACATCAAGTCTGTGTTGTTAGCATTATACATGTTAAGCATTGAATAAAAAACAACATGATGTGGGTAAATTTCTTTACTTACATATAAGTACTTATATACTTATAGCTGAAAAGAGAGGTTGAAATGTCAGGTGGAACAGAAATAAGATTACCTAGATGTTTCTCCTATGGGTGATTTTCAGCTATGCTGATCTTTCTTCTGGGTCAGGTACTCCCAGAACTTCCTAATTAAATGGTGGCCCTGATCTTAGTTCCTCTCTCCTCTTAGACATTTTCCAGGACTACAGAAGATGTGCAGTTTATAAATGAGTAGCAGAAACCTACTGAACAAATTATTCAGGCTCATCTGAACAGAGAGGACACCTTCTCTGCTATACTCTCTCAGTGATTTCCCTGCCTTGGGGTCAATTATTGTCTTGGACATTGATTTAAGCACATAATAATTGTTGTCATTGCTTATGTTTGGATTTCATCTCCCAAAATAGATGGTAAATTCTTTAGTTTAGAGACCAAGTAATACTTAAAAAAAAATTTTGTGTGTGTGTGTGTGTTTTTTCTGTGTCTCTCAGCCCTGTAATAGCATCGTACTTACACTTGTTAGATTTTTAGAGACAACTTTTACAAAACATGGAATTATCTACATACCCTTTCTACAAAACAGACAAATTAAATACTCAGTAGTTGAACCAAAAAAAGCAGTTCAAATAAAATACTTGAAAATGAAGAAATCATTTGAACAGAGTTAAAGTTAATCGTAAAATAATGTCTGTAAAAATTATTGCCAATCAAATATAAAGTTCAAAAATAGTGCTTGAAAAAGGAAGAATCATATGAAAAGGGACTACTCATTTTAAAAATGTTAGATATCAGGAAAAGCCAAGAAGTGAGTATGGTAAGAGTGCTGTCAAGTGAAACCCTGCTAATCTCACTGAACATGTAAAAATCTGTAGATGCCTTTATTTTATTCACTCACACACATATGTAGAAAGAGAAATATATGGTAAACATTAAAAAAACCAAATTAGAATGTAAAATTAATACTTTAAAAAATGGGCTGTATACTTTTCTTATCACCGGAGATAAGAATTTATTATTTTTAAAATAAAGTTATTTTCTCTGTGACTGTTTCCATGACTTTGCTACTTAGAAGTTAGAGATGCCAAAGTTTATCTAAGAAAATGTTTATGGAAATATTATTTCAATAATGAATGTTTAGAAGACTGAATTTCCTGACTGGGCGCAGTGGCTCATGCCTGTAATCCCAGCACTTTGAGAGGCTGAAGAAGGAGGATCGCTTGAGTCCGGGAGTTCAAGAGCATCCTGGGCAACACAGCGAGACCCTGCAGCAAAGTAAAAAGAAAAAAGAATTGAAAAAGGAAGACTGAATTTCCTTTGGGCAAGTCATGTGACATTCCTGTGCCTCAGTTTCTTCATCTATAAAGTTAATTCCTACATTTTTGGGGAAGGGAGAGAAAAACTTAGGATAGTGACTGGCACAGAAGAAGCACTATATACTATATATATGTGGATATCATTTGTTTTTATGGTACCATTTTAGCTATCTAATGCAAAATATGAATCTTTTTTTTCTGGGTCTTAAATTATGGAATGTAAGAATTTTCTAAATTCTCTAATTCTGTGTTAGTTTTAAAGCAATGGAGTAACGTATCTGTCAACTTGTAAATATAAGGATCAACCTGATCCACAATTTGACCCCTAGCCACTAATATTTAATAGTACAACACTCAGAAATTATCAAAGGTCAGAGAAGCCAAACAAATGTAAAAACATACAGGTGCTCAGAAAGATGCACCTGTAATCTCTCTAAGGAGAAATATTTTCCAAACTGAGTGACACGGTGCTTTAGTGAGTTGTGGAATCAATCTCATGATTTCCAACCTAGTGTTCTTTTAAAAATGAACTAGTCCACAGTAGAATATACTAAAGTGCTGGTGCTTAAGATAGTATTGTTTTCTGGAAAAAAAAAAAAAATTTTTTTTTTTTGAGACAGGGTCTCGCTCTTGCCCAGGCTGAAGTGCAGTGGCACAATCATGCTCACTGCAGCCTTGACCTCCTGGGCCCAAGTGATTCTCCCACCTCAGCCTTTTGAGTAACTGGGACCACAGGTACGTGCCACCACACCCGGGTAATTTTTTAATTGTAGAGACAGGGTCTTGCTATGTGCTTAGGCTGGCCTTGTGAACTCCTGGGCTCTAGTGATCCACTAGCCTCAGCCTCCCAAATTTATGGGATTATAGGCATGAGCCACCCTACCTGGCCTGTTCCCTGAATTTTTTTTTCTTTCAGGTGTTTGTGCATATGTGTGTGTGTATGGGTATAACAGAGAGACAGAGAGAAAGAAACTTTTCTATCTCACTTTGCAATCAGAAGTTTGAAGTCTTATCTTTTGGCTTTTGTTTCAGAAATATTTCAAATGTAGACTCTCTCCTTTACCACACTGTCCCCTTAGGCAAGGTCTTTGCCATTCTTCTGAGACTATTGCAACAGACTCCCAACTTCTGACTGTGGGCCCTTCTCAAAAATGATTGTTTATGCAATAAATCTAAACCCAAGACAACTACAACAATACAACAAATTCTCTGCTTAAAAACTTCCAATGTCTGCCGGGCGCGGCGGCTCACGCATGTATTCCCAGCACTTTGGAGGCAGAGGCGGGCAGATCACTTGAGGTGGGGAGTTCGAGACTAGCCTGGCCAACATGATGAAACCCCATCTCTACTAAAAATACAAAAAATTAGCCAGGCATGGTGGTGGGCGCCTATAATCCCAGCTAATTGGGAGGCTGAGGCAGGAGAATTGCCTGAACCTGGGAGGTGGAGGTTGCACTGAGCCAAGATCACACCATTGCACTCCAGCCTGGGCAACAAGAGCAAAACTCTGTCTCAAACCAAACCAAAACAAAACTTCTAATATCTACCAAATGTTTCACACAAGTATTTGGGGATCTTCACAAATGGCCCTTATGGAGTTTTCCTTTGCTGAGACCCTATGCTCTGGCCACACTAAACTCATTCAGCATCCCAGAAAGGCCTCAGCCTTTGTGAGCAAGCTCTTATCTCCAGGCCTCTCACAAAGACCTGTTCCAGTAGAAGCTCAGGGGAGCACACTGGACATTATTCCAACAACCCTTTCCCCACAGCTATGCAGCCAAATCTGCCAGCTCAGTTAATTAATTAAGCAATTCAGAGATGAGGGTCTGCCCAGGCTGGAGTGCAGTAGCTGCGACCTCAAGCTCCTGGGCTCTAAGTGATCCTCTTCAGTCTACCCAGAAGCTGGGACTGCAGGCATGTGCCACCACACCCAGCTAATTTTTTTTTTTTTCAGTAGGGACCAGGCCAACCTAGTCTTGAACTCCTGGCCTCCAGCCTTCCGAAGTGCTGTAATTACAGGCATGAATCACTGCGCCCAGCCAACCCGCCCAGTCTTGTTAGACATGGGGTCTGTAGTTTCTAGTAGGTTCTTGAGTCTAGGGTTCCTACCTCATGTTTTATAGTTAATTTAGGGGAGGGACTGTGTCTGTTTATCTGGGGATGTAGGGGTGGGCAGGGGGATAGAGGGGACTTCAATTAATGAAACCAGAAGCAAAACTCAGTTGAGGACACCGGTCATGAGAGTGGCCTGATTATGGCCAATCTTACATAATGTGTGAGATCTTGATATTACCCCATCCTTGAGAGTCCTCTATAAAGCTACAGGGACTTGGGAGCACCTTTAATTACAGACAACCCATGTTCCTGTGGATTATGATTTATTAGATTGCACATGCCTAAATAAAGACATCCTCTGCAGTCTTTTGACAATTCTATAAGCATCTTCTGACTCCGCAATTAGACAGCTAAGAGATCTGTGTTACTTCCCTCACATATATAAATAATTTTAAATAAAAATCATGGCGTGAATAATTTCTTTCCTCTACCGATTTGAAGCTATCCATTTGGAAGACCACTCTGAAGAGATGAAATAAGTCTTCTGCCAAAGATTACTTATTAATTTACAAGGAAAAGGGGAAGTTTTGTTCCTCTCCGTGAATTTGATTGAAAATCGAGGGCTTTCTCGAATAGTTTTGGCATCCAGGGTCATTTTTCATTAAAAAGAGAAAAGTCATGTCAAATATGAATTTCCGCAGATTATTCAGCACTAGACCCTGGGAGATTCTGTAAAGAGGGGTTTTGTTATACTCAACTTTTCCGGGTAAAACAAACACAAATACTCCTCCTCCAAGGGGCGGGGGCGGTGCCTAGGTGATGCACCAATCACAGCGCGCCCTACCCTATATAAGGCCCCGAGGCCGCCCGGGTGTTTCATGCTTTTCGCTGGTTATTACATCTTGCGTTTCTCTGTTGTTATGTCTGAAACCGTGCCTGCAGCTTCTGCCAGTGCTGGTGTAGCCGCTATGGAGAAACTTCCAACCAAGAAGCGAGGGAGGAAGCCGGCTGGCTTGATAAGTGCAAGTCGCAAAGTGCCGAACCTCTCTGTGTCCAAGTTGATCACCGAGGCCCTTTCAGTGTCACAGGAACGAGTAGGTATGTCTTTGGTTGCGCTCAAGAAGGCATTGGCCGCTGCTGGCTACGACGTAGAGAAGAATAACAGCCGCATCAAACTGTCCCTCAAGAGCTTAGTGAACAAGGGAATCCTGGTGCAAACCAGGGGTACTGGTGCTTCCGGTTCCTTTAAGCTTAGTAAGAAGGTGATTCCTAAATCTACCAGAAGCAAGGCTAAAAAGTCAGTTTCTGCCAAGACCAAGAAGCTGGTTTTATCCAGGGACTCCAAGTCACCAAAGACTGCTAAAACCAATAAGAGAGCCAAGAAGCCGAGAGCGACAACTCCTAAAACTGTTAGGAGCGGGAGAAAGGCTAAAGGAGCCAAGGGTAAGCAACAGCAGAAGAGCCCAGTGAAGGCAAGGGCTTCGAAGTCAAAATTGACCCAACATCATGAAGTTAATGTTAGAAAGGCCACATCTAAGAAGTAAAGAGCTTTCCGGGAGGCCAATTTGGAAAGAACCCAAAGGCTCTTTTAAGAGCCACCCACATTATTTTAAGATGGCGTAACACTGGAAACAAGTTTCTGTGACAGTTATCTATAGGTTTAAGTTGTGATGCAGCTGAGTTGAAAAGGCTTGAGATTGGAGAATTAATTCAGGCCAGGCTTCAAGACCATCCTGGGCAACATAGCCAGACTACCATCTATACCAGGGGTCCTCATTTCCCCGGCCACCGACCGGTAACCGGTCCCTGTCCATGGCACGTTATGAATTGAGCCGCACAGCTGAGGGGTGAGCGAACATTAACCAACTGAGCTCCACCGCCTGTCAGGTTAGCTGCAGCATTAGATAGATTCTCATAAGCTCAAACTGTATTGTGAATGGCACATGCAAGGGATCTAGGTTTCAGGCTCCTTGTGACAATC
This sequence comes from Homo sapiens, assembly GCF_000001405.40. NCBI lineage: Eukaryota > Metazoa > Chordata > Mammalia > Primates > Hominidae > Homo > Homo sapiens. The sequence continues at coordinate 26,107,032 of NC_000006.12, read as the reverse complement.
TAATGCCTGATGATCTGAGGTTGGAGCAGTTTTAGTCCGGAAATCATTGCTCCCAGCCCCTGCACCCCCTGGTCCGTGGTATAATTGTCTTACACAAAACGGTCTCTTGTGTCAAAAAGGTTGGAGACTACTGGTTTTACAAAAAAGTAAATTAGTCAAGCATGGTTGGCACGCTCCCTTAGTCCCTGCACCCAGGCGTTTAAGGATACAGTGAGCTATGATGGTGCTACCTCACTCCAGCCTGGGTGACAGCGAGTCAGACGTTGTCTCAAAACTTAAAAAAAAAAAAAGTTAAAACAGAAAAAGGGCTTCTTGTCAGAGACTGCCGTATATCTAGAGGTCCAGGAACTAAAAAGTCTGATGTCCAATCCTGAAAAGCTCGATGGTGCACTAGAGGAGGCTTTTACATGTAAGAGCATCTAAGTTCTGGAAATGCCAGTGTCAGGGAAGGGAAGTGGAGAGCAATTTGGCATCCAAACATAACTTGCTGATACTTTTTTTTTTTTTAACACAAGTACTACATTCTAGTCTTTCTGTGGTGTCATTGTAACTATTGTTTCTTAATATGCTATCCACTGACTTCAAGGGATCAATAAATAGGAATCAAGGTGTCCCAGAATATGGATTAGGGGAGTTTTTTTGTTGTTGTTGTTGTTGTTGTTTTTCATCTATTCATTATCCTGTAGCTGAAATTTAGAATTTTCTTCCATTGTGTGTGACTGATAGAAATAACAAATTTGTAGGTTATAGTTGTTGCAAGAATCTGGAAATCGTGCTTGCTTATTTCCGAAGTACTATTAGGTATATCAACAAAAACACACATATTACGGTCAAGTGGTTTGATAATTATTTTAATATTATTGGTCTAATACAATTGTAACCCTATGAATTACTTTAAGTATCTTATTTATGAAAAGAATCTGTAAGTTTCATCAGACTACCAGAGCATACCGAAGACTGAAAAATTTTAAGAATCCAAACCTTAATGGAAATGTTGGAGGCTGCCCAATTAGGTTCTGAATTCCACCTTCCTGAATCACAAACTTGTTTTAACTCTCAGTCTGAGGTAAACTACGTTTCTCTTTAAACAGACATAGTTTAATTTTCCTTTGATTTTTGATTTAGTATTCTTACTGATCATCATAAATAACCAATGCTAATGTTAGTCTACTTTGGACCATGGTATTTCGAGAAACTTTGAACAAAGTCCCCTGCAAAACTATGCATTGCATTATTTCACATACATTTATGTTTTCCAGACGGTTCAATAGTACCTCACTTTTCTGAACTTATTTGTATAGTTTGGCATCTTTTTAAAAATTGTGTCCTATAATGAAAGGTTGTAAACATTATGTTTTAAATTTGTATAGATAAAATCAACCACAGACCTTTCCTTGCTTGGATGTAATTGCCATTGTTTCCCAATGAGTTCGGAATTACTAGGATTGTGCAAAAATATGCCTCACTTGCCTGACATAGCAGAGAGCCATTTTGCCTAAATGCTGTGCCCAGCAATGGACTGTCACCAGATTCTCATCACATACAGTGAGGATGAACAACTAGCCTCTCCCAGCAGCTGGCCGGTCTCTCAATAATATGGGACTCCCTCAAGATGGCTTCCTGCACCTTTGCTCCTCTAGCCTTGTATGTATACAAGGCTAGCATGCCTGGCATACATAAGGTTAAAAACAAAATCAATAAGTTATGGTTCTTCCTCCAGTTCTGGGGATTATTAGACCACTTTTTTGTTTTGTTTTGTTTTGGATGGAGCCTCGCTCTGTCACCCAGGCTAGAGTGCAGTGGCACAATCTCGGTTCACTGCAACCTCTGCCTCCTGGGTTCAAGCAGTTCTCTGGCTCAGCCTCCCACGTAGCTGGGATTACAGGTGCCCGCCACCACGCCCGGCTAATTTTTGTATTTTTAGTAGACGGGGTTTCACCATCTTGGCCAGGCTGGTCTTGAACGCCAGACCTCGTGATCCACCCACCTTGGCCTACCAAACTGCTGGGAATACAGGCGTGAGCCACCGCGCCCGGACTTAGACCACTTTGTTTTGGCCAATAGGACAACAGCCATAGAACCCTCCGCAAATGAGAGCTTGTCCCTAAAGATGCTTTATTTACATAGCTGTGTGCCGCATGAGCCAAAAGGTGATAACCTTTGTTCAACACGCGCCTCCAGCCCTTCGGTTAAGTCCAAAGTACCATTCTTAGAATGCTCTAAAATACATAATTTTTTTTTTTTTTTTTTTTTTTTTTTTTGAGGAGTCTCTCTCTGTCTCCCAGGCTGGAGGGGAGTGGCGCGATCTCGGCTCACTGCAATCTCTGCTTCCGGGCTAGCTGGGCCTACAGGTGCAGACCACCACGCCCGGCTAAGTTTTGTATTTTTTTTGGTAGAGGGGGTTTCACCATTTTGGCCAGGCTGGTCTCGGATTCTTGATCTCAAGTGATACACTAGCTTTGGCCTCCCAAAGTGCTGGGATTACAGTCGTGAGCCACTGCGCCCAGCAAAATGCTTTTTGTGGAGCCAATCACTTTATTAGCGCTTACCTCTCTATGCCTACTTTATGCTTTGAAATTTTGTCACAGTGTGGCCGGTCATGGCAAACACAATTCATTCTTATGCAGGATGTCACGGTTATTTCTGTCATCCAAACTCATTCTCGCAACGCATTTCAGCTCTTTAAACGACTTTGTGAGCGGCCCTGAAAAGGGCCTTTGGGTTTTTTTGTTTTTGTTTTTTGAAGTTCTCAGGAGACCGCGTATTCTTAGATTCAGCCGCCGAAGCCATACAGAGTGCGCCCCTGACGTTTTAGGGCATATACTACATCCATGGCTGTGACAGTTTTGCGCTTGGCGTGCTCCGTATAGGTGACGGCGTCTCGAATAACGTTCTCTAAGAAAACCTTAAGCACACCTCGAGTCTCCTCATAGATAAGACCGGAAATGCGCTTGACGCCACCGCGCCGAGCCAAACGGCGAATAGCCGGTTTTGTAATGCCCTGGATGTTATCCCGGAGCACCTTACGATGGCGCTTAGCACCACCCTTCCCCAAGCCTTTTCCGCCTTTGCCGCGACCAGACATGATTCCTATCGCAGTGGAAGGTATGAACTGAAACAGTTCCTTAAATACAAACTTGGCGGACCTGATTGAAAACAACATGAGTTGGCGCGGTTTTTTTTTTTTTTCAAATTTGGTCACCAAGTGGGTGGAGCAAGAAAAACTGTTTCATTATGGTTCATTGTTTTGATTGGCCAGTGACAGCTTGCTCTTTGTGGGAGTGGAAGGGTGTTTGCAAGTTGAATGCGCTGTATTCCTGTCAGCTTAATGACGCTAAGCATAGCCCCATTCCACATTTCTTTTTATTTCCACTTGCTAACTAATAAATTACGGAATAGTTTATTGGGGAACATACAAATAATGTTTAAAGGAGGTCAGATTTATAGGTCAAGGGATTTACCCTCCCAATCATTTTAATATTTTTATTTAAACCAGGCATTTTGATGGCCTTCTCTGTGCTGGACAAGGTATAAGTTTGGCTATGAAGTTTCACTCCTAAAGACCCTATGTTTTGGGAAGGCAAAAAGGTAGCCAAATAATTGCAAATTAAAACCTCATAAGTGCAAACTTCTTCCTCGTCACTTTCCCTATCTCGATTCAAATATTTGTTGAATGACTCATTTTTCTGCAAAAGTCTGAGAGAGACAGGGAATATAAACTTAAGTCTGGATAATATGTTTTCCCGGGACGCTCTTCCTGGTCTGCTGTGCCTGTTTGCTGTGCCTGAAATTCCAAACACTCTTCCCTTCCCTCCGTTTTTAATCCCCTTTCAACTTGCTACAGCTTTAGAGAAAAGAACATTCGTTTTGTACAGTTGGGGATTAATTGAAGTGTAGGGCTAATACTTGATTAAGGTCATTACAAAATCTACAGGGTCTTCCTCTGGGAGGTTTTTGTGATAAGATTATTGGTGTTAAAATAAGGCTAATCCCCTTGAAAAATAAATAGAATAGCAGAATTGGGTCTGAATGTGGTTTGAAGAAAGGGACTTCTCAATTCAAAATTTTATTCTTAGCTTCCTGCGGGAGCTTTCCAGAATGCCCATAAGATCCACTTTTGTTTAAAAAACAAAAACAACCCCACCCACCACTCTCTGGTTAATAAATGAATTTCTATTGGGAATATTTAGAATGGGGCTGTGGCCTGTGAGAGACATTATATAGTAACCTCAGACTTGCTCACATGAAGAGAAGAAATCCAGGAATGGAGAAAAAAGACCCAGGAAAGGCCAGAATGCTCTACATGTCATATTGTTTGTATCACTTCTGAAATAATTGATTACATTCTTCTGCCCCAAATTGAGTTCTTAGGTTCTTCCACTCACTGTCCACATGCCACAACACAGACCTTATAACTAGAGACTTAGCTAGGAAGAAATGTCAAACATTACAGAGAAAAAATGCAGAGTCTGAGATCATAAGTAAAACTCTGAAATCTCAACATGCCTTTTAATTCATGAAAATAAAAAATATAGCAGCATATGCAATATGACAATTCTCTGAAAACATACATCATGTGAACTACCCTGGAACACATCTCGCCAAGTGCCATCTTCATTTTAACCAGAGGTCTAGGATGCCTTTCCTTTATTTTGCCTATTATATCATTTATAAAACCCCATTTTTATTTTGATATTTTATTTACTTTCTATTTCCTGCTCCTAATATCTCCTTTCTAAACTTTTCTCAATGACAGTGACTCAAAAACAATGAATGTCAGAACAAATATTTAAAGGATCTGTACATGTAGATATATATATTTAAAATGGATTCTTCCACTCTGCGAAGAATTCAGGCATACTCAATCTTATGGTTAGGGAGAGATTAGGCTCACTCGCCTAATCTGTATGGCTTCTCGTTCGCTTTCCATTTCACCTTCCTCTCACCCATCAGATCAAACTCATTCATTGAACAAGAGACCTAAGCCCTTCAGATTAAAACTCTGCAAACAAGTTGTGGTTGAGAGGATACATGAAGCATTCAAACAAATAAATCTATGATATTAATCAGAGGTTAATCTATGATATTAATCAGAGGTTAATGCAGTGGCTCACGGCTGTAATCCCAGCACTTCAGGAGGCTGAGTTGGGAGAATCGCTTGAGCTCAGGAGTTCAAGACCATTTTGGGCAACATAGCAAGTCTTCATCTCTACTTAAAAAAAAATAACCAGAGGTGTTATGAAAATATAAATTGTCCAGAACTACCCTCCACAAACTAACTCTCTCAGAATATTCGATATGAGGAATGAAATATGGTGTGTGTGTGTGTGTGTGTGTGTGTATGTGTGTGTGTGTGTGTGTGTATGCACCTATATATGGCACCTATATATTCAACAAACAATTCTGATAATTGGCCAGGGTTGAGAATGACTAGCAGCCCAGCATACACTATCAGTTTTAAGTATATAATTGCGCTTTAGTAAAATGTAAAGAAATCCCAGAGTAGAAATACTTTTAAGCTATATTACAGGTGAGAAAATGCATAAGTATAGTCTCACCCAACTTAGACTATGGGGGCTTTATAATGTCACAACAGTTGTTTCCAGGCATTTGGGGACATCACCACTGGTCTTGGGCAAGAAACTCCTCTAGCCAATGGCTGATTTATCTCACTCCCATCTAAGGCTTCACTGCATTTCTCTTTTTCAGCAACCTAACTTATTTAAAAATATCCATTTTCTGATTCATTTTTTTCTGAATTAAACTGTCAGTACCATTGGCACACCTTTGGTTCCGTAGCATACCTGTGTCTCTGCTGTGTTTTTTTTTTACCTCCACTCCTTACTTTTCTAGAAAAAAATCTCTGCTTTTTCTTTTCAGTTTAAATTATTTCACAAAAAGTTTTCTTGACTTGCACTTCCTAGGCTTGCTGTCCTTGTGTGGGCACGCTCCCATAAACACTATTAATACACTTCGATTTGTTAAAAATAAAGATATCTGGACAGAAAATTTCTTTTCTTTTTTTAAGATTTTAAAATTTTTAATGTTTATTTTTTTCCTAGACTGGAGTACAGTGGCACCATGATGGCTCATGGTAGCCTACACTTCCCCGGGCTCAAGTGATCCTCCCACCTCAGCCTCCCAAGTAGCTGGGACTACAGGTGTGCACAACCACACCTGACTAATTTTGTTTATTTGTTTGTTTTGTTTTTTGAGATGGAGTTTCGCTCTTGTTGCCCAGGCTGGAGTGCAATGGCGGGATCTCGGCTCACCGCAACCTCTACCTCCCAGGTTCAAGCAATTCTCCTGCCTCAGCCTCCCGAGTAGCTGGGATTACAGGCATGCATCACCACGCCCAGCTAATTTTGTATTTTTAGTAGAGACGGGGTTTCTCCATGTTGAGGCTGGTCTGGAACTCCTGACCTCAGGTGATCTGCCCGCCTCGGCCTCCCAAAGTGCTGGGATTACAGGCGTGAGCCACCACGCTCGGCCACTAATTTTGTATATTTTGTAGAGATGGGCTTTCCCTGTGTTGTCCAGGCTGGTCTTGAATTCCTGGGCTTAAGTGATCTGCCCACCTTGTCCTCCCAAAATGCTAGGATTACTGGCGTGAGCCACCAGGTCTGGCTGGAAAGATAATTTCTAACATTATCCTCTCTTAAACATTTGTTTCAAAAATTTTACAAACATGAGAGTAATTAAATTTGATTTTCAAAATTCCCTTGAATACTTTCTTAATAGCACACAGAAAGCACAAAGTATTTTACATTTGTTTTAATGATGAAATTGTGAACCCAAACTTACACAAAGAAAAACCCGTAACATTATACCCATACTTAAAACAGATGCCCTCATATACATAGTAAAACTCTTGGGGGCAGTAGTGAAGTTGGTTATTTACTGTTTTATGAAAGTGCCATTCAGCCGGGTGCAGTGGCTCATGACTGTAATCCCAGCACTTTGGGAGGTCGAGGCAGGCTGATCACGAGGTCAGGAGTTCAAGACCAGCCTGACCAAAATGATGAAACCCTGTCTCTACTAAAAATACAAACATTAGCTGGGCGTGGTGGTGTGTGCCTGTAGTCCCAGCTACTCAGGAGGCTGGGGCAGGAGAATCGCTTGAACCTGGGAGGCGGAGATTGCAGTGAGCCGAGATCGCACCACCGCACTCCAGCCTGGGAGACAGGGCGAGCTCCGTCTCGAAAAAAAAAAACAAAAAAGTGCCGTCATAGTGACTCAGTTTTAAGGAATAAATCAAGGATATTTAACTCAATAGACTACAGTTAGCTAACGTGACTTGCACTGAAAGTTATACGAATATTGGTACTTATTCCCCTGCCCCTGAAGTATGAATTAAAGACTCCAAAATTCTTTTTAGAATCTTCAGAGTAAAAGCTAGAATTTGATTTTTTTAAATAATAAAAAAATACTTTGTATCTAAATCTGGTGTATAAAATAACTTGGTGGATGATGCTTCAAGGCTATCCATCCCCAAATTTCTCCCTGAATGATAAAGAGAATAAATGAATATGTCAATTCAAAAGTTAGAAATTTGGCCGGGCACGGTGGCTCACTCCTGATAATCCTTTCGGACGCTGAGGTGGGTGGATCGCATGAGCTCCGGAGTTCAAGACCAACCTGGGCAACATAGCCAGAACCCGTTTCAATAAATAATAGAAAAAAATGAGCCAGGCGTGGTGGTCCCAGCTACTCAGTAGGCTGAGGTGGGAGGATCACTTGAGCTCAGGAGGTCGAGACTGCAGTGAGCCGTGATCGCAGTACTGCACACCAGCCTTGGTGTCAGACTGAGACCCTGTCTCAACAACAACAAAACAAGTTAGAAATTTGGCTGGGCGCGGTAGCTCACGCCTGTAATCCCAGCACTTTGGGAGGCCAAAAAGGGCGGATCATTTGAGGTCAGGAGTTCGAGACCAGCCTGGCCAACATGGTGAAACTCCATCTCTACTAAAAATACAAAAAAAATTAGCCGTGCATGGTGGCATGCGCCTGTAGTCTCAGCCACTTGGGAGGCTGAGGCAGGAAAATTGCTTGAACCCAGGAGGCAGAGGTTGCAGTGAGCCGAGATCATGCCACTGCATTCCAGCCTGGGTGATAGAGTGAGACTCCATCTCGAGAAAAAAAAAAAAATTCTGTATGAACTGAACAAAATATCCTTAAATTTTAAAATACATCTGAAAGATATTTCAAAATATTTAGGAAAAAAATTATAGGGATCAGGCAAATTCTGAGATTCCTTTTTCCCTGCAGCAAACATTAGGAGTGCTGCTGTTCCTAAAAACATGGTAACTGTTGCCACACCGTATGTTTCCTTGGCTCAGACATAAGGTTGTGTAGTTGTTATTCCAGAATAGCTAGAATAAAAATCCAGCACATCATTTTCTTCAGCAAGTTAACTAACCTCTCTGTGCCTTGGTTTCATAACAGCAACATAAGCATAACAGAATAGCAGCAATAGCTCCTACCTACCTCATAAGATTCTTTGGAGGAATTAAATTAAGATTCAGAACACAGCCTAATATCTAGTAAGTAATAATAATTGGCTAAAAAAATTTTCTTAAGATTATATATATTCATGGGGTACAAGTACAATTTTGCTACATTAATATATTGCATTGTGGTGAAATCAGGGCCTTCAATCCATCCCGGAAAAAAAAAGTTTTTGAAAAGATTTCTGCCATGGAAAACTTTTAATGTACAAATTCATCCATCCAAGAAATAGAAAATATATAAGTATCAACTCCAAATCCACCATATCTATCTCTTCTACACCTTAAACAATTACTCAGAAATAGAATGCTTGAGATACCAGAATGCATGCATATCAAGTAATAAATGCATGCAGGATGTCAACGCATCCTAGGCTTTCAAATAAAATTGTCATACAAAATACTTTAATATTGTAGTAACATTCTACATGTTAGAGTGTAGAAGTTAATCGCTGATGCAAAAAAGGAAAAGAACACATTATACCCAAAGCCTACAGAGAGAATCACAATTACAAATATCAGCCTGCATGTGAAAATCTTTAATTTGAAAGTCAGAAATATTTAAATGATAGTCATTGTTAAATCAGATTGTGGTTTGAAAAAAAGTTAGTTTAAAACTGAGTTTATGAAAAATTTGGGGATTTTAGAGACAGTGTTTTGTTTTTAAATGTGTGTGAGTTTGTGAAGAATGTTTTATAAAATACTGACAGTATTATAAGATGACATTATTATAATACAACATAAGAATTTTGGCCTGTACCTCTCAGCAGTCCTCAATCACCTGCTGTACTTGACTCAATGATTATCAGAGTGGTTTGTTTTCCTTCTGTTGTGTTCCCAGTTCAGGCAGCTCAGCAATGGCCTGTGATTCCAGCAATTCAAATAGCTGGTAAGTAGTTTCTTGTTTGTTTTCTCAAATTTTCAGGGGCTTTTCTCTACAAGTGATTTCCAGTGCACGCCCCTCCACCCATTCTTTATTCCTTTACCTTCAGGAAAACCCTCAGCGCTGCATCTCTGGTCACCGGACCACCGTGGTACATTTACCTATGGCCACCAGGTGTCACCCTTCTCTTTACTACCATGGTTTGTGAATGGTTTTGCCAGAGGTGAATAAGAATTTAAAATGCAGGTCTTTGATTTTTCAAATGTAGTTGACCTTAAGAATTTATGAATAAAGCCAGAAAAATTAAGCTTAAAAAACACCGAAAGAAAATGAGGACTTAAAATTTCTATTAAAAAAATTAACAGGCCACAGTTGCTGATGTTTAGTAAATGTGTTAGTGAAATGTGTTACTGTGAAGACTGGGGTGTTTCTTGAAATCTCAGCCCAGGTGAAATAAAACCAATATAAAACAAATGCTTACCTAATAAATTAATTGTAACATATTCCTTATGAGGTAGAAGAGTAAGTGAAGCCTTATAGCAGTCTGCTTTCAGTATAGTAAGATATTAAGAGAGAAATAATTTGTCATATGCTTTCAGAATGGTTTGCTGGTAAAATAACCAATGTCTTACAACTTAGACGACAATGTCCCTAGAGTGAAGAAACACGATTAATTCGGCTACCACAGTTGAATGAAAATATTCCGTAAGACAAAATGTAAAGAAATTAGAAGCAAAATAAATGTCTCCAAAATGACAAAGCGATTAAGTATATACACAAGATGAACAAGAACTTCAATAAAATCATGCAGTATACAATACAATATACATTTATTAAAGTATATGCATTTTTAATGCAACAATAATACTAACAGGTAATAGACAAGTTGTTAATAGTTTTTCACTGGCTAATTAAATAACAGCTTTAATTGTATTCATTTTATAGCTTTTCTACAATGAGCGTAAATCACATTTACTTTTTTCTACATAACTTTTCTAACCACAAAAAAAGAAAATGGTTTAAAAGAAGAGATGAGATATCTTTGCTAAAATTTAATGCCTAAAGAAGAAACTTCTGAGCTGTATATGGTATCCTGAAGCACCTGCCCTTCAAGACAGAATGCTTGTACCACATTTATGCAGCCAAGTGCATGTAGTAACATAAAGTAAACACATGCCATCTGGATATATATATTAAGACTCTTTTGACGGCTGGGCAGGGTGGCTCACACCTGTAATCTCAGCACTTTGGGAGGCCGAGGCAGGCGGATCACGAGGTCAGGAGAGTTCGAGACCAGCCTGGCCAACATGGTGAAACCCTGTCTCTACTAAAAATACAAAAATTAGCCGGGCATGGTGGTGCACGCCTGTAATCCCAGCTACTTGGGAGGCTGAGACAGGAGAATCGCTTGAACCTGGGAGGCAGAGGTTACAGTGAGCCGAGATCATGCCATTGCACTCCAGCCTGGGCAATAGAGTCTCAAAAAAAAAAAAAAGACTCTTTTGAACATGGTGAACTGATTTCCCAGAATCTAGCAATTCCTGAATGTCCTGGTTAGATTTTTTTTTTAATGTGCACCGGAACCCCAGTGGCTCCATGGAAGGACCTGGGCATCCTCTAAGCCACTTGGTGGCTTCCATTATACCATCTCAAAATGAGAGAGCTTACTCCACTTCATTGAGGGAAATACCACCAGAGTTCTGACTCCAGAGGCACTGGCCTAGGGAGGACACCGTGTGTGAAGCCCAGCAGGGCCACTAGCTGTCCCCACCAATTACAGTCCTTGCGTAGGGTCCAAAGAAATGAATGCCAAAGAGAGCAACAGAGGAGCAAGGGAGTCACATTCCAGGACCTTCCTTCAGGGACTTTTAAAGGAAACATGACAGCTGAGGATCAGTTGGTTGTTTTCTGCTGTTCCCCTTCATGTGATTCAAGCTCACTCAGAAGAAACACAATGAGACAAGAGAAGAGCCATCTCCTTCCTTCTCTATTTATTCTAGGCATCTAAACTACTGAATGTAGTGGTGTCTGAGATGTATCAAACGGTCAGATTGACTGAGTTTGAAACCTGTTTCTATCACTGACAAACTATGAGATACTCTATACTTCACTTTCTTTTTTTTTTCATTTTTTTATTTTTATTTTTATTTTTTTGAGATGGAGTCTCACTCTGTCACCTAGGCTGGAGTGCAGTGGCGCAAACTCGGCTCACTGCAAGCTCTGCCTCCTGGGTTCATGCCATTCTCCTGCCTCAGCCTTCCGAGTAGCTGGGACTACAGGCGTCTGCCACCACGCCCAGCTAATTTTTTGTATTTTTATTAGAGATGGGGTTTCACCATGTTAGCCAGGATGGTCTCGATCTCCTGACCTCGTGATCCACCCGCTTTGGCCTCCCAAAGTGCTGGGATTACAGGCGTGAGCCACCGTGCCCGGCCTACTTCACTTTCTTCATTTAAAAAAGAAATGGGGATAATAGTACCTATCTCATAGAATTATTGTAAGAAGTGCATGCAGTAATGCATGTAAGTAGGTGCTCAGAAGAGTCGGACACGAAGTAAGTGCTTTTATCATCCTTATCATAATTTTCATTATCAGAACAAGGAGAGACCAGGTAGAAAATTATTGTGATTCTTCAGGTCTGGAATACTAGAGTAGCATCCCAAATGAAGGCACCATTAAACTTTGCAAATCTGTATGACACCTTCATGCCAATTAGAAAAAACACCTCTTCACAACCCCTTTCAAGATATTTGCCTCCTACCTGCTAAAAACACCCATCATACTACCCACAGATAGCCATGATGCTTTTTCTGGGACAGGTGCCTCTTCCATTCGTGCAGTGTACAGCCTTCATAGCTGTGCAACTCACATCACAATCAGATGGAAGAATCCCCAAGGCTTGGTGACAGATGAGTTACTGGGTAACACAGAGAGAGGATTCAAAGGAAAAGTTGAACGGGTCCAGAAAATGCATAGATACATGTGTAAAAATCTGGTAAGGTTATGACTAGCCACGTCCCAGGGTTCAAAGCTTTTCTCAGATGTTAAAATGAATCATGTAAGTCCCCCAAATTTAAGGAGTCCTCTTCCAAAAATAGGAAATGAAATGACATAGGTGTATGTCTCTGAGGTGACGGAGGAAATGAAGGAAGCCTCTAGATGCAGCTTGAGGTTCATGAGAGACAGTTCCAGGGGAGAGGTCACAGCTAGGGATCACCGGCATGCAGGAACTCAGAAACCTAAATGGGGAAATCTTTTTGAGGAAATGAACAGAGAAGGCTAAAATCAAGGAGTTCGTCAGGCAATTTCTATGTTTAGGTTCAACTCTCTCCTGAAACATGAAGAGCTCATAAATGCACTCCCTCTTTGAGTCTCTAGTTTTGTCTCCTTCCCACAGTGAGTCTGCAGGCTGCGTGTCACTCACGTTCAGCTAAGACGTAGTGCCCCATGGCTCCTCCTGTGGAGACAAGAGACCCAGGAAAGAGGCATCACAAACCTAGGCACCATCTTGCCTCTTCTCTCTTCCTTATTTTCCTCATTCACCCATCTCAATTTAGACCTGGGCACTATTGGATTTCAAGAACCATTATCTCTCATCTGGAAATGCTTATTGGCTTTCTAACTGGTCTCCTCACCTCTCATCTAACTTCTTAACAACACATTCACCATATAAGGGAGATCGTGGTCCTCCTTTCTTAGGATCCTTCAATGACACCCCAGTGATCATAACCCAATATCCCAAAAGACCCTTGGACTCTGTATGAGCTGGCTTCTTTCTGATTCTCTTTTCCCTACACCACAGATGTTCAGGGGGTAGAAATGCATAATTGGTGAGTGATAGCTACGCAAACTCAGGGTTAAGGTACAGTAATTATTTCTAATCTCCCAGTATGCCTTATACTCTCCTACTTGGCATGGTTGCTCCGTCTGTGTAGACCTCCCATCATCTTCAACCTCACCTAATGGAATCCAGCTTCTCCTTCAAGATCCAGAAGGCTATCTTGATCCCCAGCTGAATGTGATCATTCTTTCCTTTGACACCCTAAGCATTTGCTTCCTGCCTGCTTTAGGACCTCATGGGGTCTTCTTTAACTACATTTACTTGCTATCAATTTCATTCCCTACCAGATTTGGGTTCTGAGAATAGCCACAGTGACTTCTCAACCTCAAAGCCCCTGTACTACCTTAAACAGCTCTTGCAAAATAGTAGGTGCTCTGAAGATGTTTGTTGAATTAGAGACTTTCATTCTGGGGAGAACCATTATTTTCTGTCTCCCAGGGAGCTGCTGGTGTCCCCAAAGAATATAAATGAGAAAAATGCTTCCCATGGATGCCAGATCCCCTCTGCCCCTCTTCCCACTGTGCCCTGGGGCAGAGGTACTAAGAGACTTCCCCCTTGTTCCTACTCACTTGAACCCTGCCTCTTCCTTAATATTATGAACAAAATTCCAATGAACAAGATGACGACAAAAACAGCAATTCCACTGATGACTCCAATGACTAGGGTGCCAGACGGTGAGGGCTCTAAAACAGAAAAAGCAAGTTAAAGCCTTTGATTGCCACCCTCAGCCCACCCCCTAACAAAGAGCAGATCCTCATCTCACTGCCATAATTACCTCCTCAGGCACTCCTCTCAACCCCCAATAGATTTTCTCAGCTCCTGGCTCTCATCAGTCACATACCCCAGATCACAATGAGGGGCTGATCCAGGCCTGGGTGCTCCACCTGGCACGTATATCTCTGCTCTTCCCCAGGGGGTACAGCCAAGGTTATCCAGCCCTGGTAGGTCCCATCCCCATTGGGCAATACGTCTTTAGGTTCGAACTCCTTGGCATCCATTGGCTGCTTATCCTTCAGCCACTTCATGGTGATGTTCTGGGGGTAGTAGTTCAAGGCCCGACACCGTAGAGTGGTCACTGAAGAGGTCACATGATGTGTCACCTTCACCAAAGGAGGCACTTGACAGGAAAGAGGAAGGATGAGGAGAGGGGATCTGTTTACCCTTGCCAGGAAGACTGGAACTTTCACTTCCTTCTATAGGTTGGAGGAAGGAAATACCCTTTTCAGAAAAAAACAAGCTACAGGAGAGACACCATTTTGTGTCCTAAGATTGGACTCTAACACAGTGTCACTTGGAGAGCAGTCAGATCAGCTTGTTCTCCTCACATGTAAATATACATATCTGTTACCCATGTTCTTTGTTCTGATAGATAAAATTGCCCTTTATGTGCATTGAAAATGATTGAATACAGATGGTCAGTTTCACCTGGGTCAACCTAGGAGGCATTGTTATAAGAAGCGGACTTGTAAGATAGGTAGCTTCAGTGATTATTGCTATGTTCTATGAAAGAAACTTTTAACCTAAAGGATTCTTCTACTCTGATAAGTGGCCTCACTTGATATTTTGTCCTGGTATTCATATGATAGCTGAGATCTCTGAATTCTCTTTTTTTTTTTTTTTTTTTTTTTAAGATGGAGTCTCACTCTGCTGCCTAGGCTGGAGTGCAGTGGCGCGATCTTGGCTCAGTGCAACTTCCGCTTCCCAGGTTCAAGCGATGCTCCTGCCTCAGCCTTCCAATTAGCTGGGACTACAGGTGCGCATGACTGTGACCAGCTAATTTTTGTATTTTTTTAGAGACGGGTTTCACCATGTTGGTCAGGCTGGTCTCAAACTCCTGACCTTGTGACCACCCGCCTCGGCCTCCCAAAGTGCTGGGATTACAGGGGTGAGCCACCGTGCCCGGCCTTGACATTTCTGAATTTTTAACAGGTATAAATATACAAAAGATTATTGGTTAAATAAAAAGCAAGGGCCATAGACACTTCCCTTTGAGCCATATGCATGGAGAAAAGAAATTAAACCCATGACTTGTGGCTGTCTCATACATCTCAATTATAAGGTAGAGACTCTAGGATTGAGAAAGTCCCTTCCCAGAATTTGGAGAGGCACACAGCCTCAGCCACCTCTGAAACTCCAACCAGGGATTCCGTGCCCTGCAACCTCCTCCACTCTGCCACTAGAGTATAGGGGCAGAAGTGTGTTTCCACCATACCTTGTTGGTCCAAAACACCTCTCCCCAGCTCCAGCAACTGCTGCAGCTGTGCAGGGCAGTCCCTCTCCAGGTAGGCCCTGTTCTGCCTGGCCCGAATCTTGTGCCTTTCCCACTCCAGCTTGGTGGGCCAGGCCCTGGGTTCTGCTGCTCTCCAATCCAGTGTGTCAGGGCAGAATTCAAGGTGGTCCTGCCCATCATACCCGTACTTCCAGTAGCCCTCGGTACTGTTGTCTTCTTGCATTTCACAGCCCAGGATGACCTGCAGGGTGTGGGACTCTGGAAAAATCCCCAGCCTTGTTAACTGCAACCAAAGGAATAGGTCCCTATTTCCACCATCCCCAAGGACCAAATGATCTCAGGAAGCAAATTCCTTCCCTCTTCCCTGCTCCCACAAGACCTCAGACTTCCAGCTGTTTCCTTCAAGATGCATGAAAAGATGAAAAGCTCTGACAACCTCAGGAAGGTGAGGCCCCCTCTCCACATACCCTTGCTGTGGTTGTGATTTTCCATAATAGTCCAGAAGTCAACAGTGAACATGTGATCCCACCCTTTCAGACTCTGACTCAGCTGCAGCCACATCTGGCTTGAAATTCTACTGGAAACCCATGGAGTTCGGGGCTCCACACGGCGACTCTCATGATCATAGAACACGAACAGCTGGTCATCCACGTAGCCCAAAGCTTCAAACAAGGAAAGACCAAGGTCCTGCTCTGAGGCACCCATGAAGAGGTAGTGCAGAGAGTGTGAACCTGGAGACAGAGCAACAGGCCTTAACCATGTGTAGTAGGAGGGGAGCAGGATGTTGAGGCTCCACACACCTGCATCAACTCATACCATCAGCTGTGTCTGGTCCTCATTTTGTGAAGGGTGAGTTGCAGTCCTGTCTTTCTTCCATATGACAGTCCTGGGTGCTCTTTCCTTGTGTGCTTTTCTCTGCCACACGTGGCTGCCACCCCCTCACTGCCCCCAGATCCTATTCCAATACTCATGATTAGACAGACTCCACTAAAGCTGGTGGATTCTAGAAAATGTTAAGGTGTGTCTAGCCATGGTAGTTGAACTCAGGAGTTGGTGCTCAGGGCAAATTAGACCCAAATCCTGAGGAATAATTCCTTCAGTTTTTTTTTTTTTTTTTTTTTTTTTTTTTGAGACAGAGTCTCACTCTATCACCCAGGCTGGAGTGCAGTGGCACAATCTCAGCTCACTGCAACCTGCACCTCCTGGGTTCAAGGGATTCTCCTACCTAAGCCTCCTGAAAACCTGGGACTATAGGCGTGCGCCACCACACCAGGCTAATTTTTGTATTTTTAGTAGACATGGGGTTTCACCATGTTGGCCAAGCTTGTCTCAAACTCCTGACCTCAAATGATCTACCTGCCTCAGCCACCAAAGTGCTGGGATTACAGAAGTGAGCCACCGTGCCCAGCCTTGGTCCTGAATTCTTACACTGAACTGCCTATGTGGCCTCACCACTTGGAAGCCTGACTGGAATCTCAAACTTAACATGTCCAAATGCAGATCCTTGATTTACCCCAAACTGCTCTTTCCTCTGCCTTCACCATCTCAGAAATGGCATTGCCAATTACCCCACTGCTCAGGCCAATAAAATTAAAATAAAGAACAAAGTCAACTTTAACTCTTCTCTTTTTCAGGGGGTCAGGGGAGACAGGGTCTTGCTCTGTCACCTAGGCTGAAGTACAGTGGCACAGTCATGGCTCACTGCAGCCTCAACTTCCTGGGCTCAAGCAATACCCTCCACCTCAGCCTCCCGAGTAGCTAGGATCACAGGTGCATGCCACCACACCCAGCTAATTTTTGTATTTTTTGTAGAGAAGGGGTTTTGCTGTGTTGCCCAGGCTGGTCTTGAACTCCTGAGCTCAGGAATCTGCTCTCCTTGGCCTCCTCCTTGGCATGAGCTACTACACCCAGCCAATTCTTCTCTTTCTCTCACACAACATAGAATCCTTCAGCAACTTCCTTCAGAATATATTCAGGAGACAATGGTTTGTCACTCCCTTTTCTGTTCCCACCCAGCCCACTCCACTACCTCTTGCCTGGACTGTGTAACAGCTTCCTGGCTGGGCTCCCTGCTTTTACTGTTGCTCCCTTCATTCTGCTTTCCACATAGCAGCCAGAGCAATCTTTTAAAAGCCTGTGACAGATCACTGTTACTCCTTGGCTAGAATTCACACCACAGCCTACAGGCGCCTGCACAACCTTGTTTGTGGCTCCTCTTCTGAGCCCATTACCTACTTCTTGGCCTCTACTCCCCAGCACTACTTGTTTATTTTTTTCAACCCGAGCTTCTTAACCAGGAGTTTGTCTACTAGGTGACATGTGGCAAAGTTTAGAGACATTTTTGGTTGTCAAGACTGGGGGAGTGCTCCTAGCACCTAGTGAGTAGGGAGGACAGGATACTGCTAGACATCCTACATGCAGATGGTAGTCCCCCTTCCCACCCCCACGCCGCCCCCCCCCCCCACACACACACACATGAGTAGTGCTGAGAAAACCCGCTTTTTAATCCAACTTGCCAGGCCCACTCAGTTTGCCTGGGAAATACTGCTCCCAGTCAATATCATTCTTATTTCCTTCATGTCTCTGCTCAAGTGTCAGCCCCAGAGTGACTTGCCCTGACTTCTCTGCTTCTCACAACACCCATGATTTCCTGATGTTGTATATCTTTCTGCTCATTTGCTTATTGTCATCTCTCCCACTAGAATGCAAAATATCAAAGGGTAAAGACTTGTTTCCCTGCTCTCTCCCTTGGGGCTTGAACAGTGCAACACATGGCTGGGACTCATTTACACTTGTAAACAATGAATATTTCTGCTCAACATGAAATTTTATTATTCAACCTCTAATGCAGTGTGATGTTTAAGAATCATAGCTATGAAGTGGAGACATGAGCTCTGCCACCAAAGCCCAGTGTACCATTGAATAAATTTGCCAGGAAGCAGGCCGTGCCATGCCTCATTCTTGTCATGTGTAAAATGTGGATACACGTAGTACCAAAACTCAAAGTGCTGTGCTGAGGCCGGCGTGTGACCCACAGAACACTGTGCTACACTACAGGGCAAAATCACTGTCAACTAAGATTAGAAGCAGCTGTAGTACTTGAAATAACATCAGAAAACCAGATTATTTATGTTCTTTGTAACCTGAAAAGAGTTATATAATCTGAATTCCAGTTAACTTCTAGTAAAATAAACGTATTATTAGCTCCTACCTCCCTATGCCTAGTGAAAATCAAATAAGATCAGATATGAATGTAACTTAGAAGTGAGTGCATTGCTTACATGTTCATTATCAGTACTTTGTAGAGAGGCCTCTTAATTACACAGCACATTGCAAATCAATAAAGCCTAGCCGAAAAGAGAATTGTTCAGTTCAAACGTTCAAAACTAACATATACTTAATTTTCCAGGCAAAAGAACAATTGCCAAGAGTGGGGAAAGGCCCGAGGTAGGCCTCTCTCAGGAGCCTCCCACCCTAGAGACCTCCACCCCAGGTCTCACCAAAAGTGGGTGGAATGGTGAAGAATTCAGATCCCCAACGCCACTCTTTCGCGCCCCCACCGCCCAACGCATTCGTTCTGAGGTGGAAACCCCGTGCGGATCCTGCTGTGGGTTTGCTCAGCCTTCTCGGCAAGCACTCAGGGAAGAACTTCCTGTTTGGAGATGACTGGGGAAAAAACTGCACAGCTGACATTGGAAATAAACCCGAGTTCCAGGTTCAAGGAGCCCCAGGCTTAGCTCAGCTCAAGTGAGGAACTACGAGATTTATTTAAAAGCATTCTAGTTGGGGGAAGGGAGTGGGCGGTTCCAAAAGTCACTCCGCAGAGCCGGGACAGCCGGGGGAGGGGGCAGGTCCTGGGGCGAGGGACCCCTATCTGCAGTTCAGTGGTAGGCACTCCCTCACGGGGTCTGGACGCAGAAAGTAGGGAGAGGGGCTTGCGGATAGGGTTGAGCAGGTCCTCCAAAGTTAGCAAACTCCCAAGCGCAAAGAAAAAGCTAGTTTCGATTTTTCCACCCCCGCCGCGCCCCTAGTTCGCCCGCAGCCCTCGGACTCACGCAGCAAGCGCCCCTGCAGGACCGCGGTCTGCAAAAGCATCAGGAGGAGAAGCGCCGGCCTGGCTCGCGGGCCCATTTCCCCAGCTCTGGCCGCACGTCCCCGTTAAATCTCCGCTTCTTTTGGGGGGCGGGGAAACGGGGATGGCTCCAGAAGTCACCCTACAGCTATTGCCTAGGCTCAGGAGATGCCCAGTAAAACTTCCTGGTGAAAAGCAACAGGTCTTTCAGAACTTTAGTTCTCTCTCTCCTACAGCAGAAGGTACCTGCTTGTGAAACACTAGGTGATCCAGTGTCCCCCTTGGTTTTTAAATCCTGAAGGGGTGTTGTTGATTGGGGAAAGTAGCTTCGCAATGTTCTGATCTGAACTTTAGATATTTAAATATTTATGATTTTCAAAATTCAATCATACATTTAAAAATTTTATCTCAACCTTAGACCAACTTATGTCTTATTTGACTTAGAAATATAAAGCTTTTTCATTTTGTTTTTTGATTCAAATTAATTAAGTCATAACATTAACCAATTAGATCCTACTGAAACACCTTCCACAGCCTTCATAATTGAATTATCTGACAAGTGTTTCACAAACTTTACAGTATTGGGATTATCTGGAGAATGATTAAACATATTGAGGCCTGCTCCTAACCCCAGACACACTGATTTAATGGGTAATTGTTAGGTAGTTAGACATTAGCAGTTGGGAGGGGATGACAGAAGAGAGCGGAAAGGCTGTCACTAAGACAGCCACTGGCCCACCTAAATTCAGGCCCAAGACTACCCTAATGCCACCCTAAGGGATGGAGTTTATGATAAAGTCTGTGGCCAAAATATCCTGGAGAAAGAGAAAGGAGGGTACAGGTGGAAATTCCCTAAGGTGGCACATGCCCAACAACACAAAAGCCTGTCTTCAAGTTCACCCCAAGTTCATCATGCCATCATTATAATAGAATTTACATACAGTTTTGCCCCCCCATCCCTGGGAGGCTTTTCTTAACAAATTATAGGTAAGACCATGCACAGTTTAATTTTAGATTGTATAGCTATACACTTCAATCAAATAACATCATCCTGTCACTCAGATACAGCCCAAACCTCAACTCCTCCCCACAAACCCCATAAAAGCACCTTGAGCTCTGTAAAGAAGTGCTGAGTTCACTTCGCAGAAATAAGCCCGCTGTCCCTCAGAGTGTATTATTGTGCTTCAATAAACTTTGCTTTAAGCTTGCATTTTGGTGTTAGTTTGTAGTTCTTTGCTCACTATCACAAGAACTGAGATTGCTGGTTCAGAGCTCCGGCTATAATAATCTCCTCGGTTAAAGGATCCATCCCAATGCATAATTCCCAGTAACAGTATGGGATGCCACCTGGGCAATGGGATTTTAAAAGCTTTCCTTCTCCCTCAACGAAGTTTGGGAATTATTGCCTTAGACATTTCAAACAATATTAATAAATTTAATACACCTGATTTGCTCCAAACCTTTACATATCTAGCAAATTCAACAGGCATTATTTTTGTAAGCATGTATGCAAATTTTGGCAATTCAAGAAAATCAAACAGGATATCAGGGCCTCGACTGTAGGCAAACAGATACAATAACATTGGAAACATGTAGAATATTGATGATGGGCACATTGGGGCTGATAGTACTATTCCTTTTTTTCAATTTTTGGTAAGATATAATTAGCATACCATATAATTCATCTATGTAAAATGCAAAAATTGGCCCGGCTCAGTGGCTCACGCTTGTAATCCCAGCACTTTGGGCGGCCGAGGAAGGCAGATCACCTGAGATCAGGGGTTCGAGACCAGCCTGGCCAACATGGTGAAACCCCGTCTTTACTAAAAATACAAAAATTAGCCGGGCGTGATAGCAGGCAACTGTAATCCCAGCTACATTAGAGGCTGAGGCAGGAGAATCGCTTGAACCCGGGAGGCGTAGGTTGCAGTGAGCTAAGATCGTGCCATCACACTCCAGCATGGGAGACAAGAGCAAGACTTCATCTCAAAAAAAAAAAATTAGCTGGGTGTGGTGGCATGCACCTGTAATTCCAGCTACTCGGGAAGCTGAGACAGGAGAATCGCTTGAACCTGGGAGGCGGAGGTTGTGGTGAGCCGAGATCATGCCATTGCACTCCAGCCTGGGCAACAAGAGCGAAACTCCGTCTCAAAAATAAAATAAATAAAATAAAATGCAAAAATTAATGGATTTTAGTATATTTACAGAGATGTGCAACCATTACCAAAATTTTACATTTCTATCTCCCCAAAAAGAAACCATGTTCCCCTAATTCAGTACCCTTAATTCATCGCCTCCCAGATTCCTCCATTCTCCTCCTCCTCCCCTCCCAGCCCTAGACAATCTTTAATCTACTTTCTTTCTATTTGGAACATTTAGTATACATAGAGGCATATAATATATTGCTTTGCCGTGACTGGCTTCTTTCATTTAGCATAATGTTTTTATGTATGTTTTTCATGGACCAATAATATCTATTATAAGGACATACCACAACATATTTTATTTATTCATTCATCAGCCGATGGACATTGGTTTGTTTCTACTTTATGGCTATTGGGAATAGTGCTGTTATAAACATTTATGTACAAGTTTTTTTGTAGACTTATGTTTTGATTTCTTTTGGTTATATATCTAGAAGTGGGTTTGCTGGGTCATATGGTAACACTGTTTAACCTTTTGAGGAATTGCCACATTCTTTTCCAAAGTAAGCATTTTATCCTCCTATCAGCAGTGTATGAGAGTTCTGATTTCTCTCCATCTTTGCCTGGGTTTTTGAATCAGGGCCCCAGATAGAACAAAAATGTGGTTATTCAGTTGTTCCACCATCACTTGTTGAGAAGACTCTTTTTTCATTGAAGTGTTTTGGCACCCTTATCAAAAATCAATCTACCATAAATGTGAGAGTTTATTTCTGGAGTCTCAATTTTATCCCATTATGCTATAATCTATAATCCTATCTTTTTTTTTTTTTGACAGAGCCTCACTCTATTGCCCAGGTTGGAGTGCAGTGGCCCAATCCCGGCCACTGGCTCCTCCTCCCAGGTTCAAGCAATTCTCCTGCCTCAGCCTCCCAAGCAGCTGGGATTACAGGTACCTGCCACCATGCCTGGTTAATTTTTGTATTTTTAGTAGAGACGGGGTTTCACCATGTTGGTCAGGCTGGTCTGGAACTCCTGACCTCAGGTGATCTGCCCACCTCAGCCTCCCAAAGTGCTGGGATTACAGGCATGAGCCACCACACCCAGACTATAATCCTATCTTTATGTCAGGACTACACTGTCTTGATTACTATAGCTTTTTAGTAAATTGAATTCAAGAAGTTTCTCAACTTCAAATTTGATCTTTTTTTGGAAGACTATATTAGCTATTCTCAGTCTGCTGAATTTCCCTAGGAATTTTAGGATCTATTATCAATGTCTATTCTATTTTTGTATATGTTTTAATATTTTCATAAGAAACTTTTTTCATTTAAACTTTTTTTTTTAAGAAAAATAGTGAAAATCAGAACACTGGGGGTCAGGCGCATTTAACAGGCAGAAGAAGAATAAAAACTTGTCATATAAACAAAAAAGAAATGACCAATCACATTGTGGAAGCCATGGAGTGGTTATAGGTGCCAAAGGCTGCAGAGAAATGGTGTCAGATATACCTGAAAATTGTCCATTGTATTTGGCCATTAAGAGACTTAGAAGACTTAAGCCATAGATTGCTCAGTGAGACCCCGAGGGCAAATGGTCTGAAGGTGAATAGATCATTTCACCTTTAAGAGAGCAGGTAGGAAGCTATAAATCCAAGATTAAAAAGTTGACTGAACTGTTAAGGAAGAAACTCTAATCTTGAGCCACCCTATCCTGGCTCCACCTTCTGCTGCAAGCAAACAGAAATGCTGAAATTCAACACTCACAAAGGCTGGTAAGCTGGAAATGACAAAAATTACTCCTGGGAAAGTCAGATTTAGAATTAGGCCATATTTGTTGGGGTTCAGATTTTCATGTACACTTGGGAAAGGGTTTAGCTTATAGGCACATGCATGAAGGGAACTGGTATAGGGCTGTGTTCATAAGGTCAAGAGTTGAAGGCCAGGCATGGAGGCTCTTGCCTGTAATCCCAGCACTTTGGGAGGCCGAGGCAGGAGGATGGCTTGAGCCCAGGAATTCAAGACCAGCCTGGGAAACATAGGGAGATGCTGTCTTCACAAAACAATTAAAAAATAAAATTAGTCAGGTGTGGTGGCACACACTTGTGGTCCCAGCCACTCAGGAGGTTGGGAAGATCACTTAAGCCTGGGACATTGAGGCTGTAGTCAGCCATGATAGTGCTACTGCACACCAGTCTAGGTGACAGAATGAGACCCTGTCTCCAAAAAAAGAGCTGTATCCACATCCCAGGAAAGTGGTTGAAGATCTACTTTTCTCTGTAAACCTAATAAAGAATAGAGTGACAAATGTGTGTTGTGGAAAGAAATGGGGTGAGAGCTACGTAGATGCAAAACAATACATCCCCACATACCACTTGTTAATCATCCTTTTCCACCCACTTATGGGATGAATTGCATCTCCCCAAAAGATACTCTGTCCTAACCCTCAGTAGCTGTGAACCTGACCTTATCTGGAATACGGTGAGTTCACTGGTTAAGAAGAGATTATAGTGGAATAGGGTGAGTCCTCCAACCAATGACTGGGGTCCTCACAGACACAGAGGGATGATGGCCAGGTAGAGATGGAGGCAGAGATTGGAGTTATGCTGCCACAAACCAAACACAGGAAGCTGCTAGAAGTGGAAACAGGCAAGAAAGAATCCTTCCCCAGAGGCTACAGAGGGATCTTGGCCCTGATAATACCTTGATCTCAACTGGCCTACGTAACTGTGAGAGAATAAATTTCTTTTGTTCTAAGCCACCCAGTTGATAGTACTTTGTTACGGCAGCCCTAAGGAACTTGATATACATTTCTTTTACTGTCATAGAAGTTTTGAATCTTTTAAGTAGGTCTGTACCCTTCCTCCCAGTGTCAACACATGGAATTCCTCTCCTTGTGCCTTGAAAAGTGAAAGGTGTTTGAACTGGTAATGAAAGAAATCTCAGCATGAGGCCAGATGCTGTACCTCACACCTGTAATCTCAGCACTTCGGGAGGATGAGGCGGGCAGATCACTTGAGGTCAGGAGTTCTAGACTACTCTGGCCAACATGGTGAAACCCCATCTCTACTAAAAACAAAAAATGTTATCCTAGCCGGGCATGGTGCCTGTAGTCCCAGCTACTCAGGAGGCTGAGGCAGGAGAATTGCTTGAACCCGGGAGGTGGAGGTTGCAGTGAACTGAGATCACGCCACTGCACTCTAGCCTTGGTGAGAGAGCAAGACTTGGTCTTAAAAAAGAGAAAAGAAAAATGAAATTTCAGCATTATAGAATAAAAATGTTTCCCCTTCCCCCCAAACTTTAAAAAAGCAGAAGTCTGCATCATAAAATGGTCTTTGCCAATGTTATTTTTATTATAACAAAGGAATCTTGCAAGGCTACCAGATCTCAGCAATTGTCACTATGTTCTGTAAAAATCACTTCCTAAAATGTCTGAATTGACTGCTTGTCTCATTTATTTGTTTCTCGTGTCATACTGCAATGGATATCTGTCTTGTTAGTATAAATATTTGTGCATTTTGTTGTTGTTAAAACAGCTTTTTTGGCCTGTCTTCTTCCACCTATGAGGTAATATAAAACTCATGTTTAACACTTATTTTTGTAGCAGGACAAGCTACAGACAAAACCCCTCAGACACTGAGTTAAAGAAGGAAGGGCTTTATTCAGCTGGGAGCTTTGGCAAGACTCACATCTCCAAAAACCGAGCTCCCTGAGTGAGCAATTCCTGTCCCTTTTAAGGGCTTGCAACTCTAAGGGGGTCTGTGTGAGAGGGTCATGATCGACTGAGCAAGTGGGGGTATGTGACTGGCAGCTGCATGCACCAGTAATCAGAACAGAACAGGGATTTTCACAGTGTTTTTCCACACAATGTCTGGAATCTATAGATAACATAACCGGTTAGGTCGGGGGTCAATCTTTAACCAGACCCAGGGTGCAACACCAGGCTGTCTGCCTGTGGATTTCATTTCTGCCTTTTAGCTTTTACTTTTTCTTTCTTTGGAGGCAGAAATTGGGCATAAGACAATATGAGGGGTGGTCGCCTCACTTATTCACCCCCTTTGAGAATCTCACTCATTAGTGGGAGTTCTCACTTTTATTCTCACTACCTATGTCTTCTTGAAAGACAGATTGATAATGATTCATATAGTACACTTGTGCTGAAGCATTTTGGTGAGCTAAGGTAGTGATGAAGCTTTTTATCATTTGGAGAAGTACAGGTAGCAAACAAGGAAGCAGTAAGCAGGTTTCTATTAATATTATAACTCCTATTATAAGAGTTTTAAATCTTCTTAGCACTCGGAACCATTTTTCAAACATGGCCCCAGAAACAAATCCATACCACACCTACATGGGCACATGTGCCACTTTTGTCATATTTCTAACTATGTCTTCAACTACTTGCCCTTAATCATCTATGTGTAGACAGCAATTAGTAAGGTTAAATTTCCTACAGACCCCTCCTTCAGTTGCTAGCAAGTAGTCGAGAGCCAATCCATTTTGATAGATAGCATTTTGCATCTGAGTTTCTTGCCAGGCCACAGTAGTCAGGGCTCTGCTGGTCTTATTAGTAATTATTTCTAAGACAGCTTGTAACCGTATGATTCAGTTGAGCATGTAAATGGGGGTCCCATATCCCCACAAGCCGTCTTGTGCCCAAGTAGCAGGCCCATAATATTGTATGATTCTCTCAGGGGGCCATTCATTATTTTTCCAATTTTCTATAGCTATGCTTTTTTTTTTTTTTTTTTTTTTTTTTTTTTTTTTTTTGCGGGAAGCATATACAGGGAAGCCCAGGAGTTTGCCTGTCTTTATGGGCAGTAGGAAGAAAGATGGTTTAGTAGTGTCAATAACACAACTACCTGCCCACTGGTCAGGTAATTTGGCATAAGCTGTATGCCCACATATCCAGTATAATCCAGTGGGGGCTGTCCAGTCCCGGTGGGACTCTGGGTGGGTCCACACAGTTTGCAACTTTGGGAATTTACTAAATAGATTTTTCTTAGTGTGGTTTGAACTCCACTAGGTGGCTGTTTTTATAGTACTATTATACAGTTTTTGCCCAAGGCAGCTGAGTCTTCCCACAGGAAGGGTGAAGTCCTTCCCCACTTTTGCTATACAGTATTGTCTAATGATTGAGGCTTTTAGGACCCAGAAGTTATCAGGGTGAGTCTTTTGAGCTGGGAATTTATCAGGAACTGGGTCTGTAGGTACTAATTCTCGTGCTTCCCATGGCCATTGATCTCCCATTACAGTTCCTCCACATACATACATAACATGAAGTGACATTGAGAGACTGGGCTACATGCTCAGCTAATTGCAAAAACAAATTTCTTGTTTTTCCTGGAATTTCTAGTACTGGCACATTCAGTTCATCATAAGAAGGTTTGAAATACTGGCTCAGGGGAGCATTTATAAACTTCTCCTCAAACCACCATATTTACTCAAGGATCCAGTCCAGCCCCAACTATTTCTAAGGTTACACGATCCCCTTTTTTCCAGTGAGAATCAAGGGGGTTGGTTATTACTAGTTCTAAGGGGTTACACTGACCACTGGTACAGGAAGGGCCACTTTTCCCTTTCTGAAGGTGGACAGGATTCTTTTTATTTTTTAACCAAGTTGCCTAAATGACACAAGACCAGTATCTACATTTATTTCCACGCAGTCTTAATTCATGACAAGCGTACTTATTTTCTGCCATATAGCCTCTTTCCTAATGAACAGAACCACATCCTATTTCTAACTTATTACTATTAATGACAGCACAGGCATCAAATTTCAAGGTGACTTGTTTGGGCATTCCTTTTTCTTCTGTTTTGGCTAACACTTTACTCGTATCGTTTATGAACCCCCACCAGTCCTCAGTCCTCAATCTTATTTCAAAAACTGTGGTCGTGGGAGGCTCAGATGGGTCATAACACACATCAGGTTGGTCATTTCTTGGGCTACCTACCTTGTATAGAATAGCATTATACAAACAAGTTATTTTTAGAGTCTTTGTACACTTATAATAACCATAAAATAATAAGACTGTAGCAACTTTTTGTCCTACCTCAGTGACTTGATGTATACACTGGGAACAGCCCTCAGTCTGAGGAAGGTTAGTTGAAGTCTTTACTGTGCAAGTCCAAATTTTAAGGAAAATGAGTCCCTTGATGAGTTTTCTCATGTTTCGGCCATGCATGGACCAGTCAGCTTCCGGGTGTGACTGGAGCAGGGCTTGTTGTCTTCTTCAGTCACTTTGCAGGCGTTGGCGAAGCTGCCACGTACAGCTCACAGTCTACTGATGTTCAAGGATGGTCTTGGAAGTTGGGCCCACTAGAATTAACTGAGTCCAATACCTCTACTCAGTCACTTTCAACTGGGCTTTCTGATACCAGGAGCAAGGTGGCAGGTTTTAGGGTGTTGCAAATTTCAATGGTTATGCAGGGATTTTCACATAGCAAACTTTGGTACTTGGTTAATCTAGCATTTGTTAGCCAATGATGTATTTATTAAAGTCACCACAGCATGGAGGGCCTTTAAGTTTAGGTTTTGTCCAAGAGTTAGCTTATCTGCCTCTTGTGCTAGCAGGGCTGTTGCTGCCAAGGCTCTTAAGCATGGAGGCCAACCCTTAGAAACTCCATCTAGTTGTTTGGAGGCCCAGCCTCGGCCAGGGCCCCACAGTCTGGGTCAAAACTCCAACCGCCATTTTTTCTCTTTCTGACACATAGAGTGTAAAGGGTTTTGTCAGGTCAGGTAGCCCCAGGGCTGGGGCCGACATGAGTTTTTCTTTTAACTCATGAAAAACTCATTGCTGTTGGTTGTAATAGATGTAGTTTATCCAATCTACATTTTTATTAACTGTCACCCACCAAAATATTGACTCAAATCCTGCAGCTATTTGATTTTGGGATTTAAATTGATCTGCTATTCCCTGTGGGACTCCAATTGCATCTAAATAGATGTGAGAGTTGAAAGACACATAAGGGTCTTCTCTTGCTTTACGATGTCTTATTTTTCCTCCCTCTGGTTGATGAAATGCTAGGGTGAAAGGGATAGCCAATTGGACTAAAGTACAAGTGCCGCTCCAGTTATTTGGCAGAGTGCCCAGTAAAGGTCCACCACAATACCACCACACATCCGCTTGGGGATGAACAAAGGCTGACTGATTGAGAAGCTCCTGAAAATTCTTAAGCTCACTGCATCCCTTCAGGTCTCCAAGGAATGCTAAGTTTCCTCCCTGTCATGAGAGACAAGAAGTGAACTTAGTTTTGGGAGATGGAAGCTGGATGGCCCTCAGGGGTTGACCTGCAGGGTGCTGGACTTTGGGATATAGCAGAGAGAGCTTGGCACGACTTATTACTCCAGGCTGTAGAATCCTGGAAAACAGTTACCATGCAGCCCATGCCTGGTCAACAGGAGGACCACCTTAGTGGAAAGGGGATAATCTGGCCCTCTGGCCTGCCATGTGCACAAGCATAACAATTGGTTTTGTTTAATGTGTGGACAGAATATTTGATCCATTCCAACTGGGCATTTGCATCTTGGTATCCTGCTTAATTATCAAAGTTTGTTTTAAGTCTTTAACTTCTATGACCCTCTAGTAAAATGAATGTATGATTTTAGGAAATTACAAAAACCGGTTGGGGCAGTCCATCCTTGCTCTTTAGTGGTCCACACAACATTCGACCAACTATGGCATAAAAGCTCTACATCGGGGGGCAAGACTCCTCGTTGACACTGGGGTCTTTATTGAAATCTCTCTGGAATAAATGGTCTCAGTTTACTAAGGCTCAGTCTGAGGAGAGTCAGGAGGGACAGAGGTACTTTTCTGAAGTACAGAGATGTCTTCGACTTGGCAAGTCCCCACAGGGTATAACAAGGCAAGCATTAAATTCAATAGTTTGAGGCAAAATTGACTTGGTTATGTTAATAACTAGATGGTCAGAAATAGAGTGAGGGAAGAAGAAAGAGTAATAGAATAGATGAAGGAGTTAAATTTTTCTTAGCTTTAGTTTGGTAGGGTTTTCCCCTGGGACTATGGCCCATGACTCTGGAGGGGGTGGCACTTTCTTGACTCGGGTGTGATGAGTCCATCCCTTTTTCACCGTATGAACAACAGTCTCGGTGGTTAGCAGCACAAGGTAGGGTCCTTCCTAGGCTGGCTCAAGTTTTCCTTCTTTCCACCCTTTGATGAGAACATGATCTTCAGGCTGGTGCTGGTTTACAGAAAATTCTAGGGGTGGTACATGTGCTAAAAGACTTTTAGTTTTGAGGGAAAGGAAAGTGGAAGATAAACCAAGTATATAACTTTTAAGAAGTTGACCTTTTGTTTTAAATGTGGGGACATCAGCAGTGGACTTTATAGTCCTTGGTGCCTTCTTACTGAGAAATTTCCTTTAGCACCTATTTTTATTAGTTTTTAGACCAAAGAAAGTCAAATGCCATTTTATATTTGACAACGCTTCTTGTATGTTTATACCAGATAAGCTAGATTTCACCTTTATATTGGTGTGTTATTAATGTTAAACTTAGTTTTAATAAAACTCTGTAGACATATTTATTTGATTTTTAATGTCTGACCATAAGGTAAGATTTTTATAGACTTTTCTTTAACCTTTTATAATTTTTGTTAAAGAACAGGTTAGTGCTTTAAGAAAAACCCGTTGTGTTTTTATTTTAATGTTCAGTTCACAGAAAAACTGTATGATACCCCTTAACTTTAGCCAATATGTTTAGACACAGAATTTTCTTTACAATTAAGGTTTCAAAACTTGCTTAAACCTTCAAAACAATTTTTGTAACCTTTTAATGTAGGTAAAAATCCACATTCTTATGCATCCTCATAATCCTTTTACCAAAGGTATATTTTACTTTCCTTACATACCTTGCACATAAACTGTTTATTCAATAGTTTTACATTTAGAAGGAGGCCTAATTACTTTTAAATTATACAACATTTCTTACATAAATTTATTTTTCTAACACACATTTTTTTCATGACTTTCACAGACAATTCTTCGACATGCCTCAACTTTCTGACTTATTGCAAACATCCCTTTCTTTAAACAACTAGTTAATTTATCTCAGGACAAGGATTTTCCATACAACATTCTTTTTTATATAAATTCTGCCTCCTCTTTATTTCCTTTTTTTTTTTTCCGAGGATGATAACCATTCTTTTCCAAAGCGAACTTCTTTTATGTCTGTGGACTAGACTGTCTAAGGCCACAAGATTAGAAGTTACTATAATACATGTTACACTGTTAACTTTTAGCAAACTTTACTTTTGTTGAAAACCTTGTAAGTTTGGGATTTCAATTATCCTTTGCTATTAATAAGACCTTATTTAGTCCAAATTAACTTAGAATTGGTATAGATGGCTTTTTTTTTTTTTTAATTACCTGGGAGGAACCATCTATCCTCCTGTCCTGAAGGGAGTTCCTCCTAGGTCTGGTCAGAGCTTTGTATGGTAATTAAGATTTAGATCCCCTGTTAGGAAACCTGCCGGGTTAAGAGAATTTTCAGTGGTTAATGTTAAATCATCTTCTTTTTTCTTTTTTCCTTAGGATACTTCTGAACCGGTGAGGTGTGCTCACAATGAGGTTTCCTGTAAAAGTTATTTTTTTACTTTCTTCTGTTAGCAAAGCAGTTGCCGCTACAGATTGAATGCATTTGGGCCATCCGCGGGTTACTGGGTTAAGGATTTTTGATAGGAAGGCCTTAATGCTTTTGGAATATGCCCTGACAACAAAGTGCCAGTTCCTTCCCGGTGTTCAGCCACTGCGTTGATCCTCCACGAGGGCCTGCCACGTGCTGCTCTGGTGAGGCGTTCCACCGGGGCAATTGCCTACCTGGGAGCGCTCTCCAGATCTGTGTCGCTCAAACTGGCTGGAGTTCCCCGTAGGGATGCTCCACAGGGCAGGCCTAAGTCGCCTAAGGGGCTGCCTTGACCGTCCGTTAATCACCTCTGTCTCCAAAAACCAGCTCCCTGAGTGAGCAATTCCTGTCCCTTTTAAGGGCTTACAACTCTAAGGGGGTCTGCATGAGAGGGTCGTGATTGATTGAGCAAGCAGCGGGTACGTGACTGGGGCTGCATGCATCAGTAATCAGAACAGAACAGAACAGCACAGGGATTTTCACAATGCTTTTCCATACAATGTCTGGAATCTATAGATAACATAACCTGTTAGGTCAAAGGTCGATCTTTAACCAGACCCAGGGTGCGGTGCCGGGCTGTTTGCCTGTGGATTTCATTTCTCCCTTTTAATTTTTACTTTTTCTTTCTTTGGAGGCAGAAATTGGGCATAAGACAATATGAGGGGTGGTCTCCTCCCTTAATTTAAACAAAATTTTCAAAGTCCTACCCCAAGTAAATTGGCAAATATTAATAAAGTTATGGCATAGAAAATAAAAATGATTGTAAAAGGCGTAAAGATATTTCTGTGGGGAAAACATTTGTTCATTAGTTATCAGTTAAAATTCTGTGAAAAATAACCACTAGAGACCCTAAAGTACCCAGGGGCTAATAATAAGAAGGGAGGAACACCCTCTCACTCCCCACCGTTACCTGCCCAGAAGGGAAGAGGAAGAGGGTGACTCCAGGAGAGCTGTGGTCTCCCCTCCCCATATGTCCACATATACCTGACCTCCCCTCCCCAAAATATATACCCAATATCTCTCCCATATATACATATTTATCTGACCTCTCCACATATGTATACCTAAACTTTCTCTATATATCCACATATACCTAACCCTCTCACACACATATAGCTGACCTCCAGTGGAGGAAAATGGGGAAGAGAGAAGAAGTTATCAAAGGATAAATCTAGGTCATACTCAGAAATGTGAAAAACAAAAACCACACACAGAAAAAAAAAACACACACAAAAAAGAAATTGATAAATTTGTTTGTGTCAAAATTAAGAATTCCGGTTCAATGAAGGATCCCATGGATAAAGTTAAGACACTGCTGTAAGGATGGTAGAGAATTAAATGTCTGAATCAGACGAAAGGATGAGTAATTAGAATGCACAAGGCCAAGAAGAACAAAACAGAAACTCCACATAAAAAATGTATGAGGCCGGGCGCGGTGGCTCATGCCAGTAATCCCAGCGCTTTGGGAGGCCAGGGCGGGCCGATCAGGAGTTTGAGACCAGGCTGGCCAACATTGTGAAACCCCATCTCTACAAAAAATACAAAAAATTAGCCGGGCGTGGTGGTGGGTGCCTATAATCCCAGCTACTTGGGAGGCTGAGGCAGGAGAATCACTTAAACTCAGGAGGCAGAGGTTGCAGTGAGCTGAGATCACACCATTGCACTCCAGCCTGGGTGACAGTGTGAGACTCTGTCTCAAAAAAAAAAAAAATTATATATATATATATATATATATATATATATATATATATATATGAAATAAATGAACAAGAAATTTAGATACAGGAAAATCCAAAGCACTTGGTAATGAAAGAAAGGTAAAGTGATGTGTCCTTTTGCATTTAAAAGAGAGCATTAACAAATTAGAGAGCTGAATAATGCTCAGTATTGGTGTGGATATGGAGACTCAGGAATCCTCATACACTGCTGATGGGAGTGCCCACTCCCTGGGAATATTTTCCAAATATCATCTCAAACATATCCCATAAAGGTGACAGGAAAGTGTGGGCTGACTGATATCCTTCACTGAGAGAGGTGGAGGTAAAATGAAGTCACTGCACAATATAGAGTTGGAAGCAATGGATTAGATGTCCACATAGTTACGTGGAAGAATCCGTAAGATACACACACACACACACACACACACACACCTTTGTGTATATTGTTCCTGGCAGGTAGGCATGGAGGTTTAGAGGCTTTCTACATCACACCTACTGCACACAGTAAATGGCCAGGCTGAGCACTGACTTCCATGAAGGGAGATTGAAGGTAAGAGATTGAAGATTGTTCCCTGGTCTGGGACCCTGCAACTGAATATGCAGAAAAAAGTACACCCCGCCACCCCGCTTCCCATCTTTCCTACCTGATTAGAATAGCTTTTTCAGAAAACGTTGGCCAGGGGTTGTGGCTCACACCTGTAATCCCAGCACTTTGGGAGGCTGAGGCGGGCAGATCATCTGAGGTCAGAAGTTCCAGACCAGCCTGGCCAACATGGCGAAACCCCATCTCTACTAAAAATATAAAAAATTAGCAGGGCATGGTGGCACACACCTGTCATCCCAGCTACTCGGGAGCCTGAGGCAGGAGACTCACTTGAAGCACAGTGATGGAGGTTGAAGTTAGCTGAGATCTTGCCACTGCACTCCAGCCTGGGCAACAGAGTGACACTTTGTCTCAACAACAACAACAAAACCCACCAAAACTTTAAATCTACCTATGGCCAAATGCCTGCTAAAATGAGCACCCAAGAAGCAGTGTTCAGGAAAGTCAGATGAATACCCTAAAATTAGATGCAATGTTGGCTGGTCACAGTGGCTCAGGCCCTGTAATCCCAATCCTTCTTGGGAGGCCGAGGCGACAGATCGCTTAAGCTCAGGAGATCGAGACCAGTCTGGACAACATGGTGAGACCGTGTCTCTACAAAAACGTACAAAAATGAGCTGGGAGTGGTGGCGCGCACCTGTAGTCCCAGCTACTCAGGAAGCTGAGGTGGGAGGATCTCTTGAACCCAGAAGGCGGAGACTGCAGTGAGCAGAGATCATGCCACTACACCCCAGCCTGGATGATAGAGCCAGACCCCCATCTCCAGAAAAAAAAAATAAAGAGAGAGAGAGATGCAATATTTAGGGTTCAACAAGACTGAATTTCTGACTCCTTTCCCTACCTCTCCAGCATGTTAGATTCTGGGTCCTTCATCCTAACCCCCTGTTCATGCCATAGCCACCCTGTGGTACCAACTTTGGAAGCCTGGATCTTCATCCCCTCATGATAATGAGTGTCCCATCAGGTCTCCATGCTCAGCTTGGCAAGAGTATCTGTCTTCTCCTCATGGGACGGTCACATTCACCCAGCACTGACAGGTTCCATTCCCACTAGGGTGGCACCCTATATGGTCTGAGTCCAGGCCTTCCTGGTCCCTCAGTAATCTCAGCATGGTAGCACAATCGAAAAG
The DNA here is from genome assembly GCF_000001405.40 of Homo sapiens. NCBI lineage: Eukaryota > Metazoa > Chordata > Mammalia > Primates > Hominidae > Homo > Homo sapiens. The sequence continues at coordinate 26,072,268 of NC_000006.12, read as the reverse complement.
GGCTAGGCACGGCAGCACCATTTCCCACCAAGAGGTCTGATGGCTCATCACATAGACTGAAGGAGATTCTGAAGAGCAGAGGTGGAATGAAGAATGAATCGTGGGCTCTGCTCTTCCTAGGCCTGTCTTCCTCTCTCCCGAGATGTTAGCTAACTCATGAGAGCCAGAAACCAACTGCAGGCTGGCCTCAGGCACTTAGGTAGTGCTTCAGCCTCAGCAGTCCACATTCTAGGAACCCTCATAATATGGGTTGAAGTATGCATTCCCACAAAAATAAAGTTGTTGAAGTCCTAACCACCAGTACTGAAATGGGAAAAGTTCCCTTGTCCCGCTCGCATGGCATGTGATAGGAGTGTGGCTAATTTCTTCAGTGCCTGGCTGCTCAAACCTCTAGGGGAACATTAAGACGGGCAGGTTGTGGGTCTCCAACCCCATGACCCCACCACAGTGTCTAGGGTTGAATGTTTACAGCTCCTGAAGCCACAGTGGGTGTGTGTTACAGGGTGCTCTTTTAGTTTTGCCATTTATAGGCAGCTGGTGTTAACCAACTCAATTAGACCGTCTACCTTGTCCCAAGGACAGAAGAAGGCTTTCTGTATCCCAGGTTCTTGCCTTGGTGTACCGGAATAAATCAGACCACACCTGGGCTTAGAGAAAGAGTGCAAGGTTTTATTAAGTGGAGGTAGCTCTCAGCAGTTGGGCAAAGCCAAAAGTGGATGGAGTGGGAAAGTTTTCCCTTGGAGTCAGCCACTCAGTGGCCCAGGCTCTCCTCCAACCACCCCAGTCAAATTCCGCCTCATTTTGCCAGGCAAACGTTTGTTGTGTGCTCTTCTGCCAGTGTGCTCCCCTGGACGTCCAGCTATTCGTGTCTTGTGGCAGGCCAGGGGAGGTCTTGGGAAATGCAACATTTGGGCAGGAAAACAAAAATGCCTGTCCTCACCGTGGTCCCTGGGCACAGGCCTGGGGGTGGAGCCCTAGCCGGGGACCACGCCCTTCCCTTCCCCACTTCCATATCATTTAAAGGGACCATGCCCTTCCCTTCCCAGCACTTTCCCCCTCCTGTATCAGGACCTGTGAATGTGGCCTTATTTGGAAATAGGGTCTTTGCACTTCATCAGTTAAGATAAGAGTGGGCTCTAACCCAACATAAAGGGTGTCCTTATAAAAAGGAGAAATGTCATACACAGAGACTGACACCTATAGAGAGAAAATGTGGTGAGTAGACACAGGGAGAATCACCATTCAAGTCAAGCAATGAGTCTGGGGATACCAGAAGCTGGGAGAGAAACCTGGAACAGATTATCCCTCATTGCCTTCAGAAGGAATCAAACCTGATGATACTTTGATTTCAGACTTCCAGCTTCCAGGACTGTGTGACGATAAATATCTGTTGTTAAGCCAACGAGTTTGAGGTACTTTGTTACTGCAGCCCCAGAAAACTAATACAGTAGGTACTATGGACTGAATTGACTCCCCGTCGCAAAATTCATATGTTGAAACCCTAACCCCCAGTGTGATGGTACTTGGAGCTGGGGCGTTTGGGAAGTCATTATATTTAGACAAACTCATCAGGATGTGTCTCTCATGATGAAATTCATGCCCTTATTAAAAGAGACAACAGGCCAGGTGCAGTGGCTCATGCCTGTAATCCCAGCACTTTGGGAGGCTGAGGTGGATGGATCACCTGAGGTTGGGAGTTTGAGACCAGCCTGGCCAACATGGTAAAACCCCATGTCTACTAAAAATACAAAAATTGGCCAGGTGTGGTGGTGCACGCTTGTACTCCCAGCTACCTGGGAGGCTGAGGCAGGAGAATCCCTTGAAACCAGGAGGTGGAAGTTGCAGTGAGATCACACCACTGTACTCTAGCCTGGGTGATAGAGACTCCATCTCAAAAAAAAAAAAAAAAAAGACAATAGAGCCAGGTGCTGCAGCTGATGCCTGTAATTCCAACACTATGAGAGGCTGAAGCAGGAGGCTCGCTTTAGCCCAGGAGTTCAAGACCAGCTTGGACAAAATAGTGAGACCCCCAACTTCTAAAAATTTAAAAAATGAACTGGGTGTGGTGGTACACATCTGAGGCTCCAGCTACTCTGGAGGCTGAGGTGGGAGGATTGCTTGAGCCCAGGAGGAGGCTGCAGTGAGCCATTGCTGTCCAGCCTGGGCTACACGAGAACCTGTCTCGGGAAAAGGAGAAAACAGTGAGACCTCTTTTTCTCTCCTCCTTCTCTCCACTGCCTAAGCCCTACAAGCACAAAAAGGACACCACATGAGCACATAGTGAGAATGCTGCTGCCACCAACAAGTCAGGAAGAGAGCGTTCACCTAGAAACTGAATTGGCCAGCACCTGGATCTTGGACTTCTGAGCTTCCAGAACTGTGAGAAAGTTATTTTTTTTTTAGCGACTAAGTCTATAGTATTTTATTACAGCAGCTCAAGGTAACTAACATAGTAGAAGGGATGAATTATGGAGATCACAAGTCCACGCCTCCAGAAAAAGACTTCCCTAAAAATTAGTCTGAGCAAAATTCGAATGATGAATTATTTTTAAGAACTTTTAAGGGATCTGACAAGTTTGCAAGAGCTAGAGAATGCTTTACAACGTGATAATAGAATGCTCTGTGATGACAGAAATCTTTCCACACTGTTCAAAACTAGCTACTGGCCACTTGTGACTATTGTGCACTTGAAATGTGACTGGTGTCTGAGGAGCAGAATGTTTAATTTTACTTAATTTTAATTCATTACAATAGCTACATGTAGCTAGGGGCTACTGGATTGAACAGCACAGCTCGAGTCTTTTAGAGGGAGACAGGACTCACCAAGATGGATGCTGGTGGCCAAGCAGCAATGGCAGGTAGTACACACACAAGAGGCAGATGATACAACACATCCTTCCCAAACCTGGAGATAAGCTCACCCCACAATCCCGCCGCTGAAATAGAGTTGATGTTACCAATGTGCATTTTTATGTCCTTTTCCATACAGAAAGATCATTCAGCAAGTACTATGGTACTTAAAAAACAACATTCAATTCATTATTATGACAAAATTAAATTAATAGCTCTTCCTTAAACTTTTAAATTCAATTTACAATGCTTACTATTGGCATTTATTAATCTACCAATTTTTTCCCATAGAACCCATAGAACAAATAATCTACCAAATTTTTAACATTCATTTTTGGCAAGGCTTTTGCAATTTGACGAACTTTAAGAAGAAAACTTATAAATTGCAATTTTTAAATCTGACATACTGGACTTTTAAAGTATCCAATTGACTAATGAACAAAACTGCTCCAAATTTTTCAATTCTTAAAAATCTTAAGACAATACTTAATATGGCAAATCTTAACTTCTTAAACTTTGTAAGAATGCTAATCAACTTAGATTGGTATAAAGTTGAGTTAAAAATCACAGGATACATCATCTCAGCTATAAGTTTTCATGAGTTGAGTTTTTACAATCACTTGAAATGCTTAGAATAGGAAATACGTATAAATTATTTAACATAAAATATTGTTACAAAACCTCTGGAGTGTCAGTTTCTCTGGCCAGACTTTATGCTGCAGCACCTTTGCCTGAGTTCTTGTCCTGCATCCAGGAAGAATTAGGTACAGAGGCAAGAGTCAAGAAGATTAGTTTTCCAATAGTTCAGCTCACCTAGTTAACTCCTGTTCACAATCTTCAAAGTTATCAGAAACCTGCAATTGAGGGTTATAATCCATTCTTTGCAGAGTTTCAAAACAAGACAACATTTGTCTATGAATGTTAAAATGTCCTAGGGTAGTCACAGTCAAAAACACAATTGACAAAGAAATTTAGTCACCTCTGTGATTTACAATAGCCTAACACAATAACTCTAATTATAACTGATGACACAAACTCAGATATCAGAACTCTAGAAATCCCCTATAATTTTGGAACACACATTCACAGTTTTCACTGAAATATGACCTGAAGATCAAATATCACCTTATTTCAACAATCCTATATAACTAAACGTGTCAAATGATCCTGTTTACCTCTCCTTTGGATACTCCAGGGGCCCTCTGTAGCATCCAAAAGTTAGGGGTTAGCAAAGACAATTTTGAAGCTGTAAAGGCTCAAAACACTTAATGAACCTCTAGTCATATCTGTTCTCTACTCACTAAATGCTAGTAGCACCTCTCAGTTGTGGCTAAGCTGGGAGGATCTCTTGAGCCTAGAAGTTTGGGGACGCAGTGAGCTATGATTATGCCACTGCACTCCAGCCTGGGCAACAATGCAAAATCCTGTCTCAAAAACAAAAACAAAAAACAAATTGCCTATGCTGTGGTTATCTCACAATTAATAAAAAGGAAAAAAAAAGTATGCAGTCTTTGTAGGTCCTTGGGGTTTGTTGGAACTCAGAAAACAATACCCCAAAATAAAGACCGCAGAAGCCAAAGTTTTTCTCTGATCTTCTCCTGCCCTCCTGTCTCTGAGTCCCATTCTCCCCGGAGTCTAGCCATAGAAATGAGAATTCCTCTTCCTCAAGTTAGGTCATAGAAATCAAAACACCTTTTCCCCAGAGCCCAGCCATAAAACCTAAAAATATTACTCTAACTTTCCCTCTGTTTTTCTGTGTAAAAACTGGCCATAAAGAAATTATCTGAACTACCTTATTTGATCATAGATCACCAGACCGCATTCCAGAGAGGATCCAGAAGGAAGGAATGCTGCACAGAGAGGCGAAGAAGAATCTAGACAGACAGGCCTTGCTGGGTTTCCCTACTCTGTTTATTAGCAATCCTATTTCTACACGGCGGCCCATACTTTGTTGAATCTAAAAAATAAAAATGGACAATTTCCCCTGTACATGTTAATACACATTAATAAATTGGATATAAATTGGATAATTTATTAATATACACATTAATAAATTGGATGCAGCCGGGTGCAATGGCTCACGCCTGTAATCCCAGCACTTTGGGAGCTGAGGCGGGCAGACCACGAGGTCAAGACCACCCTAGCCGAAATGGTGAAACCCCGTCTCTATTAAAAATACAAAAGTTAGCTGGGCGTGGTGGCACATGCCTGTAGTCCCAGCTACTGGGGAGGCTGAGGCAGGAGAATTGCTTGAACTCGGGAGGCGGAGGTTGCAGTGAGCCGAGATTGCGCCACTGCACTCCAGCCTGGTGACAGAGTGAGACTCCGTCTAAAAATAATAATAATAATAATAATAATAATAATAATAATAATAAATTGGATGCATTTTATCCTATTAATCTTCCTCTTGTCGGTGGTTTTCAGCGACTCTTCAGAGGCCAAAGAGTAAGTTTTCCCTTAGCCCCTACAGGTTCTTATGTTTAATTTGTTACTCTCATTTAAGACATAATTAAAGTGGCTTCTCCATGAAGATTATTTCTGCATCCATTATTTGGTAAGATTGGCCGTTTTCTCCTTTGATCTCTACTTCACACTGACCCACATAAAACATCACTGCCTGTTTTTTTGTTGTTGTTGTTTGGAGACGGAGTCTTGCTCTGTTGCCCAGGCTGGAGTGCAGTGGTGTGATCTCCGCTCACTGCAAGCTCCGCCTCCCGGATTCACGCCATTCTCCTGCCTCAGCCTCCTGAGCAGCTGGGACTACAGGCACCCACCACCAAGCCCGGCTAATTTTTGTATTTTTAGTAGATACGGGGTTTCACTTTGTTAACCAGGATGGTCTCGATCTCCTGACCTCGTGATCGGCCCGCCTCAGCCTCCCAAAGTGCTGGGATTACAGGAGTGAGCCACTGCGCCCGGCCCCGTTTTTTTTTTTGGTTTTTGCATGTCTTCTCCCTTTTACTGTAAACTATTTCCACTACCAGCGTAGTTATCATTTCTACTGCTTAATAATTGTTTTGGGGAAGTGAATGCATCAACCCACATGAATTTCTTGTCTATTTGACAATTTATTCTCTTTAGGAATAGTATTAACTCCTAAGGTCCTGGGAGCCAGTCTCTGTACTTGGCTGCTCCAGGGTCCTACTTCAGTTTCCCAGCTTCTCAGTACTGTCACTGTCAATTGTGGGTAATAATTATTTTTGTCCACCAAAAGACTCTGTATGTGAATGAGTTTTGAAATCTGCTGAGTAATACAGTGTCAACCCAGTTAATGATTTGCCGGGCGGCTTGATCAGGGGCTGTCCAACTACCGGCATTTTGATTTGGAGCGTCATCTAGTGTCTGAAAGCACAAACAACATCCTACATTGTAAATGCCTTTGGCTACAGAGATTGAAACCAAAGCAAACCTATGTTTTGAATTGTTATTCTTCAGCAGTTCTGCTAGCTTTGAAAAATCTAAAAGTTAAAAAAAAGCTTTATATTTCATTTTCTGCCTAAACTCTTTAAAATTGCTAGTTGACAATTAGATATTTTCAATTTAATGAAATTTTTTTTTAGTTCACAGATTAATACACAATGGGGGAGGGTTCTTATTCTGTTGGACTTTTACATAACCTCCACTTTAGTGCAGTCTGCTTTATGGGGTCTTGTTTGAGGTGTGTGTGTGTTTAAGGGAATGTGGTTTACAATCAAAATATTGGGTTGCTCTTAGGCACATTGTAAAGTCACACACCTGTATTCTTATTGATACATAATGATTAATAACATTATTATTACAGCCTGATCACCATCATTATTGATATATCTAAATAATGAATTTTATAATTTTGCTTCCTGTCAGGCAAGAGCCAATTTCAGTGCTACCATGTTTGTATAGCAGTATTTATGTCTGTCATCCTCAGTCATTTTACTTCACTTGTTCTTAGCCAAACGGCCGAGAAGCGATGGTCATTTTACTTCAAAAATGAAAAGAATTAATATTTTTACGTTTCCCTTAAAGACCCTATGTTTAACCTCCACTCCTGGGTAAAATGGTCTAGTCCCTCCTTTTCATATCATCTCTGATATCTTTTGCACAGCCACTATTACCTACCGTTTTCTAGATCCCTATTCTTCAAACACCACCATGAAGGTAGAGCCTGTCTGAATTATTTTCTTGTCCCCTGAACTCAGTACATTGTTAGGCTTCTTGAAGATGTTGATCAGTTGTTTGTGGAGTGAATGAATCAGCTAGCATGATTTTTCTAGACCACTGAGACAAGTGTCTAAGACACTTGTTCCTTCCCATGTTCTTGCCTGCCTGTGCAATCCATGCAGTCTCATGGCTTCCCAGTGCCTCAGAATTATCCCCTGTCAAACAGGCATTATAATTTCTGTCCACTGAAAAGGACAAAAAACTAAGTGTATAGCTAGAAGTTAAAAATTACCGGCCAGGTACTGTGGCTCACTCCTGTTATTCCAACATTTTGGGAGGCTGAGGCGGGCAGATCACCTGAGGTCAGGAATTCGATACCAGGCTGGCTAACATGGCGACCCCGTCTCTATCAAAAATGTAAAAGTTAGCCAGGTGTGGTGGCTCGCACCTGTGGCCCCAGCTACTCAGGAGGCTGAGGCAGGAGGATCGTTTGAGCCCTGGAGGTTGAGGCTGCAGAAAAATAGGAATATACTCTCTTTCAAGAGTTCGTGGTTTTGACTGCCACCTAGCGTACATCAGAAAAACCGCATGACATAGGAAATGCCTGTGACAGAGGGGTAAGGTGAGAGAGGTTGATGAAGAATGTATTGAAGGAGTGAAAACGCTTCCATCCCTCTACTTACTAAATATATTAGTTAAGTAGTTGGGGCATATTTTAATTCATGCATTTTGTAGATAGAAAAACAAAAGTTTTATTCTGTTTGATTTAGTTGATACTTTAATATGTGTGTGTTTAGGATGCATGATTTATAATCAGTCTGCAGCACTTCTTGGAGAAGTCTGAATTCTCATTCTCCATTTCCTTATTGGCAACGTGAGAATGATTACAATGGTGGTTGTCTCATAGAATGCAGGGAGTCAGAATGAAAATAGTCCATATAATGCCTGGTGCAGAGGAAGGGTTCAGTTAACTGTCTGTATTAATATTACTGATAACAGTCATGACAAACAAAAGCTTAACAACAACACCACCAACAACAGTTGCAGAATTGAGCCACCAATTTGCACACAAGATTGTAGGTAGGATGTTTTAGAAAAGTTATTATTTAATATATGTATATATTTTTGTACTTAAAATATGTCAGAGGTTGTTCTAAGAACTATTTAAATGTTAACTCCTTAATCCTCATAATGACCCATGAAACAGGTAGGCTTATTATTGTCTCTTTACATGTGAGAACACTGAGACACGAAAAGGTTTATTAACTCACCCAAAGTCACACAGCTGGTAAAACGGCAAAATTGAATTTGAACTCAGACATTCCAGGTTCCAAGACAGTCTAATTATTCTTTTGACTAATATACTAAGCTGCCTCTGTATTTTTCCTTGATTACTTTGTAAAAGTATGAGGAAAATATAAGTGCTTCAAGTAACCATGAAAAATATAAACAATCTATGTATCAACTGAAGCATAATTACAAATCCTTTGATAAGCAAACATAATAAAAATTTGATATCAATCAAAACTTTCATGTAATGTAAGCAGGTTGAGATGAATTCTATAGTAAAAAAGTGCAGAGTGCTGGAATACCATGCTCCTAATATATTGGCTAGGCACACCTGCCTGCTATCAAAGGTATGCACACACCTTGGATACAGAAAGTTGGGACTGGGTAGTTATGTGAGTGTCATCAGAATTCTTTCCCACTTGGGAAAGAATTGTCCATCATAAGCTTGGATGATGGACAAGGAGTGAGCTCCCAGAACAGTGATGTGGGGATACATCCTCACATCACAGTGAGAATGAGTGTTCTAGACTGTTTACACACCTACCACTCCTAAATGCACACATATAATTGCTTGCACACACACACATACACACTCATCTCTTCTCTGGTGGTCCAGCTCTATCTCTTATCATTAGGCTTCTTGGGGCTAGTACCTAGGGCCTGTATCCTTTCAGAGGCAGCTAAGGGAAGCACACATAATTAGAAAGAATGAACCAGCTTGTTGGATTTGGTCTCTTCGCATCCAGCCCTCCAAGTTAAGGAGAGTACCATCTTTCTTAGGGTCACCAAAGGAAAAAAAAAAAAAAGAAAGAAACAGAAGGATATCATACAGCAAGGATCTAATGCAAATATGCCTCAAATGAGAGGCTACTGTGTGCTGATCCCAATCCCAGGAACTGTATGCACATTATCTAATTTAATCCTCACTGTATTTCTGGGAGTATTATTCCCATTTTACAGAGAAGGAACTTGGCAGGGTAACCAAGCTCATGAATGGAGAAACTGGGATTAAATATAAAGCTTCCTTGCTCCAGAACTGCTGTCTTTCTGCTCTTCCACACTACCAGCTCAGCTGTGCTCTCTACATGCAGGCAGTTTTACAAGTTTCAGATTAGCCTGGGACTTCCAGGGTTTTGAATGGGTTAGGGAATGGGGAACTTTTGGGTTTACTTTCCATTTTTTCTTCATACATATGTAATATATAACATAAATCTATGGTATATATGATAAATATATGGCTACATATGAACTATATAATCACATATATGCATTATAAATAAATATTAATTTTATAATATTTTAAAGGTTATCAAATAAATATTAATATAAATAATTAAATAATTAATACTCAGCTTTGTTTTCCAAAGTGATAAATGCCTATATTTAGCAAAATATTTTTTGGAGGCCTGATAGTTTTTAGGAGTGTAAAGAAGTCCTGATATCTAAATGTTTAAGAACCACTATTTTAGGCTGTTGTCTTCTGTCTTATTTTCCCAGCTAGACTGGTAAATACTTGAAGGCAAACGTTTAGCCAGCACATTAACATTTTATGTTTTTATTCTTTTGTGCTCTCAGTGGCTGTGTCTTTTCTATCGATTTCTCACACTGTATGATGGTTATATTTGTCTGTATCTGTCCCACCAGGTATAAGTTCTTGAGAGGACACACTGCTAGGCTGATCTTAGTTTTTATTATTTCTCCTGGTGTCCTGTGCTTAACAAGTGCTCATTAAGTGTGTAAAAACACAGCACAGTAAAAAACTAGACATTAAAAAATAATGTCAACCAATCTATTGAAATTTGCATTTCCATGTTTCTTCCAATATAGTCATTGTGTCAGGTTATGTACTTATTCTGATGAAGACTATTGCCTAATATACGTTTGCATCTTGTGCTTTATAACTGCCTTCATATAGACACAGATTGAGAAGGTGTAAAAATGTGCATATCCTCACAATTGACAAATTCTTATCCTTTGAGGGTAGGTTTGACTTTCTGAAATGCTTTGACATCATTTGAAAGAAGCTTGAAGAATAAGATAGCTGTTAATGACCCAGTTTCCTATGTCACTTATACAATTATAATGGCAATTTCAAAATGTTAGGTAAATATATTTTGCAATATATTGTTCCTTTTGTAATACTCTCTATGTATTTATTTATATTTTTAAATTTTATATTTATGTATTTATTTTTCTGGACAGAGTCTTGCTCTGTTGCCCAGGTTAGAGTGAAGTGTTGTGATCATAGCTCTCTGCAACTTCAAACTGCTTGGCAAAAGTGATCCTCCTGCCTCAGCCTCATGAGTAGAGTAGCGGGAACTACAGGCGCATGCCACTGCACCCAGCTAATCACTATTTATTATGCTCCTACTGTGTGCTTTAGTATATTTTCTGTTGTTTTCTGCAACCCATTTTGAGGGCGTGTTAGGGAATACAGATGCAGTAACTTTCGTCTCAGCCCTTGAGGTGAGGAAATATTTAGCCTCAGGTTTAATCTAATTGTTGGCCATTTGCCTTCAAAGATTGAAATATGAGCAAAACTGTGGCTCTGGGTTATATGTTAAAAAAAAGTTTATGGGGCTGAAGCCAGGCAACAGACAAGAGCCCCTACAATCTTATTTAGGCTGAAAATATCCTGGAGTCCCTGTATTGTTGGTCTCAAGCAGATAGCAACACTAACACTTACTCTTTGAGGCAGGCACTGCCAGTGGGGTGGCTGTTATTATTAGCTTCATTAATTGGTGAGTCAGGAAAAAACAGCTTTAAATCATTCAAAGTTCTGGCCTATACAGGATTTAGTAATATTAGGTTAGCTACATCCAAAAGATGACAGAACCCTACTCTAAGGCTGGGCTTGGTGGTTCACACCTATAATCTCAAAACTTTGGGAGGCTGAGGCAGGAGGATCACTTGGTGCCAAGAGTTTGAGACCAGCCTGAGCAACATAGTGAGACCCCTGTCTCTATCAAAAACAAAGAACTCTAATTGGCATAGTAGAAGGAAAAAGTGAAAGAAAAACCAGCTGTCACCCTCATTCCTTACACCTGTCCTAACAACTCCTCTCACTATCCTTTGAATATATCTTGGCTGTTTGAGTCTCTCTCTAGCCCCATTACTGCTGTTTGGACTTGACATTTTGCTCTGCATTTTTAACTTTTCTACCAGGGTTTCCAGACCCTGAAGAGTGTGGCATGAAACAAAACTAGTCAACCTATAATATTTATGATGTGTGTGTAAATAAAAGAATACACAATATATTGCATTACAATATTTTAACTGTGTCCTCAATTTGTTTGTGGCTTTCTTGAGGACATCAGTTTTGGGTGGGACGACCACATCCTTAATCTGAACTTTCCCTTGGAGGTCATTCTTTTTTTTTTGAAATAGAGTCTCGCTCTGTCACCCAGGCTGGAGTGCAGTGGCGCAATCTCAGCTCACTGCAACGTCCGCCTCCTGGGTTCAAGTGATTCTCCTGCCTCAGCCTTCCAAGTAGCTGGGATTACAGATGCACGCCACCATGCCGAGCTAATTTTTGTATTTTTAGAAGAGACGGAATTTCACCATGTTGGTCAGGCTGGTCTTAAACTCCTGACCTCATGATCTGCCCACCTCAGCCTCCTAAAGTGCTGGGATTACAGGCGTGAGCCACCCCGCCCGGCCAGAGGTCATTCTAATAGACTTTTTTTTTGTTGTTGCTCACAGGCTTGTTCAATCTTATTTCAAAATTTGAGAAATACAGTTTCCATGGAACACCAACCAGATATCAGGTTGCTATGGAGTTGATAGTCAAAAGCTTTGTATCTTCCAGTTTTTCAGAATGGCTTCTAAAGGTTCTGATTCAGAGCTCTTAGGCGAAATTGAACAACCAAGTGTCAAAGTACAACATTCAGGAAGTTAAAAACATGACTGACATATATGTACTATATATAGTGAGCTTGTGTATGTGTCAATGAATGATTTAATTCATTAATGAAGGAGGAAGCAGAATCACAATTAGGTCAAAGGAAGATACGGGAGAATAAAATATGTATTTGGTCAGGGAAAGGATGTATACTGGAAGAGGAAGGGAAAATCAGATATAAAGTTGTTTAATGACTTATTAGGCAATACAATAATAACTTTTAGGGTCATTTTTTCTATATTAAGAATTCATTTCCATCTCTATGACAAAATCCTTATTAATTTATTAAACTTCTACAAGTGAATGTTTACTTTTAGATAGTCTGGACCCAATAAAATGTAAACATTAAGTCAGAGTTACTTTCACGTAGGACAGTGTTGTCCAATAAGGTACCACTAGCTACACGTGATCATTGACCATTTGGACTATAGCTAGACTGATTTAAAATGTTCTAAAAGTGTAAAATACACACCAGGTTCTGAAGATTTATCATTTAAAAAAGAATGTCAACTGTCTTTTTTTTTAGCTTATTTATTATATGTTGAAGTGATAATAGTTTAGATATATTAAGTTAAATAAAATATCTTAAAATTAATTTTACTTGTTTCTTTTCATTCTTTCAATGTGACCACTAGAAATCTGGAAAGTATTTATGTGATTCACATTCTATTTTACTGTCTAGTATTGCCTTACATCATCAGGTACCCCATAAGTAGGCTTTTTAGATAATTCTCTAATATAGCTTGGAAGGATATGGAGAAATATTTTTGCGTTGCTTTTAAGTTTTGCATAACTTTTTCAACACACTTTATAAAGGATCTAGAAAAGGGTTGGTTACATGTTTCTCTGTCTTCTGGCCTCCACCATGTTGCCAGGAGGTTGGGGACAAGATTCTGGGTGGCTGGATGTCCTAATGGCTTGAGGTCTGGACTTGAGATTTGCATATAAAGAGATGTGATTAGATTGAGTCGACTAGAAAAATCATATTAGAGAACTGAATCACAGCGATTAAATTTACATGTCGATTTATAAACCAGGACACCAATTTATAGTGAAAGAAGGTCCAGTTACCTGGTAATCAAGACGTTTCATAGCTATTTTCATGATGGATATACTTAGCTGAGTTTTAAATGAGAAGGGGGTTCATTGCACATAGAATAAGATCTAAGTGAAATGTTTATTTTATTTTTTTTTTTTTGACATGGAGTCTTGCTCTGTTGCCCAGGCTGGAGTGCAATGAGGCAATCTCGGCTTCTGGAGTGCAATGAGGCAATCTCGGCTTCTGGAGTGCAACGAGGCAATCTCGGCTCACTGCAACCTCCACCTCCCGGGTTCAAATGATTCTCCTGCCTCAGTTTCCTGAGTAGCTGGGATTAGAGTTGCCTGCCACCACGCCAGGCTAATTTTTGTATTTTTTTTAGTAGAGATGGGGTTTCACCATGCTGGCCAGGCTGGTCTCGAACTCCTGACCTCAGGCGATCTGCCCGCCTCAGCCTCCCAAAGTGCTAGGATTACAGGCGTGAGCCACCAAGCCTGGCCTAAGTGACATGTTCTTATATTGTTCCTTTCTTTCTTTTTTTTTCGACTGAGTCTCACCCTGTTGCACAGGCTGGAGTGCAGTGGCGTCATTTCGGCTCATTGCAACCTCTGCTTCCCGGGTTCAAGCGATTCCCTTGCCTCAGCCTCCTGAGTGCCACCACCCCCAGCTAATTTTTGTACTTTTAGTAGAGATGGTGTTTCACCATGTCGGCTAGGCTGATCTCAAACTCCTGGCCTCAGGTGATCCGCCCCCGAGTCTCCCAAAGTGCTAGGATTACAGGCGTGGGCCACGGGGCCCAGCCTTATATTATTTCTTTTACTACAATATATTAGTATGATGCAGGTGCTTCAATTGTTTATACACTTTCCATAATTTTGTATAATTCTTATACCCTGTCACTCTGAGGAATAGCCGGTCTAAGTGTTTTTCCACCACTGCTAATTCATCCATCACTAATCTCATTAGACTGTTAATTCCCAGAGGACATAAGCACACAAGCAGACAATGTTTACAAATGTTGGACAAATGTTATTTAATAAAACAATGGGGTCACCCTTAGTCTAAAAGATGTTTCACTTTTCATTTGTCATTGAACTCTTATTTGTAGGTTCCCTTTTGACTTTCCCACAATCTAAGGCTGTTCTCTTTAACACATATTTTCATGAAAACATATATTTGAGCAGAAATTGTTGGGGAGTTGTAATATTACCTTTGTCCCTAAATATGAATCTATAATTATATCAAATATATGGGCAGACAATTTACTTTGCCTTTAATCTCAAGAAAAAAATAGCAATTACTTGGGGTCGGAGAGTAAAATAAGAAGTAGTGAACCTTAAAGTAGCAAACTTTAGAACAGAATAGTTTCAGAGGGGATGAGAAGAGGTGATTTTTCAGCTCATCAACAACAGATCTTATAATAAATTACATGTTCTGGTACTTTTCTTGTCTTTCTGTGTTAAATTTTGCTATTTAAAAAAATAAATTTCAAATACATTGTTCATCTTAAAAGTCAAGAGTGTGTTTTATTAAAGTCAGTTGCTTTATTTGCAACTCAAAAGATATATTTGAGTTCCCAACTGGAGATTGTCCTATATGGTAACTTGCGTAAGGTATGGTTACTGAAAGTAACCTACAATTTTCATGGGCTGAAATTCATTTCTATATTGCAGCGTACAAAAATAAATAAATAAAAAATGCTTGTTTTCTTTGAAAACATATTATCTCAGTGCCTCTAACTGCCAAATCTATTGGCTTTTTTGCAGGCTTAAGGGCTCTCCCTTGTTCCTTTATGATCTCTATCTTGAGGGCCAGACCTCCTGCCTTACACAACTCAGAGGGGGACCTCAGAGCTCTTTAAAAAGAGCCCAATTTCTCGCCTGTAGAGAAGTGAAAAGGATGCCCCACCCCCATCTATGAAAAGAGGGATTTGATAGTTTCAATGTCTTCAAATCAAAGATTTAAGTCTGTAGCCCCCCACCACCCCGGACCCTAGCAAGGCTCATGAACCCCCTCCCATCCCGCCCTAATTGCTTTGGACTGGCCGTGGAATCCTTGTCCCAGTCCACAGTTCCTGTGCGACTGCACGAAGAATTCACAGAGGACCTGTGTTACTTCCCTTGTGAAGAAACAGAATTATCATGAAAATTTAGGTGGAAACCATTTCGCTTTTTTCTTCAAAAATAAGGGAAGCATGTGCCCAACCACCCCTGGGAAAAAGAACCTTCAGGGGCAAAGGAGCGAACAGGTAATTTATAAGAAAAACAGAAAGTGGTCTCTGACTGCCCCAGACTTCCTTCGGAGTTGGGGGAATTGGGGACGCCTGGACGCGTTGTTTTTGTGTTTGTGGAAAAAATAAATGAAGAGCATGAAGCCCGAGGCTTCTGAGATCCTTTCCTGACCAAACCCAAGTGATTTGGTGCGGGGAATTTTAATATTTTTCCCCTTTTGTGAGGTGGAACAAACACAACTTGGGAGCAGCGCAGCGGCTCAGAGCCTGCCAGCCAGGCGGGCGACCAGAGCACCAATCAGAGCGCGCCTGCGCTCTATATATACAGCGGCCCTGCCCAGGCGCTGCTTCATCGGCGCTTTGCCACTTGTACCCGAGTTTTTGATTCTCAACATGTCCGAGACTGCTCCTGCCGCTCCCGCTGCCGCGCCTCCTGCGGAGAAGGCCCCTGTAAAGAAGAAGGCGGCCAAAAAGGCTGGGGGTACGCCTCGTAAGGCGTCTGGTCCCCCGGTGTCAGAGCTCATCACCAAGGCTGTGGCCGCCTCTAAAGAGCGTAGCGGAGTTTCTCTGGCTGCTCTGAAAAAAGCGTTGGCTGCCGCCGGCTATGATGTGGAGAAAAACAACAGCCGTATCAAACTTGGTCTCAAGAGCCTGGTGAGCAAGGGCACTCTGGTGCAAACGAAAGGCACCGGTGCTTCTGGCTCCTTTAAACTCAACAAGAAGGCAGCCTCCGGGGAAGCCAAGCCCAAGGTTAAAAAGGCGGGCGGAACCAAACCTAAGAAGCCAGTTGGGGCAGCCAAGAAGCCCAAGAAGGCGGCTGGCGGCGCAACTCCGAAGAAGAGCGCTAAGAAAACACCGAAGAAAGCGAAGAAGCCGGCCGCGGCCACTGTAACCAAGAAAGTGGCTAAGAGCCCAAAGAAGGCCAAGGTTGCGAAGCCCAAGAAAGCTGCCAAAAGTGCTGCTAAGGCTGTGAAGCCCAAGGCCGCTAAGCCCAAGGTTGTCAAGCCTAAGAAGGCGGCGCCCAAGAAGAAATAGGCGAACGCCTACTTCTAAAACCCAAAAGGCTCTTTTCAGAGCCACCACTGATCTCAATAAAAGAGCTGGATAATTTCTTTACTATCTGCCTTTTCTTGTTCTGCCCTGTTACTTAAGGTTAGTCGTATGGGAGTTACTGAGGTATCAGACGAATTGGGTGACGGGGTTGGAGAGTGGCCGTGGTGAGGTTACAGCATTTAAACCTTTATTGCGGCTTCTAGGTCCCTGACCGGAGGCTTTTCTCGCTGGCGGATGGTTTTGGGATGGCAGTCCCGCCCCAGGCCTGTGAACGGCAGAAAAGACCGCAAAACAAGAGCCAGTTTCTTAGTCTAAAGGGATGTCCGGATTGGACTAAAAAATTTTCAAAAGTCCCGCCCTGCTCCCGGGTTGGTCCGTTCTTCTAGTACATGACTTTCATTCTGTATTTAATTGGATGGTGGAAGACGTTGCTTATTCTGTGTTTTTTGCTTTACTGTGACTTAAAAGTTTTGCCTCTTTTCTCTTTATATTAATGTCTGGGATTTCGGACGCTTTCCATGTTGTTGGTAGTCAAGTTGATGTCTCCTGGAGGTAGTGGCAACATCCAGCCCTGGGAGGAGAGTGCGTGCAGGTACCTTTGTCCTACATTCCTCTGCTGTTAATTTCTCATTCCTGTGGCAACGAAGGAATGCATTTAAAAAACAGCCACAACAGCGGCAATAGCCCTTCCTCCACCCAAGGCAATCGTGGACCTAGGGAGTTTTTTGTGCCACATAACATGTAGCCTTCCGCTAAACTGACAGGTTTGAGCGTATCGATTTTGAGCGTATCGAAAGCACAACTTTTAGCCAGCCATTTTGTCCTCGCATGACTACGGTTGCTTATCCTGTTTAGACAGACAGCAACATTTAAAAATCGAAGTTCCTTTAAACGTATTTTGTTTGGCAGTCCAAATGTTTCTATGCAGAAAACAGTATTTGTACTATTAACTATGAAGAGTGTATGGATAAATGGGAGACATTTCTAATAAAGGCCTTCGTTAATGGTTCCCTCTGTTTGACATCCATGGTGCTTCTGAATACAGAAAGCCTAGCGTCTTATATTCGCTTCTTTTAAAATCTGGTGGGCACATTTTGGTGAGACCTAAATTATGGGGACTGGGGCTTCTGGAGATAAGCTGCTCAATTATTCTACCATCTCCACAATGATTAATATAGTGAGTTGATTTGTTAGTGATAGTGACCACGGATTCATCCCAAGAAAGAGAAAGGGGAGGGAGGCAAGCAGAGAGACAGGAAGACAGAGGCAGGGAAGAAGGAGAAAACATTCTCCCATGGTTTAAGTAATTTTGTGTTGTTAATTTTACATTACAACACGGTTTAACATGGTGAACCCTCTATTTTGGTGTAAGGTTTAACATATGGACATATTTTTCCCAAGACCATTTATGAACTTTCATTTCTGCTTCCCCCTTCTTCCTCCCGTGCCACCCTCCACGCTCCTATCAATTTTGGCTGTTTTGTCATAGGCTAATACGCTATAATTTCATGGACAGTTGGACTGTCTTAGGTTTCTCAGGTTTCTATTTTGTTCCTTTAGTCATTCCCACAATTCTTAAGGTAGAATTGTATTGTTTTAAACATTGTGTTGTGTGCTATCCTCAATGCTGAGATGATTATGTGACAAATGGCAAGTGTTCAACTAATACCTAAATCTGTAGTATCTTATCAAGCCTAATGCTACTTCACAATGCCTACTCCATTCACCTCACTTTATCTCATTACTGGCATTCTGTCATCTCACATCATCACAAGTAAAACGGTAAGCTATTTTGAGAGAGATCACAGTCATATAATTTATATTTATATTTATTTATTTATTTATGAGACGGAGTTTCCCTCTGTCACCCAGGCTGGAGTGCTGTGGCACGTTCTCGGCTCACTGCAACCTCCGCCTCACGGGTTCAAGCGATTCTCCTGCCTCCGCCTCCCGAGTAGCTGAGATTACAGGGGCCTGCCACCATGCCCGGCTAATTTTTGTATTTTTAGTAGAGACGGGGTTTCACTAAGTTGGCCAGGCTGGTCTCGAACTCCTGACCTCAGGTTATCCGCCCACCTCATCCTGCCAAAGTGCTTAGATTACAGGCGTGAACCACCGTTCACAGACTCAAATCATTTTTATTACAGTATATTGTTATAATTGTTGTTTTATTATCAGTTATTGCTAATCTCTTACAGTGCCTGATTTATAAATTAAATTCATCATTGCCATGTGTATATAGAAAAAAACAGTGTATATACGGTTCAGTACTATCTGTGGTTTCAGGCATCCACTGGGGGTGCAGTTTATTAAACATGCATTTACATTAGTCTCCCCTTTGGGAGACTAATTAACTGAGATGTTGTAACGTGACTTTAATAGCAGATAGAGCTAATTTTCTCTCATTACTCTTCTTTTTCAGAATTTTCCTGGTTATTCCATTTTTTATTTTTCCATATGTATATTAAGATCTCTTCCACCTCCTCCTGTTTCTCCATCTCAACATCAAACAATTAAAAAAAAAAAAAAGGCTGGGCGCGGTGGCTCACGCCTATAATCCCAGCTCTTTGGGAGGCCTAGGCGGGTGGATCACGAGGTCAGGAGTTCAAGACCAGCCTCGCCAAGATGGTGAAATCCCGTCTCTACTAAAAGTATAAAAATTAGCCAACCATGGTGGCAGGCGCCTGTAATCCCGGCTACTCGGGAGGCTGAGGCAGAGAATTGCTTGAACCTGGGAGGCGGAGGTTGCAGTGAGGCGAGACCTTGCACTCCAGCCTGGGTGACACAGCGAGACTCCGTCATAAAAAAAAAAAGCCGGAAGCAGTGGCTCACGCCTGTAATTCCAGCACTTTGGGAGGCTGAGTCAGGCAGATTACCTGAGGTCAGGAGTTCAGGACCAGCCTGGCCATGAAAATACAGCCTGGCCATGAAAACACACAATAAATTAGCTGGGCGTGGTGTCACACACCTGTAATCCTAGCTACTCGGGAGGCTGAGACAGGAGAATCACTTGAACCCAGGAGGCAGAGGTTGCAGTGAGTTAAGATGACGCCACTGCACTCCATCTGGGCGACAGAGCCAGACTCTCTCTCAAAAAACTAAATAAATAAAAATAAAGTTATGGTACATTGAACTTCTGTGTTCCTTTCTCCCTTAGATACTTTCATGGCTACCCATTTAATTGATGTTCTTATCATCTCCAAGAGTTAGTCAGGAGAGGAATCAACCCAAGCAAAAATAGCTGATTTTCTAATTTTCCTTCAATGCCCTTTGGGGTCTTAATCCATTTGATTTATGTACTTTCAATTAATCCTAACCTCGAATGTCTTCTGCAAACATGTTTCCACAGATGAAACTCGTCAAATGAAACACATTCCTTTAATTTATAGAGTTAAAAATTAGAAAAATTTTCAATTCTATTTGGCCTTTAGATTCAGTCTTGCATATGTTTTCTCAATTTTGTTCATGCTCTTTAGTTTTGTTTTATTCCATCACAATTGTTCACATAGCTTACTGGCTTAGGTCTAATGAACCATTCATTTGGAAATTAAAATTGGCCATTTTAAGATGAAAAAGATTCTTGCCTCAATTTTACTTAGTTTTTGAAACTGTCAATGAGGACACATGTTTTTCTGTACTCTTAGATTCACTAAGTAGTGTCTTGCAAATTTAACTGACAAAGGACAGATTAACATGCGAAAAAAAGAGCATGCAATTTTATTAGTATATTACATGCACAGAGTTCCCAAAGAAAAAAAAATTGAAACCTTAAAAACGCGGTTAGACTCACAGACTTATACACCATTCCAACAAAGGAAAGGGAGTTTGCACTTCATGGGATGACGAATTTGGGAATGTGACAAGGAAATAAATACATGGGCAATAAAAACCATGGAAGATAAAATGAAAGATAGAAATAATTGTAGTAAGGTTTGTTTTTGCAGAGTCATCTCAGTGCCAACCTTCCATATCTAGTGATAAGAATTGCTCTCTTTTTCCTGGTATAGCAGTTGGGGACACTTTTACAAGGGAAATTTCTGTCACCTTCACAAAGGGAAATTTGGGTAAAGAGAAGACAGAGACCTCTTCCTACACCTGTTGATTTTCAATTGCCTTCAGCTGAAAATAACTTTTATGCCAAAGTAGAATAATTTGGGGGTGACATCCTGATATTCTTCAAAACTTATATTTAATTTCACATTAGTAATTATATCATTTTTGATTTTTAAATTAGTTTTATAAAATAATTTTGAAAAACGGTAATAATATTCAAATAATTCCAGAAACACTGCTGATAAGCCAAAAACATCAATGAATATTGCATAAACAACTGATAATTCAACCATGAAAATTTATGACATTGTTCTTGTGTGATAAAACTATGAGTAACATAAAAACTAGAGGCTACTTGTAATGCATTATTCCAAACTTTCTGTTTTTTATTTATTTATTTATTTATTTTGAGACATAGTCTCTCTCTGTCACCCAGGTTGGAGTGCAATGGCGTGATCTTGGTTCACTGCAGCCTCCACTTCCCCGGTTCAAGCAATTCTCCTGCCTCAGCCTCCTGAGTAACTGGGATTACAGGCACCTGACACCAAACCCGGCTAATTTTTTTGTATTTTTAGTAGAGACGGGGTTTCGCCATGTTTGCCAGGCTAGTCTCGAACTCCTGACCTCAGTGATCCACCTACCTCGGCCTCCCAAAGTGCTAGGATTACAGGCGTGAGCCACCATGCCCGGCGCATTATTCCAAACTTTCATACACAGTGCTATCATGGCTACAAATTGAAGTATCATATTATACACTCCTAGGCAAAGCTCTGGATATTTTGGCTATATAAGCCTGAGGGAAATGTAGTAAGGACATTGTGGTTGAAATTCATACCAGAGATGAACAGGCCCAGTGCAAGACAGAATTACATCACTAAAGGATATCAGAAGAGAATAGGGATTTAGGGTACAGTGGCAACAACAGTTTTGGGAACTAGCATTTTTTGAGCACTTATTTACAATATGCCAAGCACTGTTGCTGATTACTCTATATTTATTTTCAAACACATTCTTGTCACAGCACTTTGAAGTAAGTGCCATTGTCATTCCCACTTCAGGGTGAAGGACTAAAGCTTGGTGTCATTAAGGATGTAGCTAGTTAGCTGTGTGTGTGTGTGTGTGTGTGTGTGCATTTTTTTTTAAATTTAAAGTCAATAAATTTTTATTTGAAGAATTTCACATCAAGGTAAACTTTGTTCCTCTAAAGAGCTGGAGTCAAAATGTATCTTCAAAAGATTCATCTTCAAGTTAGCCCTTCTTAATAGAACTGATGCTTAATCCACAGTTGTCAGCCCACAGTTCTTTTATTTTGACTTTTTTTTTTTTTTTTTTTTGAGACGGAGTCTCTCACTGTCACCCAGGCTGCTGGGCAGTGGCGTGATCTCGGCTCGCTGCAACCTCTGCCTCCCGGGTTCAAGTGATTCTCCTGCCTCAGCCTCCTTAGTAGCTGGGACCACAGGCGCATGCCATCGTGCTCGGCTAATTTTTGTATTTTTATTAGAGACAGGGTTTCACTATGTTGGCCAGGCTGATCTCAAACTCCTGACCTCATGATCCGCCTGCCTTGGCCTCTCAAAGTGCTGGGATTACAGGTGTGAGCCACTGCACCCGGCCTTATTTTGCCTTCTTTAATCTCCATTTGAACATACACATACTGATGAAAACTACAACATTCTTCACCAAAAATCTTTGGGATTTAATTTCTTCAACCACTTTACTTTGGGGTCATTTTAAGATTAGGTGTATCTGCCTGGTTCTCAATTTGACACCCTTTCTCTCTAAACATGAATGAGTTCCAATCATATTTATTCCTAAGCTATCACACTCAAATATACTACAGATCTGTGGAATATGCCAAAAGTTAAGGTGAAAAATTAAATTATTAGGTATTTCATAGTTTTGCTAGTTTTTGATCTGTGAGTGAATATAACTATCCTCTATGTCCTGGCACTGTTCCTCAGAAACATAGGGTCCACATATGTAATTTTAAATTTTTTAATAGGCACATTTTAAAAAGTGAAAAAAGAAATCTATTTTAATGATTTGAATCCAGTGTAACCAAAAATTGTTTCAACAAGGTATCTAATATTAAAATATTGAGTTTTTACTTTGTTATTTTACTAGTTCTTTGAAATCTGGTGTGTATTTTACACTTAAAGCACATCACAGTTTGGAGTAGCCACATTTCCAATGCTTAATACTCACATATGGTTAGTGGCAACTATCTTGGACAGGACAGCTTTTATACTCTGGGAAGACACAAGCAAATACTTGCTCTGCAGCAGAATCCAGATGTTTTCCAAGAAAACACTTTTTCTGACCTGTTCCTGAAACCCAGGTAGTGTCTCTAATACTTTATATTTTATTGGTTTGTCCTATTGTAACCACCCAACGGGCTCTCCTTGTCCACTTCCTAGACAGAGCTGATTTATCAAGACAGGGGAATTGCAATAAGGAGCCAGCGCTACAGGAGACTAGAGTTTTATTATTACTCAAATCAGTCTCCTTGAGAATTTGGGGACCAAAGTTTTTAAGGATAATTTGATTGTAGGGGACCAGTGAGTCGGGAGTGCTGCTTGGTTGGGTCAGAGATGAAATTATAGGGAGCCTAAGCTGTCCTCTTGTGCTAAATCAGTTCCTGGGAGTGGTGGGGTGGGGGACTCAAGACCAGATAATCCAGTTTATCTATATGGGTGGTGCCAGCTAATCCATTGTGTTCAGGGTCTGCAAAATAGCTCAAGCATTGATCTTAGGTTTTAAAATAGTGATTTTATCCCCAGGAGCAATTTGAGGTTTAGAATCTTGTAGCTTCCAGCTGCATGACTCCTAAACCATAATTTATAATCTTGTGGCTAATTTGTTAGTCCTGCAAAAGCAGTCTGGTCCCCAGGCAGGAAAGGGGTTTGTTTCTGAAAGGGCTGTTATTGTTTTTGTTTAAAAGCAAAAGTATAAACTAAGCTCCTCCCAAAGTTAGTTAATCCCAAACTCAGGAATGAAAAGGACAGCTTGGAGTTTAGACGTTAGATGGAGTCGGTTAGGTAAGATCTCTTTCACTGTAATAATTTTCTCAGTTATGATTTTTGCAAAGGCAGTTTCACTGTCCACTTCACCTCACATCAGGCCTCTGACTAGAGGATTCCAACAATACTTAGGCCAGGACACCACCATGTCTCCTTATCCACCCTGAGGGAGTCCAATTTCTGAAACAAAGGAAACTATATATGATAGTATGAAACTATATATGAGAAGGAAATTATATATGATAATCAATTTTAGGGTTATCTTATTGATTAGAAGATATTAAAGTGTGACACTGCCTGGCAATGATATCTGCTGGTAGTAAGAATTTGGCGAATTTAGTGAAATTCCTGAGGCTGAACCTCCACTTCTGTAAAATGGAGACAGTGAGATAATTTGCCTTACAATGCTGAAGTAAGAATTTTACACAATAATTCAGACCAACCACTTCATGTGGTACTTGGCCCGTGGAAGACTATCAATGACAGTTAGTTTATAGTTTATACTATTAATGAATCCTTTGTTTCATTGTTATTTCCTTCTACACGTTGGCCTCTCTAAAAGAAGGTAATATTCAATACAAATAAAGTTAAAACAGCTTGCAGAGTTGTCCCAGGGAACTCACTTAACCACTGAAGTGTTCAAATTGCTTAAGGTTGACTTTATATTCTCCTGACTAACCTTTCTCCTTCTGGTATTTCTTCTGAGAACAGCACCACCATCCAAAGCATCATGCAAACAGTGGTCATCCCAGACCAGTAATTCTCAACTCACAGGGTGCTCCTGCAGAGATGTATTTGAATAGAGTGGTAGGATGCTGAAGAAGGCCACGTAAAATTTGGCCAGTGATCTGGGGCAGATTTATCCTGAAGCTAATGAAACACAAGTGTAAGGGCCTGTACTTCCAAGGTGCAGAGAGGGGCCCTACAAATGTGTTAGTTTGTCTCTCTCTCTCTCTCTGATTTTAAAATTTGCAGTATTAAGGTACTTTAATCACGGATGGTTCAGGCTGCTATTTTCACTCAATCCTCCTTTTTATTAAAATCACCATTGTCTGATTATGTTAGAATCCTGATGAAAATATTTGGAATTTGAGTAAGAGAAAGTTTAGTTGAAGATGTATCTAGTATGGGGATAATAAGTTACGTGATTTGCATATGTGATCATGTGTACTTCATTCGTTGCCAGCCAATCTGACGTAAGAATGGCTTCAAGGAGGCCGGGCGCGGTGGCTCACGCCTGTAATCCTAGCACTTTGGGAGGCCGAGACGGGCGGATCACGAGGTCAGGAGATCGAGACCATCTTGGCTAACACGGTGAAACCCCGTTTCTACTAAAAATACAAAAAATTAGCCGGGCGTGTTGGCGGGCGCCTGTAGTCCCAGCTACTTGGGAGGCTGAGGCAGGAGAATGGCATGAACCTGGGAGGCGGAGCTTGCAGTGAGCCGAGATTGCGCCACTGCACTCCAACCTGGGAGACACAGCGAGACTCCGTCTCAAAAAAAAAAAAAAAAGAATGGCTTCAAGGAATGTTCCTACTGCTCACTGGAATAACTCACCTAAATTCCTGGCAAGATGCAGGTCTAGATAAAATGTTATGACATCTAAGTATTCAAAACACATTCCCAGCACTGAGAGTGAGTGTCTAGTGGAGAGTAGAAACGTATAGAGCCAGAAGCTAGTCTGGAAAGAATTCTTACAAAGTTTACAACTTACATGTGAAAGGAGCTTAACAGAGGATTTTCCAAATTTGAAAACAATCCTAAAAACTTACTTGACATTACCAATAATGTGTTTTGAAACTGAAATACTTCTAAGTTATGAAGAAAACATATTATCATCAGCCACCCTGGAGGAAAGATTGAATTCTATTTCCATTACCTATAGACAACATTACAAAATAATTTCGATCTGAAGATGGAATCAGAGTATTCAGTCAAAACTACAGGAAAATATACTTGGTAGTGTCATATTCAGAAGTTAATAAAATATGCTATTTTCTGAATTTTGTGATGGCTGTTGTTTTGTCAGCTTTTATAAAATTGGAATTTGATTTTATTTTCCCATTATAAATTTATATTTACAGTCTGCAGTACTTTTGCATTTTTAATTTTACATTATAGTTTTTAATAGTTAACAAGTTGTAAAAGGTTTGATCCCCAGAAAACCTTGATCTACCCCATCAGTTAAGTATACTAATATATTTAGAAAATGGATGAAATCAGCATTTGAATATTTTTAAATATTTATTAAAAGAGGACATGGGTAAAAGAGCTTTGCAGTTGCCACCCTTCATTCTCAAATTCCCTGGATAAGGATGACCGCATAATCTTTGGATGGTCATACGCAAGTCTTGTGTACTTGTTACATAAATCTATTTAGTGGACTTTTGGCAGTGTGTACTGAGGCCAGTTTCTTCCACCTGAGCTCTGACTCCACCTCCAGCAGCCCAAAACCAATACTGAATTTTGGGGTCAGCTATTGTTTTTGTGGACTTAGGTAACTACACACACATTGTCTTTATGATAGCTTTAATAATACTGCCATCAGAACTAAAATTGTCACGTGGATTAAAAGGAGTGACGGTGGTGTCCCCAGGAGCCTTTCAATATGTAAGTATTTACACATATACATGCTAAAAAGACCCCTAGGAATTTTTTAACAAGGGCAAAACAGTAACTCAGCTTGTTTTCTCGCAGTAAAACCGGTTGAAAAGGCCTGATAGACTTGTCTGCAGTTACAAAACTTGTGTGTAGTTATCACCTTTATATCTCCTGGAAACTAACATAGACAACCGAATGGGTTACAACTGTTTTTAAGTGAAATTGTGAGTGGCTCTGAAAAGAGCCTTTTCAATGAGGAAGAAACGGGCAGACTTATGCCCTTTCCCCACGGATGCGACGTGCCAGCTGGATATCTTTGGGCATGATGGTGACGCGTTTAGCGTGAATAGCGCACAGATTGGTGTCTTCGAAGAGTCCCACCAGGTAGGCCTCACAAGCCTCCTGCAGCGCCATCACCGCAGAGCTCTGGAAACGCAGGTCGGTTTTGAAGTCCTGGGCGATTTCTCGCACCAGGCGCTGGAACGGCAGCTTCCGGATCAGCAGCTCGGTGGACTTCTGGTAGCGACGGATTTCGCGCAAGGCCACGGTGCCCGGGCGGTAGCGATGAGGTTTCTTCACGCCACCGGTGGCCGGAGCGCTCTTACGGGCTGCTTTAGTAGCAAGCTGCTTGCGCGGAGCTTTGCCGCCGGTAGACTTGCGAGCTGTTTGCTTCGTACGAGCCATTTGCAATGAGAGCACACACAAAAGTGTAGTGAACTGAGAGCAAGTGGCCTTTAAATATAGTGAGAAACATTCTGATTGGTCCTGTAATATTTCAAAAGTCCCGCGCGATAAAATCATTGGCTGAAGAGTGACCAGACTGATTGGTTCATTACTAGACAATCTTATTGGATGAGTTGCCCCACCGCCCATCCTGTCCTTTTCGTTTCAGTTATCTGCAGCGACAAATTGTCTAAAATTCTAGTTCATCCAGTCCCAAAGAACAGAGTGTATAACAAGGTATCTAAGGATTTTTAAAATGTAAATTCCGATTCAGTAAGTTTGAGTGGGACTTGAAATTCTGCATTCCTGACAGTCTCGCAAGTTATCAATGCTGGTGAACACTCACTAAACCACCAGAAACGTTCAGACTCATGTCGGGAAATAACGCTTATATTCAGAGAATGAGATTCCATGCTATTTTGTTACTGGCGAACAGCAAGTTTCCTTGCCCTTTGTTTTCTAAGTCCAAGTCACATTCCCACCCTGCCTGTTCTCAAAATGTCTTATTTTGGTTGGCCTTAAGTTTCACTTTGTATACTCTAAAATGTACTTTCTAAAGGAAGGTGTTATTTTCTCGAAACTTAACTTTTTAACACCATTAGGCTAGGGGGGCGGTGGCTCACGCCTGTAATCCCAGCATTTTGGGAGGGCGAGATGGGACGATCACTAGAGGCCAGGAGTTCAAGACAACCCTGGCTAAAATGGTGAAACCCCGTCTCGCATAAAAATACAAAAACTAGCTGGGCGCGGTAGCAGACGCCTGTAATCCCAAGTACACAGGAGGCTGAGGCATGAGAACCGCGTGAAGCGGCGGGGTGGAGGTTGCAGTAAGCCGATATCGCGCCGCTGCACTCCAGCCTGGGTGACAGAACTAGACTGTCTCAAAACAAACCAATCCAAACGAAAAGCAAAAAATACCCTAACAGAAGCAAGTTATCATCCTTTCTTGTGTAACTATGGACGGCTCTGAAAAATGCCGTTTCAAGTGTAAGCTACGTTTTCTGATTTGAGTGTTTACTTGACCTTGGCCTTATCGTGGCTCTGTTATTTTGGCAACAGGACGGCCTGAATATTGGACAGGACGCCTCCCTGAGCAATAGTGACGTTGCCCAGCTGCTTGTTGACCTCCTCGTCGTTTCGGATGGCCAGCTGCAGGTGGCGGGGGATGATGCTGCGGGTCTTGTCACGTATGGCGCTGCCCACCAGTTCTAAGATCTCGGCGGCCAGGTATTGTAAGTACACTGGCGCACCGGCTCCGACCGGCTCAAAATAATTGCCCTTTCGAAAAAGATGACGGACTCTGCCCTATTGGGAACTGCAAGCCCGGTAGCGACGAACAAGTTTTTGCTTTAGCTCCATTTTCCACGTCCGCAAATAGCGACCTATGAAAGCAGCGGAAAACTGTGAAAGACAAGCAAGCTGGAATGGCGCCTGAACAAATCCTTTTATACAAACTGCAAGGCTGCAATAGGAAGCTATCCTATTGGTCAATTATGTTTGGTGCTTTATCCAATAGAAAAAGATAACATAAATTCCATATTTGCATAAACCCCACCCCTCAGTGAAACCGTGTTTCTTTTGTCCAATCAGAAGTGAGGAATCTTAAACCGTCATTTGAATCTCAGGACTATAAATACATGGGCTCTGAACTGTTCTCTGTACTACTCTGTAGTGGAGAGTGTTAGTAGCTTTTCTATTCTGTTTAGGAATAGCAATGCCTGAACCCTCTAAGTCTGCTCCAGCCCCTAAAAAGGGTTCTAAGAAGGCTATCACTAAGGCGCAGAAGAAGGATGGTAAGAAGCGTAAGCGCAGCCGCAAGGAGAGCTATTCTATCTATGTGTACAAGGTTCTGAAGCAGGTCCACCCCGACACCGGCATCTCATCCAAGGCCATGGGGATCATGAATTCCTTCGTCAACGACATCTTCGAGCGCATCGCGGGCGAGGCTTCTCGCCTGGCTCACTACAATAAGCGCTCGACCATCACCTCCAGGGAGATTCAGACGGCTGTGCGCCTGCTGCTGCCTGGGGAGCTGGCTAAGCATGCTGTGTCCGAGGGCACTAAGGCAGTTACCAAGTACACTAGCTCTAAATAAGTGCTTATGTAAGCACTTCCAAACCCAAAGGCTCTTTTCAGAGCCACCTACTTTGTCACAAGGAGAGCTATAACCACAATTTCTTAAGGTGGTGCTGCTGCTATTCTGTTTCAGTTCTAGAGGATCAACTGGAATGTTAGCGAAGACAAGTTTTAGAGCCAAGGTTAACTTGGACGGGGCCGTGCGCGGTGCCTCTTGCCTTTAATCCCGGCAATTTGGGAGGCCGAGGCGGGCGGATCACGAGGTCAGGAGATGGAGACCATCCTGCTTAACACGATGAAACCCCGTCTCTACTAAAAATACAAAATAATTAGCTGGGCGTGATGGTGGGCGCCTGTAGTCCCAGCTACTCGGGAGGCTGAGGCAGGAGAATGGCGTGAACGCGGGAGGCGGAGCTTGCAGTGAGCCGAGATCGCGCCATGGCACTCCAGCCTGGGTGACAGAGCGAGACTCCGTCTCAAAAAAAAAAAAAAAAAAAAATTAAAAAAATATGAAGTTTTGAAGCAGAAATTATTTTGTCGTATGTTCTTTCATAAATTTTTTGCCTGCCTGCCTTCTTCCTTTGTTACAGAACTCCAACACTTACCCAAAGGTAGCTGTTGGGTCAGGGTTTCTGTACTATAGTCCCTTCTGTGGTGGCCAGAAATATGTTACAGGAAAGAGGTCCCCATCCAGACCCCAAGAGAGGGTTCTTGGATCCCGCGCAAGAAAGAGTTCAGGGTGAGTCCGCAGTGCAAAGTAAATGCAAGTTTACTAAGAAAGTAAAGTGGTGAAACGACAACTACTCCATAGACGGAGCAGGACATTCCCGAAAGTAAGAGGAGGAAGGCATCCACCCTAGGTACAATACTTGTATATATGGGGAGATGTGCTCTGCTACAAGTTTGTGATAAAGGATTAATTTTCTTAGTTACTATATTTTGCAAGAATCAACATTATTATCTTTAAACAAAATTAAGAATGCCTTTGTTCTCCAGATATAGGGATATCTGGACACTCCTAAGTCTGAGTCTGTTTAGTAAACATTATTTATTTGTTCCCTTAACCGTAAACATCTAGAAGCTAGGAATGACTGACTTTCTGGGAATGCAGCCCAGAAAGTCTCAGCCTCATTTTCCTAGCCCTCACTCAAAATGGAGTTACTCTGGTTCAAGTAACTCTGACACTTTTCTTCTCTTTTTTTCTTCTTTTTTCCTTCCTTTATTTTTTATTTTTTATTTTTGAAATAAGAAATCAAGAATACTTGATGTTTCATCTAAAACAATACCCATAATTGATAAGCCAAAACAAAAACCTAGGTCTTCTAACTCAAAACTAGGATGTTTTGCTGTCTCTGCTGATACTCGGCTGATCGTTAATAGGTAATTAACAAACAAGCCTTGCTATGTCCCCCTCAGTTTATTACCATTAGATCATATGCCTACTGTCAATCATATTAATCCACAACTATGCATTTCACAAAACTTGCCATAAAAATTCACAGGTTTCCCGCTTCCCTCGAGTTTTCATTTCCGAAGGGTCCCATGTAATATAAAACTTATATTAAATACATTTGTATGCTTTTCTCTTGCTAATCTTTTTTTTTGTTTTTTGAGACTGAGCCTTGCTCTGTCACCCAGGCTGGAGTGCAATGGCGCGATCTCGGCTCACTGCAACCTCCGCTTCCCAGGTTCAAGCGATTCTACTGCCTCGCCCTCCCGAGTAGCTGGGACCACAGATACGTGCCACCATGCCCCGCTAATTTTTGTATTTTTAGTAGAGACAGGGTTTCACCGTGTTGGCCAGGATGTTCTCAATCTCCTTACCTCGTGATCCGCCCGCCTCGTCCTGCCAAAGTGCTCGGATTACAGACGTGAGCCACTGCACCCGACCAATCTGTCTTTTTGTAGAGGGGCCTCAAGCATGAACTTACTGATGGGTGAGAAAAACAGAATTTTCTTTTCCCCTACAATATAAACATTAATTGTAATGTTATCATTCAGGACATTTTGGTGACCAATCTTACAGAAATTTTATCTTGTGCAAGTCTATGCAAACCAATATGTAAATCTTCTATAAGTGAGATTGTATTTCACTTTTCTAGTATCCTTTTAAATTAATAAAAGAGATTCTAATGATTATTTTCATTACTGCATTTCATTGTAGGGAAGTAGATAATTGCCCTTTATTCACTGACCTTCGCTTTTTAAAAATTTAAACCATGTTACCATGAAAATGCTTTTCAGTATTTCTCTACACACAAGATTGCTGTAAGGGCAAAAATAGAGATAGGAATCATGCATCCATTGATATACATATTTTGATTTTTAATACATGTTACCAAGTTGCCTCCTGAAGGTCTGTTTACACTCTCACCAACAGGGTGTTTTTTCCTGACTTCCACAAATGCTCTTGAACAGTGGGTGTGTTAGTCTGTTCAAATTGCCGACATGAACAATTAAATCTCATTGTTGTTTTTATTTTTAAGACAATTATTGTTTGAGACTGCACATTTTGATAATAACATTTCTTCTATTATGGTTTGATTACTCATGATTCTTGCCCATTTTCTTTTGGGATGTTGCCTTATGTACATTATTTTAAATAGATAGCTCCATGTATTAAAAGATTATTAAGTTTGAGGGCTTATGATATGTCAGTTACATTTCTAAGATTTTTTTTTTTTTTTTTTTTGAGACGGAGTTTCACACTTGTTGCCCAGGCTGGAGTGCAATGGTGCGATCTCGGCTCACCGCAACCTCCGCCTCCAGGGTTCAAGCAATTCTCCTGCCTCAGCCTCCCCAGTAATTGGGACTACTGGCAAGCGCCACCACGCCTGGCTAATTTTGTATTTTTATTAGAGATGAGGTTTCTCCATGTTGGTCAGACTGGTCTCGAACTGCCGACCTCAGGTGATCCACCCGCCTCGGCCTCCCAAAGTGCTGGGATTACAGGTATGAGCCACTGGGCCCGGCCACATTTCTAAATTCTTTATAAGTATAAATTCATTCAATCTTCACCAAAACTCAATGAAGTGTGAGTACTATTATTATCATTGTTTTACAGATCAAAACAAGTAATACAGTCACTTACTGAGTTCTATACACCTGGTAATTTTTTTGTTTCGTTGTTCTATCAATTATTGGGGAAGGGGTGTTGAAATCTCTACCTTTAAATCATGTATGTGTCTATTTCTCCTTTCGGTTCTATCAGGTTTTGCTACACATATTTTGCAGTTCTGTTATTTGGTGCATATACATTTAGAATTGCTTGTTTTTCGTATTGGATTGACCCTGTTATCATTATGTAATATCCCTGTCTGTTCCTAGTAATTTTCTTTGCTCTGAAATATACTTATCTGATATATCATCCAAAAGACCACCAGGATGGCTAAAGAGTAGAAAGGAGAGATTTACTGGCAATACTAATTTGCAAGCCAGGAAGAGATGGTCCCAGAACCTGCCAAAATTACTCTCTCTTTGGGGAGAAGGAGCAGGTTGGTTATTTTTATGCCTCATAGGCTATATATTACACAATAGAGTCATACATATTTAGCACGTTTGGGGGGACAGCTATATATATTATGAGGGGTGCCAAGTGCATTCACAATGGATAAACACGTGTAATATACCTCCCATGTTCACTTCGAGGTTAAATTTTGGTTAAAATGAGGTAGAATTTAGGTCTTTACATCACAAGGTGAACTATAGGAACAAAGTTTACGTGCTGCCTCTAGCAGCTGGCTGAAAATGGCTTAAGGTCTACAATTACGTGTAAGAATAGAATGTGTGTCAAGGCGGTCCTCTGTCCAATCAGAGTTGTAGTGGACTGGACTGTAAATCAGAGTTAGGAGGGCTTCTGATAGCTCCTATAGTTAAGGAATTTAGCAAGTGTGAGTTTTTTGGTAGTCTTTGGAATTTAGGAATTTGCCATGCCAGCCAAGCCATGAATGCTCTACCAGTAGGTAACTTTGTTTGCTTAATCTTAGAGTCTGTCTTAGTTGGTATAGGGGCATCTATTTTGGTCTTTCAGATCCCAGATATTATTAATACAGATACTCTTGCAGTTTTGGGCTGATGTTTATATGGCTTATCTTTTTTGCAGCCTTTAATTTCAACCTGCGTTATGTTTATATTTGAAGTGAGATTCTTGCAGACAGTGTACAGTTGTTGTTTTTTTTTTTTTGAGATGGAATTTCACTCTTGTTGTCCAGGCTGGGGTGCAGTGGCACAGTCTCAGCTCACTGCAACCTCCGCCTCCTGGGTTCAAGGGATTCTCCTGCCTCAGCCTCTTGAGCAGCTGGGATTGCAGCCATGCGCCACCACACCCGGCTAATTTTTGTATTTTTAGTAGAGACAGGATTCACCATGTTGCCCAGGCTGGTCTCGAACTCCTGACCTCAAGTGATCCGCCAGCCTCGGCCTACCAAAGTGCTGGGATTACAGGTGTGAGACCTCGCGCCCAGCCAAACTGTTTTTTTATGGGTGTATTTATACCACACACATTTAATGCAATTATTGATATCTTAGGGCTTAAGTTCATGAAGGGTAGTGTGGGAACCATAGTCTCTTGGCCCACTAAATGTTTGCCAGAAATCACTGACAAGGCAGATTGATTAATAGGTGAAAAGGCATTTTACCTATTGTTTAACGTGTCTATGTGGGAGCATTCAGAATTAATTACCTAACTTCCCAATGAGTTATAGATGCTTATATACCATTTTTAGATCACAGAAAGAATTGGGGCTTAGATTCTGGTAAAACAGGTTATGGGAGGCAAAAGAGGTTTGGCTTGCAAAGGTGGCCTTGTTAGGTAGGTGAAGCCTCCCTCAGAAAGAACAGATGGTAAATGTTTCTTTTATGATTTTTAAGTGTCAGACTCTCAGTCTCTCCTGGATCTGGGGAAAGGTATAGAAAGGTGAGGAGGCATGGCTGCATTAATGGAGATTCTCTACAGATGTAAAATTTTTCCCATTTAAGGCAGCTTTGCAAGCCCATTTCTGCCTGCTGGCCAAGCAGCAGCCATTTCAAAATATGTCAAAGAAATATATTTTGGGGTAAAATATTTTGATTTCCTTTAGACTGGTGGCCTTATAAGAAAAGGAAGAGACACCTGAGCTGACACACATACCCTTGCTCTCTCAACATGTTATGATGCAGTAAGAAGGCCCTCACCAGATACTAATTCCATGCCCTTAGCTTCCCAGGTTCTAGAACAGTAGGAAATAAATTTCTTTTCTTTAAAAGTTAGCCAGTCTGTGGTATTCTGTTATAGTATCACAAAATGGACTAAGTAACTATATTATGATCATCTTACATGACTGATCCCTCCTACATCATACACATACACAGGCCACATTTGGAACATTGTTAGAGGTTCCTCTGCCCAGTACAAATGTACTACAAATTATATATGTATTTTTAAATTTTTGAGTATCTTCAATAGTATATTTTCGTTAACTTTTGTAGTCAAAATGTCATTATAACATGTATTCAATATGCATAATTATTAGTCAGATGTTTTACATTCTTTCTTCATACTAAGTGATATGGTTTGGATATTTGTCCCCTCTAAATCTCATGTTGAAATGTAATCTCCAATGTTGGAAGTGAAGCCTGGTGAAAGGTTTTTGGATCGTGAGGGTGAACCCCTCATGAAGCGCACTCTTCAGGGTAATCAATGGGTTCTCACTTTGAGTTCACAAGAGATCTGGTTCTTTAAAAGAGTGTGACACCTCCCCCATCTCTCTCGCTCAGCTCTCACCATATGATATGCCTACTCCCTCTTCACCTTCCACCATGATTGGAAGTTTCCTGAGGACTTGCCAGTAGCAGATGCCTGCACCACACCTCCTGTACAGCCTGCACAACCGTGAGCCAAAAAAAATTACTTTTCTTTATAAATTAGTCAGTTTCAGGGATTCCCTTATAGTAATGCAAGAACGAACTAACACACTAAGTCTATTTCATATTTACAGAATAGCTCAATCTGAAGTACCCTTTTTCAACTTCACAGTAGCTACTTGTAGCTAGTGGGCACTGATTTGGAGCGTGTTCAAGGGTGAATTGTATTATGCAATTAACAGATTTTTTTTATTGTTTTCGCAAACCACGAGGCATAGATTGTCTTACTTTCTCTGCTCCTGGTGTTGGAGTTGTTATTGGGAAACAACTTATTTTCCTCTTATATTTATATGGAATAAATAACCCCCAATATTTCCCTCCCCAATATCTGCCTTTTGTATGTTTTTTGAAGGCAAGTGCCTAGAATTTACTGTTTTTGAAGCACTTACTGAAAGGATTGCCATCAAGTTGTTTTGCTAATAGTACATGCCAGGCGCTTGTTGGTTTGCTTAATTCAAGGTAACTTGGATGAGAAGAAGAGTTTTTCTCATCCATGGCTCAGTGGAGTATAGATTACTGATATTGTGACTGGATGTACTCCTGCTTTCTAGTCTGAGTTTTTGAAGCTACCCTTAATCTTGGTTTCAATTTTATCTAGCCCTGTACATATCCAAGGCTCTTTCCAAAATGGTCTACGATTTGTTTAGGAAGTTAGAATAGCTGTACTTTCTGAACCACGGTTCCTGACATTTTCTGGACTTCAAACACATCCAGCATTTTATCGAAGTATTTATCCTTCCTACTTGGCTGGCTTCTTCCTTGCCTTCAGGTCTGAATTCAAATGACATTCTCCTGATGAAACTTTCCATCCTTATTTCTATTCTTTTTTCTTATCCCCTTTCTTTATTTTTCTCCACAGCACTCATCACTTATCTCTACATTTTCATTATGTATTTACCTTATTGTGCACCTCCCACTACAAGACAAGTAGCACCGTAAGGAAACAGGTTGTCTGCTTTTTCACTGCTATGCTCCCTGCACCTAGAACACTCTCTGGCACTTAGCAGGTTTTCAGTAAATATATGCTGAACTAATAATGCTGGATATACATCTCCCTCATGAACTCTCTAAATCCTTCTAATTTACATTGATCAATCTTCTTTTCCATGTGCTTTTGTATGATTTATTGCTCAAAATCTTTATTTTATATGCAGAACGTGCACTGCTATTTAATCTTCATGTACGTAAGTCCTCCCTTCTCTGAGTATAATCTCTTCAGGGCACTATCTGAGATAACTTTTTAACATCTCCATCATGAATCTTGTACCTTTTCAAAGAAAATGAGCCAGTGATTACTGATGTTTACGGCTATTGTTGAGGGTGAAGATCATTATAATTTTGAAAAGGGAAGTTGAATATTGTGAAGGGAAAGATAACACTAGAGTCAGAAGACTTGGGAGAAGGCAAAAAACAAACTAAAAATGAGCACTTTTAGTCTCCTGACAGTTTCTCTGAATCAAATCCATAGTTCTGTGACAGCGTTGGCTTAGAAGCAGATTTTTTTTTTTTTTTTTTTTGAAATGGAGTTTCGCTCTTGCCCAGGCTGGAGTGCAGTGGCACGATCTCGGCTCACTGCAACCTCTGTCTCCAGGGTTCAAGCGATTCTCCTGCTTCAGCCTATGGAGTAGCTGGGATTACAGGCTCCCACAACCACGCCCAGCTAATTTTTTGTATTTTTAGTGAAGACTGGGGTTTCACCATGTTGGCCAGGCTGGTTACGAACTCCTGTTCTCAAGTGATCTGCCCGCCTTGGCCTCCCAAAGTGTTGGGATTACAGGCATCAGCCACCGTGCCCAGCCAGGAGCAGATTTTTTTACACTCATGTTTCTTTTTCCTTCTGTCATCCTGTTTCAGTATAAGCAGACCACAGATAGAAGTAGTAGATACCTCAGAAATTCCTGGAATAATTAATCCACGTTCATCTGTACTCCATCTGCTCCTATCTCATGGAATATAAAAGGAAAAACACCAAGATTTCCCTAGGCAATCTGTCTTGATTTTAGGTTCCTCAACAGGAGAGCCAGACAATGGCTGTAATAATATTGTCCCGGCCAAGGAAAAACTTCCCCTTTGCCCTCCCAAGGTTTATGGAAAATTACTGGCAAAACACAGATTAACTGGAGAAAAGGCATATATATTTATTTCATCACAATTTTACAGGAGATTTTAGAATTAAGACTGAAAGATACAGGGGAAATTGCCCATTTTTATGCTTAGGTTCAACAAGATAAACAGCTGTATAGGGTACGATCTAATGCTAACAGACTGAGTGGGGAAGCCCCGCAAGGCTTGTCTGTCAAGATTCTTCTTGACCTCTCAGTGCAGCATTTCTTCCTTCTGGTTATAGGACAAGACTCTCTTTTAGAATGGGGGGTCTTATGACCTACAGGCAAACAAGGTAGGTTAGAGTAATACTTTTAGGTTTTATGGCTGGTTCTAGGGAAAAGGAGTTCTGGTTTGTATGGCCTACCTTGAGGAGGAATTCTGGTTTCTATGGCTAGACTTTGGGGAGAATGGGACTTACAGACAGGAAGGCAGAAGGTGGTCAGTGAAACACTTTTATAATCATAATCCCATTTTGAGTATTTCTGTGTTATGGAATGTTTGTTCTCTCATTTCCTGAAAGATTCCAGAGACTCCTCATTCAGTGTTGTGAAAAAGTTCAGGAAATGCAACTCAAAAATGTGCCACTTTGTTACGCTGATTTCTTTGAACTGAGGGCACCTAGGAAACAGTAAATTCAAGGAAGGGCTTTCGCTGAACTCTAATCAAAAATTTGAAAATTAAAAAAAAATTCAAAAAGGAATTTAGTTGTTAAGATTCACTTCCCTGGGGAATCTCATCAACCAGAGAAGATTAACTGTATCACAGGAGAGGAGACTGGTGGTTAACACCATCTAAACAGACTTTGTCACAGCTGTCACCTATTCTTTGAAACACCCATTTATTTTTCTCCAAAATCATATACTCTCCCCTAAGTTGCCTACATCCCCCTTCTTTCTCCCTTATGAATCAAGAGAGCTTATAAGCTTCTACAGTTCACTGGGATTTGGGGTATTCGCTTTTCTTCCCTCCCACTCCCCCTCCCCTTTTTTTGTCTTTGAGACACAGTCTTCTGGCTCTGTCGCCCACGCTGGAGTGTGGTGGCTCTATGTGAACTCACTGCAACCTCCTCCTCTCGGGTTCAAGCGATCCTCCCACCTCAGCTTCTCGAGTAACTGGAACTACAGGCGTGCA
The DNA here is from genome assembly GCF_000001405.40 of Homo sapiens. Lineage (NCBI taxonomy): Eukaryota > Metazoa > Chordata > Mammalia > Primates > Hominidae > Homo > Homo sapiens. Next base: position 26,034,157 of record NC_000006.12, on the reverse strand, counting down.
CTACCAAGCCCGGCTTTTTTTTTTCTTTTTCTCCCCCGTTTCTTTTTTGGTTATTTTACTGGAGACAGGGTTTCTCCATGTTGTCCACGCTGGTCTCGAACGCCTGACCCGCCGTCCTCGGCCTCCCAAAGTGCTGGTATTACGGGCATGAGCCACTGCGCCCGATTTGAAGGACCTCTTAAATATCTATTTAGAAATTGGTCGGAGTCCACTCCTTTCCAAAAACATGAGTCACAATCCGGGAAAAGCACGAGCGGCTGAAAGTCAAAATAACCAGAACAAAACCTCCACTCATGCTTAAAAAAGGTATTTTGACAAAATCCTAATTCGGCCAATTATTATTAGTATTCAAGTCGAAGGCTCGTCAAGCCAGACTGGGGATTGGGTCAAACATAAACCTTACACCAGACGGAAGGATTACATGCAAATGAAGGATGCAGATTCTGATTTCCCATTGGGTATTTGACATTAGCCAATGGGAGAATTCCTCACAGCCTACCTCCAGTCAGTATAAATACTTCTCTGCCTTGCGTTCTAATGTAGTTTCATTACATTTTCTTGTGGCGATTTTCCCTTATCAGAAGTAGTTATGTCTGGTCGCGGCAAACAAGGCGGTAAAGCTCGCGCCAAGGCTAAGACTCGGTCTTCTCGTGCAGGTTTGCAGTTTCCTGTGGGCCGAGTGCACCGCCTGCTCCGCAAAGGCAACTACTCCGAGCGCGTCGGGGCTGGCGCGCCGGTGTATCTCGCGGCGGTGCTTGAGTACCTGACCGCCGAGATCCTGGAGCTGGCGGGCAATGCGGCCCGCGACAACAAGAAGACCCGCATCATCCCGCGCCACCTGCAATTGGCCATCCGCAATGACGAGGAGCTTAATAAACTCTTGGGGCGTGTGACCATCGCGCAGGGTGGCGTTTTGCCTAATATTCAGGCGGTGCTGCTGCCTAAGAAAACTGAGAGCCATCATAAGGCCAAGGGAAAGTGAAGAGTTAACGCTTCATGCACTGCTGTTTTTCTGTCAGCAGACAAAATCAGCCTAACAGCAAAGGCTCTTTTCAGAGCCACCTACGACTTCCATTAAATGAGCTGTTGTGCTTTGGATTATGCCGCCCATAAAGATGTTTTTGAGGTGTTTTTAATGGCTTTGAGTGTGGCACTTTTAGTAATTTGTCCTGCAGAAATTAGATCCATAGAAACCTCAGGAATTCTAGGTATGTGGGAGAAGTGCCATGCAGCACAAAACATGTTTACAGGGGTGATTCGCGTTAAGTTTCACACACAGCAGTTACTACATTTTAGAGGAAGGAAATTATACCCATGAGTGCATTCCTAACTATCTTGAATGGAAGTGTTAAAACCCGCATGCCCCACACAAGTTTGAATATGTCATACCATTTGCTGTAGCAATTAATGGCATACACAATTGAGAGCACACACATTACCACTGAACATTTGAGTATGTATTTCCCAAAATGAGCTTTTTTCCAGTTTGGGGATGTTTTGCTTTGTTTTGGGGTGGAGTCTCCCTCTCGCCCAAGCTGCAGTGCAGCGGCGTGATAACAGCTCACTGTAACCTCGAACTCGGGCTCAAGCGATCCTCTTGACAGCCTTCTGAGTAGCTGGGATTACAGGCGAGAGCCGCCACGCCCGGCTAAGAGCATTTTTCTAATTGCCCACACTTCTTATGCGACACCCAGAAAAATACAATTTTAAATAAAGCGCATATGCAAATTTCCCTAATCGTCTCCAATATTCTCTGATTTCTTTTTTATATTTTAACTAGAAACAATTGGAGGTTTCCGCGTTGCTTTGTGTGGTTGTAAATTTTAAGACTTCAGGAAACTTTTCCAGTACAAGACTTGTCCACAGTGGATATAGCAGCTAAGGGGTTAACAAAATGACGTCAGAGTAGCTACGGTAATGGGCAGGAGCCTCTCTTAATCTGCAACCAGGCACAGAGATGGACCAATCCAAGAAGGGCGCGGGGATTTTTGAATTTTCTTGGGTCCAATAGTTGGTGGTCTGACTCTATAAAAGAAGAGTAGCTCTTTCCTTTCCTCCACAGACGTCTCTGCAGGCAAGCTTTTCTGTGGTTTTGCCATGGCTCGTACTAAACAGACAGCTCGGAAATCCACCGGCGGTAAAGCGCCACGCAAGCAGCTGGCTACCAAGGCTGCTCGCAAGAGCGCGCCGGCTACCGGCGGCGTGAAAAAGCCTCACCGTTACCGCCCGGGCACTGTGGCTCTGCGCGAGATCCGCCGCTACCAAAAGTCGACCGAGTTGCTGATTCGGAAGCTGCCGTTCCAGCGCCTGGTGCGAGAAATCGCCCAAGACTTCAAGACCGATCTTCGCTTCCAGAGCTCTGCGGTGATGGCGCTGCAGGAGGCTTGTGAGGCCTACTTGGTAGGGCTCTTTGAGGACACAAACCTTTGCGCCATCCATGCTAAGCGAGTGACTATTATGCCCAAAGACATCCAGCTCGCTCGCCGCATTCGCGGAGAAAGAGCGTAAATGTAAAGTCACTTTTTCATCAGTCTTAAAACCCAAAGGCTCTTTTCAGAGCCACCCACTTATTCCAACGAAAGTAGCTGTGATAATTTTTTGTTGTCTTAACAGAACAAATTTCTAAGGACCCCCCCGGAAAGCATTAGACTATGGTCTTAAAGTTGATTAACAGAAATAACGGTTTGGTCAGTCTTGCAGTGTAGGTTATTTCTGACCTTATTAAGGTGCTATTTGGAGAGAAGCTGTGTAAGTCCACTATCATTCAGGCCTCTAGCTTGCTATGATTAGCATTTGTTTAAACAACTTTGTAAGAGTAAGGGAAAAATCTGGTAAGTAGTTAACTGGCGCTTACTAGGCATTTTTGCAAAGCTTTGAAAAGATTAGAAAATTGTGTCTTGCGAGTTCCAGTGTCTTCCTCAAAATGCTTAGGAAGATTTTCTCAGCTCAATACATAGTCCCCTAGGTTTTCTCATATATTATATATATATATATATATATATATACTGTTAAATTCATTTGGCTGTTAACATTAACCTGAAATTTATTCTGGTGCAAAATGTGAGGCAGGGATCTAACTGGCTCTCATTTTATCCATAGCTAGCTACCCACTTTAAATCTGTCAGTCTGTCGACCAAGCATAATTTAATCCCTTATATATGAATTTTTATATGTGTGGCTTTGCTTGTAAATAGTCTATCTGGTTGCATTGCTTTGTCTCCTCTAGGACTATGCACCATGACATGCCACATTCTTTTTTTCAGTACTTCTTGCCTGTAGTTATTAAAATCTAGAATTTACAAGTTTTAACCATTTTCTTTCTGTTGATCTTGCTTTTCGGTTTTGGAGGTTGGGGATTGAGTACTGGAAGAAAATTTAGAGGGATGGGAATACTGTACGCAAACAAAAGTAATATTTACTTTAAAATTTTTATATTTTGTATTTTTTTATCATATAGCTTTTACATCACATTTTACAGACTAACTTTAGAACAACCACAGAATGTCCAACATTAAAACTACTAATTCCAAAGACCTTGCCTCACATTCTTTTTTACAATAAATATTTTTTACACCTAACATTCTTTCTTGGCCTACATCTAGAATGTAAACTGATGTACCATACTAAAATCGCCTGACCAACTGTCAACAACAACAAATCACACACACAAAAGATTAAATTTGAATTGCATCGTTTACTTAAATTCATTTGTGTTCCAGCTTTTAATAAGGCAGTTTTTGGTTTATAAAGTAATATTTGCATTTTAAAAATTATGAAAATGAATATGTCAGTTTGTTTTATGATTCGTTTTTCTTGACTCTTATACAAGCGACTCTAACTGGCATAGACATTTGTTATCCACAGACAGTATAGATATGTTAGAGATGCCAATGGACTTGGTCTATGCCAAGGTGACTACTCACAAGCTCTGGGCCCAGCTGAAGGTCAAGTATTTTTTTTCCAGTTATAGATGTGCTGGATCTGATGTATAGCGCTTGACTTTTTATATTTTCTTTATCTGTAGGAAACAAATGTGTTGGAGGTACTGGGTCTGACGAATAGCATAAAAGAATAAAGTTACATTACTGTCTGAGGATCAGATGGACAGGGGGTGGTAGCTCAGTCCAGCTATTTTCCACTCCCTCACTTACATTCTTTGCCCCCTCCTCAACAGAACAAGGATTCTGCTGTAACTCTTCATTGACAGTTGATATTTAAAAATTAACGAATGGATGAAATTCTCATTTGTGAAAGAAAATTTATTGAGCATTTTGTATTTGTGAGTAGTGCAAACATTTTAATATTATATTAAGAATCTATTGTTTTGTATTAGAGGAGTAATTAAGGAGAGATTGGAGACAAAAAGGGGGTGTTGTTTGCAGAATATACCATCCAAAAATAGACCACTGTGGGATCAGGATTCTTTTGAGCTAAAGGCACTTCAAAAACAGCATTCAAGAAGGGAATTCTTCTAAACTTTTCTTTCTGAAAACAGGAGATAAAAGTTCCAATGTGAAAAATGCTCTGCTTGTACCAGGTGAAAAGACATATTCTTCAGCCCAGAGGCATAGATGAGATAATTCTGCACAAACACAGCAGGGAGTCATAGCCGAGAGACTTCTATACACAAACAAACCTTGTTAAAATAATCATATATTCCTTTAATCTCCTCATATGGTTTACTTTCCCACAATTGCCTCTCTTTAACTTAATGTGAAAGCATTTAGCTTTTGCCATTTCTTTGGGGCTTCACTTTTTTATGAGGGTTCTCCTGTCCCATAAAATTTACATTAAATACATTTGTATGCTTTCATTCTGCTAATCTGTTTTATGGCAAATGAATTATCAGGTCCAGCTGGAGACCCTAACAGAGTAGAGGTAAAATTTTGCCTCCCTACAAGATAGAGATTGTGTGCATTAAATGTTGTTTGTTCCCAGTTGTTCAGTTTGTCAGGCCTCTGAGCCGAAGCTAAGCCATCATATCCCCTGTGAACTGCACGTATGCCTCTAGATGGCCTGAAGTAACTGAAGAAACACAAAAGAAGTGAAAATGCCCTGTTCCTGCCTTAACTGATGACATTACCTTGTGAAATTCCTTCTCCTGGCTCATCCTGACTCAAAAGCTCCCCCACTGAGCACCTTGTGACCCCCACCCCTGCCAGCCAGAGAACAACCCCCTTTGACTGTAATTTTCCACTATCTACCCAAATCTTATAAAACGGACCCACCCCATCTCCCTTCGCTGACTCTTTTCGGACTCAGCCCGCCTGCACCCAGGTAGAATAAACAGCCTTGTTGCTCACACAAACCCTGTTTGATGGTCTCTTCACACGGACGCGCCTGAAACAGTTTAACAGGGTTTTTCCTGCCCAGTCACAACAAAGTGATGTTATGCTGCAGGCTGAAGTTTACAGCTAATGCTGTTGAAGTCTAAAATCAGTTTTGGTTTGTTAGATTTGGGTGAGATGGCTAAGATTCTCAGAGAAAGAAGTCAAGTTTGGGGTGCATTTTTCAGACTTAAAAATTTAGCAGTAGCCCTTGCAGTTTTTCCAATAGAAGTGATTTAAGAATGTTTTCAGGAAATTTAAAACAACAGTGAGAAGCGTGTATGGAGAGTTGAACTACACTCCAGACTTGGCTATAGGAAAGCACGAATGCTGCTATTGTATTGCACCTTGGAAAAGAGAACAAAGGAATATTTTCGGACAATTTTAACATGTCACATATGAAAAGCTAAACGGAATCTGTCAACACCTTGTACGTTATTACAGGCTGTGATTTTAAAAAAACAATCCTTACTAATACATACATAGTTGCTGCTAGCAATATAGTGTTGGGAGTAAAAACACGAAAATGAGAGTTCAGGACAATATCCCAACTCTGAGCAGATTTTTTTAAGTAGTAACATCTAAAATTAAACCATATTATGTAATATTTATTTCTTTTCCACAGTCTCTTCTCATGCCTCGTTCACATTAGCTAATTAAAAGTCCCCTGAGTATCATCATAACCCGATTTACAGATGAAGGCACGGTTGCAATGAGCTATCACCCTCTTCTGAATGAGACAGTACAGTGTGAAGGATAGCAAAACTCCACTCCCATCCTCTTAGGGCTCTGGCTGGACCAGCAAATTAAATTAATGTAAAATGGATTAACAGGAGAAAGGTATATGCATTTATTTAACACAGGTTTTACGTGACACAGGTGCTCTCATAAGGTAATGAAAGCCCAAAAAAAGCAGTTAGCTACTTATATAATGAATTGGACAATTAGTAAAATGTAAAAATGCGCTAAAGCAAAGGGATTTAGGCTAGAATATATAACTGTGTAGAGAAGCGCCCAGCAAGGGCTAGTGCAAGGTTTGTACAGAATTCTCTTGGCCTCAGCCTCCTATCCTTGAGAAGAATGTTGCTTTTTTTAAACTACAGTGAGAACATCTTTCATATGAGAATTTCACCTACTGCTTCTAAGAAACAGGTCAGCTTTCAAGAAAACATAAGGCCAGAGTGATCTTTTCACGCCTGCTCTTTTAAGTACCTTTGAATAGTCAATATGTCTTCAAGCACTTGAAAGACTTAAAAAGTTTACCACTCCGGCATATTAGTGAAAGCCCTTAATATAAGCCCTTATTAAAATTCTCAGTCGAGGGTATAAATTCAGATTCAAATAGTAGTGTCGTAAACGGGAGGGAAAAACTAAAGGGATTAAAAAGTGAAACTATTGTGTTCTCCCTCGCAGTCCTTAGGTCACTGCCCCTCGAGGGGCGGAGCAAAAAGTGAGGCAGCAACGCCTCCTTATCCTCGCTCCCGCTTTCAGTTCTCAATAAGGTCCGATGTTCGTGTATAAATGCTCGTGGCTTGCTTTCTTTTCGCGTACCTGGTTTTTGTTGTCAGCTGGTTAGACATGTCTGGTCGCGGCAAAGGCGGTAAAGGTTTGGGTAAGGGAGGTGCCAAGCGTCACCGAAAAGTGCTGCGGGATAACATCCAAGGCATCACCAAACCGGCCATTCGGCGCCTTGCTAGGCGTGGTGGGGTTAAGCGAATTTCCGGTTTGATTTATGAGGAGACTCGTGGCGTTCTCAAGGTGTTTCTGGAGAACGTGATCCGGGACGCCGTGACCTACACGGAGCACGCCAAGCGCAAGACTGTCACTGCCATGGATGTGGTTTACGCGCTCAAGCGTCAAGGACGCACTCTGTACGGCTTCGGCGGTTAATCTTTTCGTCAGTTTTCTTCCAATGGCCCTTTTCAGGGCCGCCCACTCCCTCTCAGAAAGAGCTGTGATTGTATTCTTTCGGATGGTAACATCTCAATGGCTTTACTCGGCTATTCTGCCTAGTATGTAGAACTATTATAAACCAGTTGGGAGAGACCAGGTTGTTTGGTCTGAGTGGCTGCTAAAGCAGAAATCAGCTAAGTAAACGAGGTCTCCGAGATAAGTGAGCTATAAACTTCAATGCTATAGTTTTGACATGTCAAGCAACTTAACGTGCAGCGCGAGTCCGATAAATGAGTAGCTCAGCTTTTTAGTTTTAAAAACGAGTTGTGCGTTATTTGTACGAGAGCCTAAGATGCTAGCTGCCTGGAACTGAGTAGGTGGATTAAAATGGGTGTCAGGTCTGTTTTCCCAGGCGTATCTGACTTAACGTCAGCAAAAGCTGTACTTTTAGCTTCCCTGGTAACACCTGCCGTCCTTAACCGCCCCCTGCCGGTAGCGCCAGAAGCCTTTACTTCCATTTCTAGTTGAGCTTGGCGTCCTGCTGAGTGACGTCACCTCCCCCTTCTCTGGAGTAGGACTGGCGGTTAAAGCTGCTTTGCTATTTTCAGTCCTCAGGCTGGAGGCTCCCCTAAGCAGGCTGCCTACGCAGTTCGTAAATTCCCACTTAGTAGACTAAGGGAGTCTGTTTTATAAATAAGGACTCAAATTTCTTCTGACTCCGAGGTCCGTGGCAGCAGCTATAAGATGGAAGCCCCCTCTGATGTAAGATTCTCAGATGACTTGCATCTTCACTGTACCTGTCAACCCAATAGTCTTCTATTCCTGCCTTAAATTGTAAATTCCAAAACTGATTTAATTGTGAAAGTTTCAAACTGTACGACCTAGGAAGTGTCAAAGTTAGGTGACCAGATTTTTAGAAGTCAGCCAAATATTCAGCATCTTTGATTTAGTAACAAATATATTGATGGCTACTTCAGCAAAAAAAATCAACTTTGTTTTCTGGTTACTTTGCTAACAAGCTTCTCCTGACAGGAGGATATAGTGAATAGGCAGTTGAATAAGTGAGTTCGGGTGAGAGGTCTGAGCTGGAGATAAAAATGTGTGAGTCATCAGCAGATAAATAAATGCTGAGACCAGATGAGATGGCTAAAAACTGAAACATAATGTAGTGCAGCATTGTTTGTAATAGTAAATGAGTGGCAACTGTAAAGTTTTCATCAGAAAGGACTAGAGTGATCTATACATCCATAAAATAGAGTATTTCTCTACACAGCCCTACTAAAGAATGAGAAAGCTGTACTCCACTACATACTCTGGTGTACTCTGGCTCAGTTCTTGGACTCCTCTTTTCTTGGCTAACTCAACTGGCCTCACCACTTACATGCTCTGTGCTCTGTCAAATAGTTTGTTCAACAGAACACCACGGCCTAGCTGTAAGTGCCACGTTAACTTCTAGCAATGCCAAAGCCTGTGATAGTGGCAGCTTCGGGCTGTTTCTCATTCCCGGGATGCCTAACCACCTCTCCAAATTCTATCAGTTTGCTTCCACCCACTTCAAGCTTCAGAACGAAACATAGAGCTTAAGAAATATAGGCCCGGCAAGGTGGCTCACGCCTGTAATCCCGGCACTTTGGAAAGCTGAGCCTGGTGGATCACCTGGGGTCAGGGGTTCGAGACCAGCCTGGCCAATATTGTGAAACCCCGTCTCTACTAAAAAAAAAAAAAAAATTAGCTGGGCATGGTTGCGGGCGACTGTAATCCAAGCTACTCGGGAGGGTGAGACAGGAGAATAGCTTGAACTCGGGAGGCAGAAGTTGCAGTGAGTTGAGATCGCGCTATTACACTTAGGCCTGGGAGACAAGAGTGAAACTGTGTCTCTAAATAAGTGTTTGCAATTATAAACCATCTCCCTGACCTTAAATCTCTAGACTCATATACAACTGCATATTTGATGTATCTAATTGAATAATGGGCATCTCGAACTTGTCCAAAATATGTTTATACGTAAACACCAAGTCTGTTCTTCCTCTGATATTTGTCATGTCAATCAATAGAACTCCATTCTTCAAGCAGCTTGGGCCAGGAATTGTGCAATATTGTTTGTCCTGAGCTTCTTACAACTTTCACCCAATGCAGTCAGCTCTGTTGAAAATCAATCAGAATACCTTTCATTGTTTTCTTTGCTGCTTCTCTAGGAGCAAGCTGCCATGGCGGTTTGTCTGAATGACCACAGTGACCCCAAACTGGTCTTTGTTTTCACTTTTAATCCCCCTGTCATACAGTTTTTTCTCTATCCAGCATCAACAGTGATCCTTTTTGAAGGTATTATGTCCACTGTCTGCTGAAAAGATTCCACTGGCTTTCCATCACCTTCATAATAAAAACCAGCATCCTTATCATAGCCTACAAGTAAGATGACCAACCATTACAGTTTGCCTGACTCTCAGGGGTTTCTCAGGGTGTAAGACTTACAGTGCTGAAACTTAGAAAGTTCCAAGCAAACTAGGATGAGCTGCTCAACCTACTAGATCTGTACTCTGGCTACCCTCTGACCTCATTCTCTTCGCAGTTCTTTCTCTTCACTGACCTTGCTGTTTCTGGAATGGACCAAGCATTTCCAGCATCAGCACCTTTATATCTATTCTTTCTCCCTAGAAGGGTCTTGTCCTGGATATCTGAATGGCTCTAGATCTCATTTCATTCAAGCCTCTCCTCAAATACCAACCTTACGAAAGAGACCTCCCATAATCATCCCTTGTAAAATAAGCTTTTCTGCTCATTTAGCATATATATATATAGTTGACTATCCTCAATAGCATATATATATAACATTTCCCCACCTAGAATTATATATGTAATAATATATTTAACAAAAAATACATATAACTAGATATATTTTATTTTGTGTTTGTTCTCTCTCCCCCAACTGGAATATATTTTTTGAAGGTAGGGACTTTGTTTTGTCCCAGAAGTATCCCTAGCACCTTGAACAGGGCTGACGTTTAACAGGTAGTTTATGGAGGTTTGTTGAATGAAAGGATGTGTGAATTTTCTATGTAAGTCTCCAGGCTCTCCACTAAGCCCACCAGAATGCTAACACAATCAATTCCCCATCTCATTCCTTGACCTGCCACTGCCTGAAGCAATCAGCGTGCAGTTTCTCTTTAGAAAATCTGGGGGATAGTCTAGGGGTTGCAAATTAAGCAACATTATCTTTGTTCTGAACAAGGACTGCATGAGTGTTAGGACTGAAGAAGGCCCAAGGTGGTGGTGGGTATGCCTAAGATGAGTATGACATATCAGCAATGCTATGAACATAGCAATGCTATGAAAGGCCAGGCAAAACGTAACAGGAGCTAGTCGTGGCTTATTGTTACAACGACTATACCTCCCATATGGGTAATCGATATCCACACACCCCTCTACATTGACTCTGGAATTCAGGAAAGGGAATTAAAATTTTCTAACTTATGTACCCCAATGATTTCAACAATATCTGGCATATGAGATCAATAAATATCTTTAAAATACCAACTAAGAAAGACATAAAATGACCCACCCTCCATACCAGGCTCATTTTTGCTCCTCTGATTCCTGAAACTATCCAGAATGCAGCTATGAATTCTCTCCATTGTCAGTTTTAAATTAAGCCAAGCTGGGTACTTGTGTAATTCCTCAAGAAATCCTGGATGAAAACTGTCAGGTGGAAAACAGGACCTCAAAATAAAGAGACATCCATCACTGAAGCTAACATCGTGAGGCTGAAATCAGTCCTATAACAATGGTACCAAAAAGAGCACAATGAGAGGCATTTGTGAATATTTACTCAGATGAGAGTAAGATATTTCCCTATCAGCTAACCTGAAGTTCACATCCCTTTTCCAGCTGAGTTCTGAAGCTAGATGTACTTAACTGGAACACATAACTGCATCAGGAACATCCTTTAAAACTATGGCTACCATGGCTTGACTGGACAAACCCCAGGCTTCCAGGTTTAGCACAGGTGGCCCTTCACAGACCAACATTGCCTATGCTACCAACCTCATGTCCTACCACCCTGCTTGCATCATTTCTCTCTCTGCATATATAAAAATATATGTGTATGTATATAATCAGCTTTATTGATATTTAATGTACCACAAAATTTGCCCACTTTAGGTACAGTTCAATGAATTTTACCGTGTTTTCTTAGTTGTACAACCATCATCACAATTTAATTTCGGAATATTTCTATCACCCAAATTTCCATTTCTGCGTAAAGGGGGAAAAAAAAAGGTTAACTGCTGAAGGCCGCGGTAACACTGAAAAAGGTGCCTTTTCTCTCTAAAACAGATTTTAATCTCCCCTGAATTTAGTGTCCTGGGTATTCCAGGAGTCTGAATAGGGTTTCAATTTTCAGGGTCTTTTTAATAGAGTAAAACTGTATTGGTGGCGATAAATTTAGTATTGCTCTCAGTACATGATTGAGGGATACTTAAATGTCTCTGTGATTTTATTTCATAATCGCTAAAAGATGGTTTTTTTTTTTCCTAAAACAGGGTTTTTGTTTTTTCTCAATAAGCTTCTTAGCTTCCCCTCCGGCTCCCTGGCTTGCCTCAGGAAATATTAGCTCATCAGTTCTGATTGGTTGACAGCTACGAATGGCCCTCATTGATTGGGCAGCGCTTCTTTGTCCCTTGGAAACTAATACAAATTTTTAACACTACTTTTTTTCCACTCTTTCTTCAGAGTTGGAATATCGTTGCTCCCCTACCCATATGTAGTGAGTGGAGGGCAAACTTGGAGTTCCCCTAATCTTTCCTTTTTAGGATGTCAGCTCAGTATCATTCATCTTAATTACACATTGAGCTTCTTGACTTAATGGATACAGCTCTTCTTTTGTTTAGTTGGGCGGCCCTGAAAAGGGCCTTTGGTTCAGAAATGCAAGCTGTGGAGAAATCAGCAACCTTAACCGCCAAAGCCATAAAGGGTGCGTCCCTGGCGCTTAAGCGCGTAGACCACGTCCATGGCAGTGACTGTCTTGCGCTTGGCGTGCTCCGTATAGGTGACAGCGTCACGGATCACGTTCTCCAAAAACACCTTGAGCACCCCGCGAGTCTCCTCGTAGATCAGACCAGAGATCCGCTTCACACCGCCACGCCGGGCCAGACGCCGGATGGCCGGCTTGGTGATGCCCTGGATGTTGTCACGCAACACCTTGCGGTGGCGCTTGGCACCCCCCTTACCCAAACCCTTCCCGCCCTTACCACGTCCAGACATGACTTCCCAAGAAGTGAACCAAGAGCAAGTGAGAGAATAGGAAACCGATCTTTATATATCTACGTTACCCCTGCCCCCACCTCCAGCGGACACTGAGACTGAAAAGCGCGCAGGCGGGAAATGTGACGCCTACAGTCCGCTCCTTTAACCCCTCCTCCAAGCCCCAGGAAATGGCGGGAGCAGCGATTGGGGGAGGGTGGGGAGATGAGGGTGGGACCAAGCAGGCTTGACCAATGGCCTTTATTTTCTTAACAGAGCTACAGGCTTTGAGGAACTGGGTTAAGAATTAAATGTAAACCCATTCTGACTCCAGAATTATTTTAAGTCGAACTTTTTTTTTAACCGAATCTCTCTGTCGCCCAGACTGGAGTACATTAGAGCCATCTCGATTCACTGAAACCTCTGCCTCTCAGGTTCAAGTGTTTCTCCTGCCTCAGCCTTCAGAGTGTAGCTGGGATTACAAGCGCTCGCCGTCGCGCCCGGCGTGTTTTTGTATTTTTCGTAGAGACGGGATTCGGCCATGTTGGCCAGGCTGATCCCGAACTCCTGATTTCTGGTAATCCGCCCGCCTCAGCCTCTCAAAGTGCTTGAATTACAGGCGTGAGTCACCGCGACCGGCCGAAATCGATTGGTTTTGAAGCCTTCAGTAGCATTAAAACGAAAAGTGCTCCCAATGCATTCCCTTTTGTCTTAAATTGGTTTCTTACAGCTACTTTACTTGAAAAGGTGGTGGCTCTGAAAAGAGCCTTTGCTTGGACCGTCAGAGAGACCACAGTAATCACGCCCTCTCTCCGCGGATGCGGCGGGCGAGCTGGATGTCCTTGGGCATGATAGTGACGCGCTTGGCGTGGATGGCGCACAGGTTAGTGTCCTCAAATAGCCCTACCAAGTAGGCCTCGCACGCCTCCTGCAGAGCCATCACAGCGGAGCTCTGGAAACGCAGGTCTGTTTTAAAGTCCTGCGCAATCTCGCGCACCAGGCGCTGGAAAGGTAGTTTACGAATAAGCAGTTCAGTGGACTTCTGATAACGGCGGATCTCGCGCAGAGCCACGGTGCCCGGCCGGTAGCGGTGGGGCTTTTTCACGCCGCCGGTGGCCGGAGCGCTTTTGCGGGCTGCCTTAGTGGCCAACTGTTTGCGTGGCGCCTTGCCACCAGTAGACTTCCGAGCAGTTTGCTTAGTGCGAGCCATGACGGAAAAACAGCACAGCGGAACACCCAACACTAGCGCAAATACGCCCATGAGCTGCTCTATTTATAGTGTGTAAAGTGCAGTGATTGGATGATAGAAGACGCTAAATATGACGTTACACACTCTGATTGGTCTATCTTTAAGCCAGCAACAATCGTGCAGTTTCACCGGCTACTATATTCTATTCCAACTCTACAGATGATTATTTAAGTGGTATTTTATTACTACTATTATTTTATTTTACTTTTGCTTTGTTCCCCAAGCTGGTCTTAAACTTGGGCTCAAAGGATCTTCCCGCCTCAGCATCCAGAGTAGCTGGGATTACAGGGGAGCCCCACTGCGCCGGCTTGGACTTTAATTTTTTAAACTTGTCCTCTTCTACATCTGGTTTTCATAACCTGAAGGCTGTGTTTATTTTCCATAAAACAAGGCATTGATTCCAAAGGTATTATAATTCCCCAATTCCGTATAACCTTCAGCTCTTTAGGAAAAAAAAAAAAAAAAAAAAAAAGAGGGAATACTGCTCACCTCCTCTCCGGAAATGTACCCTTTACGGGAATTTCTGAAACCTTTCACAAGAATTGGATTCCTTTGTAATGCTTTAATTGACTTAGGAGTGTTATTGAAATCTACAAAGCATCTCAAACATAGTAGGATTACACTATTACTCAGAAACATTTTCTATGAGACGTCTTTCTCTTGATTATGCTCTTTGAATCCTAAACTTGCAGCGTTCTGCAGCTTTTGTTTTCTAAAGCCTAGGTGTACTCTGCCAGTCACAAAATGGCGTTTCTCCAGCACTGCCGCCAGGTACCACCAGCTGGGAGTTGTTCCTCTTGCGGAGCAGGAGGTGGACTTGGCCCAAGAGAAACTGGATAGTGGTTCGCAAGGAACATAATTTAGCATTGCCAAGAGCTAATGCAATCATTTTGAAAATCTCAAAACACTGAAAAGTGGATTGTGACCTTTTTAAATTCACAAGAGACAGGCCACATTCTATCTTTTGATTGGTTTAGGCTATTTTCTTGAACAGCCATTTAGAAAGCAGATCTATCATCCTTCATTTGCATGGAGCGTTCCCATTTTATTTGAAACCAGTTTAACCCAATAGAAAAAAGGGAGGCAGAACCCATTATTTAAAGTGGAAACTCCTGAATCAGATAATTAGGAGTATTTCCTTTTCAAAAGTTGCGTTTTTTCAGATACCTCGCTTATTACACTAAGAAAGGTTTATATCTTTCACAAAGGGTTTACTTACAAAAATCTTCCAATTTTGTATACCTGTGTTTCATAACTGACTAGCCGTCAAACCAAGATGTAGAGTTTCCAACCGTTATTTTCCAAATTTTTAGAAATTACGTGAAATATTTGAATGCATGCCTTCTCAATAAAATGGGACGTAGGAAGCACTGGTGCAGAAGATGGGTACAATACTTATCTGGGACCACTCCATTATTTGGTTGGCACGTTGTTTGAACAAAAAGGGGAAAAGCTCAGGTTACTTAGCATGGTTCGGACTTATTTGAAAACTACCACAGCAGGAGCGGAAATAAGACCGCATTACCTCACTCTCTGCTGTGCTGTGCTAGGGGGTTATCCAGAATAGGATTGTAGAAGTGGATGTCGATTTAATAGTTTTTTATTCTCCCATTAGCTGAGTCTCTGATTGGCAATGTGAGATCGTTTTAGCTTATTGATACTTTGAAATGCACTTAACAGCCACAAACAAGTTAAAGGGTTGTTACCATAAAATCTTATCCCCAGGGTGTGCTTGCATTTATCACCCGTGTTTGCTTTCACACTAAGTGGACTTAACTCCCCAGCAGAATGCCTGTCAGGGAACCGGTTTCGTGGACCCAGCATTTAACGCCTTTCGCAGGCTTGTGAGGCCCATAAATATTTGTTGAATAAAAGAATGAGTTGACCATGTCATGGTGCGCTGATTGCGTGTGCTGACATGGAACACAGGTTGTAAACCTTAATACCAATTTGGGGCATGTTGTATGGATGAAAAGGGCATTGGAAATTCCTGAAGTGCATCCCACATTGGACTGTGGAAATAAGTTGCAAGTGCAGAAACGTTTCCACACTTGCAGTTTGAGTATTAATTGCAGCGTTTGTGAATTCTGGTGTTGTCTACGATTCATTCTTGTTTGACGTGAAAGGTATTCGCGAGACACATCGCTCTAAAACATTGCCAGAAAATGTAATAGAGTTGATGACAACTGGCCCTAACACGGCCTAAAACTCGCACTTTTCTCTCCCTCCGCAACTATTCAAAACACTGTATTTTACATTTCTTGCAAATTAAAAACTAACATCTCTGGCAACGGACCTCTAAAAATTTCTAATAAAACTCCTCGGATGCTTGTGGCACTGCATTTGTAAACCGCCCCCTCTCAACCTACTCCCTAAAAAAGAGCTGCTTTTTGAGAGAGAAGCGGTACCCTCTGATGTTACTGGGCGGCAGTCTGCCTACAATTTCCTTCACAATGAGGCAACCAGAGCGGCTTTTTCTGTGTGTTTGCTTGCGTTGAGGGGAGCAGGACCATAGGCCCTAGAGGCCCCCAGCTGCCTTCTGAGACTGGGCGAAACCCTCGGCAGCGCGCAGGGGGCGCTAGGGCGCGAGGGGCGGGCACTGACGGGCACCAATCACGGCGCAGTCCCACCCTATAAATAGGCTGCGTTGGGGCCTTTTTTTCGCATCCTGCTTCGTCAGGTTTATACCACTTTATTTGGTGTGCTGTGTTAGTCACCATGTCTGAAACAGTGCCTCCCGCCCCCGCCGCTTCTGCTGCTCCTGAGAAACCTTTAGCTGGCAAGAAGGCAAAGAAACCTGCTAAGGCTGCAGCAGCCTCCAAGAAAAAACCCGCTGGCCCTTCCGTGTCAGAGCTGATCGTGCAGGCTGCTTCCTCCTCTAAGGAGCGTGGTGGTGTGTCGTTGGCAGCTCTTAAAAAGGCGCTGGCGGCCGCAGGCTACGACGTGGAGAAGAACAACAGCCGCATTAAGCTGGGCATTAAGAGCCTGGTAAGCAAGGGAACGTTGGTGCAGACAAAGGGTACCGGAGCCTCGGGTTCCTTCAAGCTCAACAAGAAGGCGTCCTCCGTGGAAACCAAGCCCGGCGCCTCAAAGGTGGCTACAAAAACTAAGGCAACGGGTGCATCTAAAAAGCTCAAAAAGGCCACGGGGGCTAGCAAAAAGAGCGTCAAGACTCCGAAAAAGGCTAAAAAGCCTGCGGCAACAAGGAAATCCTCCAAGAATCCAAAAAAACCCAAAACTGTAAAGCCCAAGAAAGTAGCTAAAAGCCCTGCTAAAGCTAAGGCTGTAAAACCCAAGGCGGCCAAGGCTAGGGTGACGAAGCCAAAGACTGCCAAACCCAAGAAAGCGGCACCCAAGAAAAAGTAAATTCAGTTAGAAGTTTCTTCTAGTAACCCAACGGCTCTTTTAAGAGCCACCTACGCATTTCAGGAAAAGAGCTGTAGTACACAGATGAAATCCCCCAAGCAAATGCAACACGCCCTCAATTATATTAGAATCACTTGGAGAGTCGATAGAACTTTAACATAGCCTCATCTAGTAAGAATTTACTACTCAATCTATCAAAGATAGCAAGGTGAATTCAAATGCACCGAGTTAAAATCGAGTTTTAAAGTCACCTGGGTTTCGGTAGCCGGAAGTCCCGCGTCTCACGACTCCAAGCTAATTAGTCATAACCGTATTGAACCAAGGTTGAAGCCCAGTCCCAGGCTTGAGGCTTTTTATTATACAAGGTTAAAGTGGGGATATTGCGTTTTGGGGTCAATATTGCTAAAGTAGCATTTTCCGAAATTGGGTGGTCCTAAGAAATGCTTCTGGGATAGTTGGCAAAATATATGGCTTAACCACGCCCTCTCCACAGGAGTGGCTAGCGAGCTGTCTGTCCTTGGGAAGGACGGTGACCCTGCTGGCGTGGCTGGCGCCCACGTTGGCGTCCTCTGAAAGCCCCGCCAGGTAGGCCTAGCTCGCTTGCTTTCTGCAGCGCCATCATGACAAAGCTTTGAAACGCAAAATGCTTTCTTTGTGCAGCGCCTTACCATGGGTGCACTTACGGGCTGTCGACTTGGTTTAGGCCCTTGTCAGGACAAAGGAGCTTAGTTTGTTGGAGTTTTAGAGCTGCAACCCAAAATCCCTTGCTCGGTTTCTCTGTTTTTAGAAACGGAAGCGCCCTGATTGGATATTTGAAAATTACTGTGCTTAACTGGATCGTGTTTCATCAGTCGTGCAGGATTTTCAACCCTGGTGGAGCCCACACATTCAAAACTGAAGATCCTTTTCTCAGAACTGCCCCTTTAAGCTTTTGCAATTTTAATTCTGGGGGTCAGATTTTAATAATTGGACTTTTTTGTTTACATCTGACAAGAGTATATGATGAGCCAAGTTTACTCACTTTTACTTAGTGCAGTTCAATTCTAAAAGTTTATTTTTGCGTGTGTGCATATGAGTTAATAATCAGTTGTATTTTTCAAACGGTCTTTTTTCAATTGTTTTGCTTAGCTCCTTCCATCGTCTAAAGTCAGGGATACAGGCACATCACATCCCTGTTCCCCCTTCCTCAAACTAATATGTAGCTACCTAGGTTTATCCTTTAAAACAAAAATTCTCACCTATTTTTGTGAGAAATATACATGTTTTTCTTTGAACTAAGTATTTTACATACACCTATCTATATACATGCATACTTGTGGTTTTGTTTTTTTAAAAAAAAAAAAAAAAAAACACGTTATCTTTTGAGACTGGGTCTCAGTCTGTTGCCCAGACTGGACTGCAGTGGCATAATCACAGCACACTGTAACCTCCAACTCCTGGGCTCAGGCTATCCTGCAGCCTCAGCATCCGGAGTAGCTGGGATTGCATGCACGCACCACCAAGCCGGGCTTTTTGTTTTTATTTTTTGTGGAGACAGTCACACCATGTTGTCCAAGCTGGTCTAGAAATGGCCTCAAGTGATCATCGACCTCCCAAAGTGTTGGGATTACGGTCACTGTGCCTGGCCTTGTATGCATAATTGTTTTGTCTTTTGATTAGGGTTATTAATTTAAAAAACAAAGCCTGGACGCAGTGGCTCACATCTGTAATCCCAGCACTTTAGGAAGCCAGATGGGCAGATTACTTGAGCTCAGGAGTTCAAGACCAGCCTGGGCAACATGGTGAAATCCCATCTTGACAAAAAATACAAAAAATTAGCAAGGCCCAGTGGCACGCACTTATAGTCCCAGCTACTTGGGAGGCTGGGGTGGGAAGATGACTGGAACCTGGGAGGTAGAGGCTGCAGTGAGCAGAGATCGTGCCACTGCACTCAAGCCTAGGTGACAGAATGAGACCCAGTCTCAAAACAAAAATAATAAAAATTTTTTACAACGATGTTATATACACTTCTGCATGTTGCTTTTCTCTTAACCAAACTTTTCTAAAACCCTGTCATGAAAAAAGAAATCCTTCACATGGAATAGCATAAGTTATTCATCCATTTCTTATTGATAAGCATTGATGTTTCCAGTTACCACTGCTGAACATGGTGCAATTGAATAGAATTCCAGGGCTGAGATTGCTAGGTTTTAGGTTGTATTTTATTATTTTATTTATTTATTTATTTATTTAGACAGAGTCTTACTCTGTCACCCATGGTGGAGTACAGTGCCATGACCTCAGTTGCAACCTTTGCCTCCTGAGTTCAAGCGATTCTCATGCCTCTGGTCTCCCGAGTAGCTGGGATTACAGGCACCTGCCACCAGGCCTGGCTAATTTTTGTATTTTTAGGAGAGATGGGGTTTCACCATGTTGGCCAGACTGGTCTCAAACTCCTGGCCTCAAGTGATCTGGCCACCTCGGCCTCCCGAAGTGCTGGGATTACAGGTGTGAGCCATGGCGCCAGACCTGGACTTTGTCTTCTGTTTCATCAGTCCTTCTGTTGGTTCAAGCACAGTATCACACTGAAGACTGATGATTCTATATAAATATGGTAAAGACTGTACACCCTAACTGTTCTTATTTTTTAATTTTAAGGCAATTTTAGATTCCAGCTTTCCAAAGAATTGTGGAATGCTTAGAGCTAGAGAAGCCTTGGAAGTCATTTAGTTTTTGTTTTGTCAGAGAAAATTCTGTAGAGACTCTGTCCTGCTCTCACTGAATACCATCCCATAGTACCCCCCAACAGCTTTAAAGGGCAATAATACCTTATGGACAGTATGCTTTTCCTCAAATATATTCTAAGCCATGGTCAATGCAAAAGAGTGAGAAGGAAAGTAGAATAAGTTATCTAAGAATCAGTGGGTGCTCTCTTTAAACTGATTTATCACTCCCCCTTCCAAACTCTCTTGAAGGTCACTCTGCCTCCCTTTCTACATAAGAACTCCTAACTCCAAGGGAGGAAGGTAAGTTATTCTTATTCCTTGCTTAGAAAAAGAGAAAATAGGTTTGGTAAGCATCCGCTTTCTGCTACCATTCTCTGTGTTTCTGTGTTTTTTATAGGATCATTCAATTATTGGTTGGCTCTTGAGAGGGAATGCAAGGTTCAAGGACACAAGCCTAGATCTTGCCTGTATAGAACCTCATGATGTTATGCTTCTCTAAAATGAGGCCTGGAGGAGACATGTTGAAAGTGACCCATAAATCTGCAGTATCTCATGTCTCTCAATGGGGACAAGGAGTACCATGGGAAATAGCATTAGGTCAATGACAGTAACAACTCCCAGGTGAGTTGATTTATTCTTTTATTTATAAAGTTGTTAATATGCTACATAGTCCCTAATTTTGCCACAAATAGTCATTATTTTAATTTCATATTTCACTATTGATAAATGAAGGAAAAAATGAGTAGCAGTTAAGCAGTCCATAAACCTACATATAAAGCAAATTGGAGATTTTAAAATTGATTCTGGATGCTTAAAATCCTTCTCATTGAAAAAAAATTTCGTATTAGAAGATTTCAACATTCTTTAAACTGAGAAGCATAACATATAAACAGAAAACCACAGCAAAACAAAAATGCAAAGCTCAATAAATGAACACAAAGTGAACACCATAATAATTGCCACACAAGTAAAAAAACAGAAAATCAGCCAACCCTCCCAGAGCCGCCTGATGCTTGCTTCCAGTCACATTATCACTCCATCTGCCCTAAACATAACCCCTATTTTGATTTCCAATGCTGTAATTTAGTATGCCTGTTTTTGAAACATATAAAATGGAAATAAAACAAATGTAATCCTATGTACCTGACATATTTCACTCCAGAACATTAGGTTTGAATAGATTCATCTGTGTTGCTGTGTATAACTTTAATTCATTTTTATTGTTATGTAATATTCCATGTTATGAGTGCAACAATTTAGGTGTCTACTGTTGATGCATATTTGCTTCCCTTTTTCAGCTAATATAAACAATACCGTGAATATTCCTGTGTATGTGTCTTGGTATATATAGGAATACATATTTTGTTTGTATACCTAGGAGAGGAATTGTTGGGTCAAATGCTAAACTCTTTTTGAAAGTGGTGATATTAGGTTTACATGCGATGAAATGAAAATTAAAACCACAGTTATAAACAGCATGGATGAACCTCACAAACCTAATGTTGATGGAATCTAGCTGGGAATTCCTGTTCTTCCATATACTTCCCAATATTTTTTTCCAATTAAAATTGTTAATCTTTTGAAGATGTTATCCATTGTGGCAGATGTGCAGTATTATCTCATTATGGTTTTATTTTACATCTTTTGCCCATTTTTTCTTAATTGGATTGTATATCAGTCGACTTGGGCTGCCATAACAAAAATACTAGACTAGGTAGCTTGAACAAAAGGAGTTTATTACCTCACAGTTCTAAAGGCCAGGCCAGAAATCCTAAATTGAGGTGCCAAGAGATTCAGTTTCTAGTGAGGGCTCTCTTATTGACCTGAAGATAGTTGCTGTCTTAGATTGTTTGGTGCTGAACAGAATACCAGAGACCAAATAATTTATAAAGAATACAGATTTATTTCTTACAATTCTGGTGGCTATAAAGCCTATGGTCGAGGGGCCCACCTCTGGCAAGGGCCTTCTTACTGTTATGGCAGATGTGAGATGTCATCTCATATTCAAACCACAGCAGTCGCCTTTTGTGTCCTCATGTGGCCTCTTCATATGCCCATAAAATGACCTCATGTCTCTTCCTTTTCTTATAAGGACACCAGATCTATCAGACTACTGGCCTACTCTTATGACCTCATTTAACCTTAAATATCTCCATAAAGTCCCAAAATCCCTATCTCCAAATATAGGCACATTGGGTGTTAGAGTTTCAACATCAATTTTGGGGGAACACAATTTAGGCCAAAAAGATTGTGTTTTTTCTTGTTGGTTTAAGATAGCTGTCTTTTTGTCCTTTTTGTCCTTTCTTTTTTTTTGAGGTGGACTCTTGCTGTGTCACCCGGGTTGGAGTGCAGTGGCGCTGTCTCAGCTCACTGCAACCTCCACCTCCTGGGTTCAAGAAATTCTCCTCCTCCCAAGTAGCTGGGACTACAGGTGCATACCACCGCGCCCTGCTAATTTTTGTATTTTTGATAGAGACGGGGTTTCACCATGTTGGCCAGGCTGGTCTCAAACTCCTGACCTCAGGTGATCCACCTGCCTCGGCCTCCCAAAATGCTGAGATTACAGGTGTGAGCCACCAAACCTGGCCTGTCTTTTCTGTTTTAAGTTTTTAAATTTTGCTCACGAACCCTTTATCCATTTTATGTGTTGCAGGTATTTCCTCTGTAACTTGTCTTCACTCTGTCAGAGGCTGGAGTGCAGTGGCACAATCACAGCTCACTGCAGCCTCCACCTCCCAGGATCAAGCGATCCTCCCATCTTATCCTCCTTAGTAGGTGGGACTACATGTGCAGGCCACCATGCCCAGCTAATCTTTGTATTTTTTTGTAGAGATGGTGCTGTTGCCCAAGTTGGTCTCAAACTCCTGAGCTCAAGCAATCCATCAACCTTGGCCTCCCAAAGTGTTGGGACTAGAGGTGTGAGCCACCACTGCACCCAGCCAATGATATCTCATGATGCATTAAAGTCATTAATTTAGTGTACTCAAATTAAGCACACTGCCCTTTTATGCACAACCTTTTTTGTATCTTATTTAAAAAATCATTTTCTATTTCAAGGTCATGAAGATCTTATTTTATAATACCTTCTTGTGAAATTAGTTCTCAAGACTACCCTCACTTCTAACACCAATTATAAGTTGGGAGGTCTGTGGTTCCCAATCAACCTTAGGTTAGTAATTTGCTAAAAGGACTCACAGAACTTGCTGAAGCTGTTAGCCTCATGGTTACAATTTATTATAGGATATATAGCTTATTATGTCATTCCAATGCAATGTAAAATTATACAACTACTTTTAAAAAGATTTTAGCATTTGACCCAACAATTTCACTCTGAGGTATACAAACAGCAGATATGTGTGCACATATATACCAAGACACATACACAGCAAAATTCATTGTTTGTAATAGTTGAAAAGGGGAAACAACTCAAGGAATAAAGATTAAAATCAGCTGAGAAAAGAAACACACAAGGCAGTATTATGGATCGAATTGTATGCAGATCTCCCTTGCCCCCAGAAGATATGTTTAAAGTCCCAACTCCCAGTACCTCAGAATTGTGGCCTTATTTGGAAATAGGATAGTTGCAGATATAATTAGTTAAGATGAGGTTATAGTACAGTATGATGGGCTGGTGACTTAGAAGAAGTAGTATATATATATTTTTTAATAGAACTAGTATTCTTCTAAGGTGGTCACGTGAAGACAGACACACACAGGCAGAGACTGAGGTTATGCAGCTGCAGGTCAAGGAATGTCAAAGGTTGCCAGCAAGTACGAGAAGCTAGGAAGAGTCAAGGAAGGATTTTCCTACAGGCTTCAGTGGAAGCATAGATCTAATGATACCTTCATGTCAGATTTCTAGCTTCCAGAACTACAAGAGAATATATTTGTTGTTTTAAGCCACCCTAGCTTCTAGCTCTTTGTTACAGCAGCCCTAGGAAACTAATATAGGCACAATCCAGGCAAGTTCCAAATATGAGCTTCCAGTTGTCCTCTCCCAGTAATATGAACAGTATTACTTTCCCAGCATTAATGTGTGACAATACACATGACGTACAGAGCAGTCCCCACTTATGCACAAAACATATGTTCCAGGACCTCCAGTGGATGTCTGAAACCATGGATAGTACTGAACTCTATATAGCTGTTTTTTCCTATACAGACACAGCTATGATAAGGCTTAATTTATAAATTAGGCACAGTAAGAGATTAATAACAATAAATTAGAATAATTGTTAAGAATATACTGTATAAAAGTTAGGTGAATGTTTATTTCTGAAATTTACCGTTTATTATTTTTGGACTGCAGTAGACCACAGGAACTAAAACCATGTAGAAACCGTATACAAGAGAACTGTATTTCACCCGAGCCTCAGTGTGCAGTTTTAATGGCCTGCCATGGTTGACTGCTCACATGGCCGATCTTTTAGTCTACCTCCACAGGTAGAGCTGATACTGTGTGGCTCAAAGTTCCTATTATAAATCACATTGTTGACTGTGTGGTGGTCAAAACCTCCAGGTAAACAAAGACACACTTATCAGTGAGAACATTTCAAGGGTCTAAAATTCATCTCCCAGTAGCTGAGGGCAAAGGCTAGACCTCTTTTTGGGTAAGATAAATTTTTTACCATATACTTTATTTTGCTTTTCATGTTTAACTTTATTTTGCTTTTCATGTTAGTTCCCCTGGAATTGTTTTTTGTGTATAGTGTGAAGTAGGGGGTCAAGTTTCTTTTTTTTTCCTTTTTGTTCTTTTTCTGTTTAAAAGGCTATACAATTGTCCCATGCCATTTATTTACAAGAGTCCTTTCACCATTGTTGTATGGTGCCACTTTAGATGTAAATCAATGTCCATATTTGTTTGAGCCTGTTCCATTCGTTTGTCTATTTTTGGACAACACTGCCCTGATTATTGTCATTTTATCAGTTTTGATATTTAATAAAGCAACAGATTTGTTTATTTTGGGCCCTTGGATTTGTGTATTAAATTTGAACCCTGTTTGTCAATTTCTATAATAAAGCTTATTGGGAATCTGATTAGGATTACAATGGTTTTGTAGATCAGTTTGGGGACAATTAATACCTTTAAAATATTGACCGCTTCAACTGTAAATATACTCCTCCATTATTTAGTTTTCCTGTTTAATTTATCTGAGTAATACATTATAGTTTTCTTCGTAGAAGTCAGATACGTAGAAAATTCAAAGCCCAAGTGCAATAGCTCATGTCTGTAATACCAGCACTTTGGGAGGCCGATGTGGGTGGATCACCTGAGGTCAGGAGTTTGAGACCAGACTGGCCAACATGGTGAAACCTCATCTCTAGTAAAAATACAAAAATTAGCTGGGTGTGGTGGCGGGCACCTGTAATCCCAGCTAATCAGGAGACTGAGGCAGGAGAATCGCTTGAACCCAGGAGGCAGAGGTTGCAGTGAGCCAAGTTCCTGTCACTGCACCCCACCCTGGGCGACAGAGCGAGACTTCGTCTCAAAAAAACAAAAAAAAGAACATTCAAATAATCAATGTAGATAATTCAAATAACTAAAAAATGAACAGTTATTAAAATATCAGGATATAAAAGCAAAAAAATCAATAACCTCCATATATACAAAATGGCCAGTTAGAGAAAAAAAAAAGAATAGGCGAGACTTAAAAAGGCTGGGAATCTCCCTGAAAATCTTTGAGAGCCTTGGCCCTGCCCTCAGGGATTTCTCTGGCTTCATGCCCAGATACGGGTACAGTTCCTTGTTTAAAAAAATTTTGCTCCATCAATCAACAAGGGGCTCCTTCCTCAGAGCACAAGGACCTCCATAACACCGGACACTAGATGTCTAAGGGACACCTCTTAAGGAAGTTAGACTTCCAAAGAATGGTGTTTCCTCTGTCCCCAAACTCTGGAACTCACAGCACAACTGCTCCTTGGAGTTCGGTTTCAAATCTACAAGGCTGTCATGGAGGTTGCAGACCAAGTCCGTGGCCTCAGTGTCCGGATGTACGGTGGCCTTGGCACCTGAATGTGAGAACATGACCTCCCTGAAACCACCACAAGTATTGTTTCATGTTATGTATGTTTTTTCTTATCTGAAATTCCTTTTCTTTAAAAATTCAAATTACATATTTTGCAAGCCCCTGAACAAGCTTCATGAGCATTTATTGAACCCACAGCTTTTAAAACCTACTGAACACTTTGCTCTATGTTGTCATTCACTATCCACCAATTATTTAATTATTGATCAATATTGTTTCCTTAGTGTTGGGATCATTTATGCATGTATTTCTTTTATATTGCATATTTTATATTTCTGCATTACAGTTATTACATATTACTTTTGCTACAGTAATAGTTCAAAAGTGTACATCCAAAATTTAGCTGTGAAGTGGATGGACTGAGGCAGAACTGGAGGCAAGAAAATGTCACAGTAATTCTAAAAAAGATGATGTACAATTAGAGCAAGAGAGTAGCACTGAAATTGAAGAAAAATAGATGCGTTTGAGAGAAAATTAGGAGGTAGAATCAACAGATTAGATGTAGGGATGAGAAGGGTCAAAGATGACACTAGGGTTTTTAACTGGAGCAAGTAGGTAGACAGAACATTTCTTCCTGAAAGGGCAGGTCAGATCATGTGTTGTCTCAAAGGGCATGAAGAGTAGAAAGCCTGGGACAGATCCTGAGATGACCAATACCCATGGTGCAGGGAGAGGGAGGGAGATCTGCTAAAAAGACTGCAAATGTCAGGATAGTAGAAAATCATGAGTGTGTGATGTCCTGGAAGTTGAGACAGTATCACATTTGAGAACATTTAAATTGGTAACTCTGACAAAAAGCTGGAGGCCAACTGTGAATGCCCATGAGAGTGAGAAGCTCCCACACTTTTGTGGGCATCAGAAAGCCCACCAGGTTCCTGCAGTGAAGATCTGAGAAGGATCCTCTTGTGGCTTTGGCAGGGAGAGAAGAATTATTATGAAATACACCCCAGAACCTTCTTCAAAACAAAGGCCTACTCTCAAGGGGAAAACATTTTGCCAGAGTCTTATCCCAGCTGGGAGAAGGTAATTCTTCCCACTGCAGCCTCATCTAGGCTTTCTGTCTCACTTAAGGGAAGAAAATTAGTCAACAGGGATCAGAGCTTCATGAAAATAAATTGGAAATGGTGCAGCCAGGAAAGGAGCAAAGGTCTGAGGAGGAGGAGAAGGAGGAAGAGGAGTTGTATCATTATAAATACTTGAGGAAGAGGAGGAGAAGGAGGAGGAGGAGGAGTTGTATCATTATAAACACTTGAGGAAGAGGAGGAGGAGAAGGAGGAGGAGGAGTTGTATCATTATAAACACTTGAGGAAGAGGAGGAGGAGAAGGAGGAGGAGGAGGAGTTGTATCATTATAAACACTTGTGACGGTCCCAGCCCCAAGATATAGGCATGCTAATAAACTGAGGCTTAACACTTTGACTACAGAATGCTGCTTCTCCCTAACACCATCAAGGCTCCAACTGAATAACAATGAATTATGAATGAAAGAGCTGTAAGGAGAGACAAAAGTTAGAATGAGACAAGTATTGTTATCTAGAGATGCCAAGAAGGCAAGGAAGATAACTAAAAAGGCACTCTGGATTTAGAAATAGGAAGTCATTAGTGACCTTGTAAATAATGGAGCCAGAGGAATACCAAGGGCAGAAGCCTCACTATAGTGTGTTGCACCTGTCAGAGGTCAGGAGGTGTAACTGACTCTCCCACAGTGTGGCTTTGGAAGAGAGAAGTCAGCAGCTGCATGGAGATTTGGGAGAGGGAAAGCTTTTTTTTTTTTTTTTTAATTGGAAAAGACTGAGCTATGTGTAAATAGAATAAGACAGGAAGAGTGTAGACACAGGAAAGAGGGCAGACAAAAACAAGTGCACAGTTAT
Source organism: Homo sapiens (assembly GCF_000001405.40). Lineage (NCBI taxonomy): Eukaryota > Metazoa > Chordata > Mammalia > Primates > Hominidae > Homo > Homo sapiens. The sequence continues at coordinate 26,006,483 of NC_000006.12, read as the reverse complement.
CTAAGGGAAACAATGGGATCAAGCTGCAAGTATATAAACTTGTCTTGATAGAAGAATCCTTGATCTGGTTTATTCAGTGTTTGGTCCAAACCCACATCCCTGTTCTGCCTGTCTCTGACTTGCTCTGTGCCCCAGAAGCCCAGCTTCTACAGATAGCATTAGCTGGGCAGCCCTGCCCTCTTGCAACAGCTGGATTTGGCCAGTGATCAGCCCAGCAGGAATGTAGATGGCAAAGGAGAGAGAGGTTAGTGTACTTATTCCCTGCATCACCCCCCTGCTTGGTGGGCAGCTCTTCCTCCACAGTCCCAGCTCTGGCCTAGCTCTGGTTACAGGTTCCCTCCCATTGCCTCTTCAGATTTAAAGGTGTGTCTGTCAGGGTATAACTGGGAGCTAGAAATTGCACTGAAATTGAACAAAGAATTTTATGGGAATGGTTGTTAACTAGTTATAAGAGGACTGAAAATGGAAAAGTGGACAAACGTATCAGAGATAGTAATGACAGAAAGCAACTACCACCTCCAGGTTTAGGAGAACAAGGAAAAGATTCTTTGAAGAGATCCCCAGAACTGGGACCTCTGAGGAGTGTATGCTGGACCACTGATGATGATATGTCTGTAGATAGAGGCATGATGAGGCTGATTTTAGGAGCATGGAAGATCTCCAAACTGAAGCCAACTGCTGTTACTGGATTCAACTGCCACTGCCAGGTTGAAGAACCCATTCTGTGAGGATGTCAACAAACAAAGTGGGAAATCTTTTCACATCCTTCCAGCCCTCTAGTCTTCCTCCAGTGCTTTCTATTGGTAGGGTTTGGGGAGGTGGCTAGCAAAGCGGTATTGGAAAAGATAGAAGAGACTAAATCTTCATAACCAGCACAGGGTGACACTGGATCACTACTGTTGCTGATCTTGGGCTGCCTCATATCCCCTGTTCTTCCCATTAGCCCTGTCACAACTTTGTAGATATCCCTTCATTATATGCCCTTCATATATTCTTTTGGTTTAACTTTTTCTGTTGGAATCCTAATATGGCACTCCTCCATTTTTCAGGACCAAAAGAGTATAAAAGATTATCTTTTACCAAAAAAAAGACAAAAAACTGATCTAATTCCTGATTTGATCATTACACAATCTATACATGTATCAAAATATCACATAGTACCCCATAAATATATACAACTGTGTCCATTAAAAATAAAAATTAAAGAAAAGATGGTAAATATAGCTCTGTCAGGCAGTGGAGGTTTTACCACGATGGCTGTTATTTCCCCCATGAAGGGGGGAGTGAGGGAGCAGCTGAAAGTAGGTGCTTATAGGGGTATAGAGGGGCTCAAAGCTTTGAGAGAGGAGAATGTCTGAAAGAGCTGCCAAATAGCATGCAGGTCCCATGGGGGCAGAGCCTCTGCTCATTCACCAGTGCCTCTTCAATATCTACACTTAAGCCTAACACAAAGTGTGTGCTTAATAAGTATTTGCTGAGTATGTAAAGTGGAAACAGAACCAATCTGGCAAACTTTGTAGGACTGGTGGGCAATGAAGATCAGTCAGGTAAAATCTGTGGATATAAATTTATATTGATCAAAAAATTCAAGGTTAGGTGTTTTTCTTCAGTCATGCTCAACGATGCTTCAGCCATGCTCAACTCTTCTGTAGCCACAGAAAAAAGTTTACCCATAATCGAGCTGTGTCTGTGTCTGAATAATGAAAAGACCATGATGCAAGGGAGTTGGAGACACAGAAACAGTGTTTGAAGTAATGGGTAATGGAAGCATGCTACCAGGGAAAGGAAAGAAGTGGCAATAGGAAGGAACAGAGATCTGTGGTCCTATGTCCCCTGAGCATATTCACATGTTAAAGCTAATTCAGTTTTCAATCATCATTAAAATTTTGTTCCTAAATATATGGCCATTATTTTCCACAACCACACTAAAACTTTATTACCTCTGGCAAGTGACTATGCAAGTAACTAAGAGCAAAAATATCCACAACTACCATTTGAGCTATCAATTTAGGGAAAGTCATCTGGCTATAATCTAAGTGACCCTCCACTGAATGTCAGTATCTTTGCATATGTGATTTAAATCTGGGCCTTCGCAACACCATGAACTGTTCTTGTCTTGAATATCCAGATTGAAGGAAATAATCTGAGTAGTTACGAGTCCTGAAGCTAGAAAGATGGAAACCCCATTTGCTCATCAGAAAGCCTTAGAGCTTGGGCGCTGGCGGGTCCTGTCTCACCGGGACAGAGGGGCTCTTTCCTCCCCATCTGATAGTCTGATAACTAGAGAAGCCGGCCAACTTATTCTCCAAGAAGGAGCCATCTTAGTTCCTCCTGAAATGTTCATATTTAGAAATTATTGTTTGTCAGTAATTTAACCCCTTAATGGGCTTGCCTTGTGGTCCATACCACTGAGTGCAGAGCTTGCCTGGAAGAATTGTGAGGGCCATTCCATCTTCCAGGCAGTAGAGTTCAGTACTTCTTTAAAATTGCTGCTGAACTCTGTATTTGAAAAGAAAGAATCATTTGGGTGTGGTAGCTCACACCTGTAATCCTAGCGCTTTGGGAGGCTGAGGTGGGAGGATCATTTGATGCCAGGAGGACCACTTGAGACCACCCTGGGTAACATAGCAAGACCCTGTCTTTAGAAAAAAAAAATACAATAAAATAAATACAATAAAAATAAAAGCAAAAAGAAAGAGTCCATCTTAGGGACAGACTGTAACTACTCACTGGAGCTTACCTTTACATAGTTCAGGATCAATTATAATAAAACACTTTTGTGCAGATTCAATAGGATTATTTTAATCCCCATCATCTCTCTGAGTTTCCAGTCAGTTTCTCTGCATGTAGACACCCTTCTCCAGCCCACCATTGTCTCTCCTCCTATAGCTCCACCAACAAATCAGAACTTTTTCTAACTGCACCTAGTGCACCTAGAGTCTACTCCAGAATGCTCATGGAGAAAGTTTCTGAAAGGTAAAACTCTGAATGATATTTGTAGCTAAAGGGAGACTTGCTAGAGACAATAAGCTAATAGTTGTAGACTTCAGTAGAAGAGGAATGACACTGCAATGTCAGGGTGCAGGACTTCAAGAGGGCAGAGTATGGAAACCCAATGGGAAAAATGCTCACCAGGAACATGAAGAGAAGGAATTACGTGTAAGGATTTCTCAATGTGTTCCCAAATTTGCCCAGCAGAGGGAGGCCTCGGGTTGATGGCAGGCTGACCACACAATTAAAGAAGGCTGAACCTGGGGGCTTTTAACAACCATCGTGGGCTCTACTGTAAGCATTTAGAAAAAGAAAGTTATCCATTCAAAAATATATATATTTTTAAACTTCAGAACAAAATTATGAAGAGCTATATTTACTTTTCTACATTCTAATTTTTATAAATCTGAGTATATTTTGCATATATTGTTATAGTACATATTCAATTTTGTATTTTGCTGTTTTCACTTAACCATTTTTACTAGATTACTCTGTGTTCATAATAATCACTTTTTTAAAACTTTTATTTTTATTTATTTATTTTTTTTTTGAGTCAGAGTCACACTCTGTCGCCCAGGCTGGAGTGCAGTGGCGTGATCTTGGCTTACTGCAACTTCCACCTCCTGGATTCAAGCAGTTCTCCTGCCTTAGCCTCCTGAGCAGCTGGGATTACAGGTGTGCACCACCAAGCCCGGCTAATTTTTGTATTTTTAGTAAAGACGGGGTTTCACCATGTTGGTCAGGCTGGTCTCCAACTCCTGACCTCATGATCTGCCCACCTTGGCCTCCCAAAGTGCTGGGATAATCACTTTTTATGCTGCATAATTCTTCAGATTTGTCAGTACGACTGTATTTACACTCATTTGTTTTATTAGAAAGAATTCCAGAATATTTTGGCTGCCCTAATTAATTTTACAATTAATATGATTTTGAAATTGGGTATTGGCTCCTTCTGAATTGGTTTATTAAAATATATTCTAATGTAATTTATGACATTTTCATCATATTAGCATATTTATTCTGTTAGAATTTCATAATTTATAAAGCTACAAACTGTATGTGATATAGCTTGTAACTTTATCTCATAACTTTATGCAGTTACAAGTAGAAATAAAATGTTCCCCTCAAGATTGCTTAAAATTTTATTATAAACAAGTGTAAAAAACAAAATCACTAAAACACTCCCTCTTTTTTCCCCCAAAATGCATGTTTCCATTTTAACAGAACCCGTATTTAATCAGCAGATTTCTATGGTGGCTAGATTTGTAGACTAAATATTAAAAGTCCCAAAGCAAATGCATTTTTCTCTTAAATTTTACTGACTTTTTTTTTTTTTCTTTTTCTGAGACGGAGTCTTGCTCTGTCGCCCAGGCTGGAATGCAGTGGCACAATCTCGGCTCACTGCAACCTCCGCCTCCCGGATTCACGCCATTCTCCTGCCTCAACCTCCCGAGTAGCTGGGACCACAGGCGCCCGCCACCACGCCCAGCTAATTTTTTGTATTTTTAGTAGAGACAGGGTTTCACCGTGTTAGCCGGGATGGTCTCGATCTCCTGACCTCATGATCTGCCCACCTCAGCCTCCCAAAGTGCTAGGATCACAGGCATGAGCCACCGCGCCCCGCCTACTGACTTTTATCCAAAGAAAATATAAGAGCTCTTCATCATAACGTATGTTTCTTGCTCTTGTTATTAAATATGACACATTTAGACTTAAACTGATTTGAAGGTTTATGACATTGTTTAAGTTATTACATAATTAATTCATAAAGATAATGACTAGTTTGAACTACTGACAGCTCACACATCATCAGTTGAACAGCAGAAAGCTTACTAAGCTACTTTCTTATGTTTCTGTCTCCCAGCTACTAAAAGAAACGAAACCCTTCCAGGTGTTAAGGCAAAACTTTCCTCCCCCTTTCTTCTATAAATCTGATTCCATGTTAGTGAAATTTCTACTGATGGCTTTGGTTTCCTCTATAGTAGAATAGAGATCCTATGGCAAAAGTCATGTCTGACATGGTAGCAAATAGAAATGGGGAAAAGGAAGGTCTGCAAGAGCCAATGTGGGAAATGGGGAGAGGACTGACTACAAAAACCCAGCAGGAATTCCAGAAGAAAACTCCTCAGGACGGGCACATTGGCTCATGCCTGTAATCCCAGTACTTTGGGAGGCCGAGGTGGGCAGATCACTTGAGTCCAGGAGTTTGAGACCAGCCTGGTCAACATGGCGAAACCTCATCTCTACAAAAAATAAAAAAATTTGTCAGGCGTGGTGGCATGCACCTGTAGTCCCAGCTACTCAAGAGACTTAAGTGGGAGAATCACTCGAGCCTTGGAGGTGGAGGTTGGTGAGCCGAGATCACGCCACTGCATTCCAGCCTGGGCGACAAAGTGAGACGCCATCTCAATCAATCAGTCTCCTCGAAAAGCAACATTATGGAGAGACAGGATTCCGTCAAGGCCTGGGGCACACAGGAAAATATTAAGGCAGAAGAGAGTTTCCTCCCCACACCACACCGTATCCCACAGGCACTGCGGATGTGCATATGCAAGAGGGGTTGATCCTAAGAATTTAGAGTCACAGAGGAGGAGGCACCAAGCAGACTGTGGAGAAAGTCATGACCAGAAAGGGACAGAATGTAAAGCTTCAGCTGATTATCTGGCCTCAGGGATTCCAGAGGAACTGGTCCCAATGGTCTCCTGGTGATGTAGGTTCTTAGGTTTCTTTTACAGGGGTTTTCTGGGAGATCGTTGACCCAGTTAGCATTCAAGCAACTTCCACCCTGCACTTTTATTCTTTCCCCTTCACCTGCTTAGGTTTTATCTGTCCAGGAAATAATAATAAAATTATTGAGCCCTGGACATGTACCTGTAAAGCTCCTTAAAGATGATGCCTTCTAACTCCTCATTCAACAGATACAAAAACATTACAATAAAATGACTCATGCAAGACACCCAGGTAGTTTATAGCAGCTAATAAAAACAGAATAACTATAAAATATGGTAAGTTTATAAAAGTTACATTGAGTATACTTTATAAGAACTGCTTATTGAGTTTGCCTAATAACCACACAGCACAATAATAATATGTATATATTTTTAAATATGTGTAAATATGTGTAACACAAACTTGTAGAAGGTATATCTGAGTACAACCCTATTCTGTTTGGTTACCTTTTCTAGTTCATTATGTAAGTGGCATAGCTACCTAAGGACTTATGCTTATAAATGTTACTCAAAAAAATACAGAGGACATATGTGGATAGATAATGGAAGAGATAAGATAGGTAGGTTGAAGGGTTGGGCTGCCCCTCCACACCTGTGGTTGTTTCTCGTTAGGTGGAATGAGAGACTTGGAAAAGAAAGAGACACAGAGACAAAGTATAGAGAAAGAAAAAAAGGGGTCCAGGGGACCGGTGTTCAGCATACGGAGGATCCCACCGGCCTCTGAGTTCCCTTAGTATTTATTGATCATTATTGGGTGTTTCTCGGAGAGGGGGATGTGGCAGGGTCAAAGGATAATAGTGGAGAGAAGGTCAGCAGGTAAACACGTGAACAAAGGTCTCTGCATCATAAACAAGGTAAAGAATTAAGTGCTGTGCTTTAGATATGCATACACATAAACATCTCAATGACTTGAAGAGCAGTATTGCTGCCAGCATGTCCCACCTCCAGCCCTAAGGCAGTTTTCCCCTATCTCAGTAGATGGAATATACAATCGGGTTTTACACTGAGACATTCCATTGCCCAGGGACGAGCAGGAGACAGATGCCTTCCTCTTGTCTCAACTGCAAAGAGGCGTTCCTTCCTCTTTTACTAATCCTCCTCAGCACAGACCCTTTACGGGTGTCGGGCTGGGGGACGGTCAGGTCTTTCCCTTCCCACGAGGCCACATTTCAGACTATCACATGGGGAGAAACCTTGGACAATACCTGGCTTTCCTAGGCAGAGGTCCCTGTGGCCTTCCTCAGTGTTTTGTGTCCCTGAGTACTTGAGATTAGGGAGTGGAGATGACTCTTAACGAGCATGCTGCCTTCAAGCATTTCTTTAACAAAGCACATCTTGCACAGCCCTTAATCCATTTAACCCTGAGTTGACACAGCATATGTCTCAGGGAGCACAGGGTTGGGGCTAGGGTTAGATTAACAGCATCTCAAGGCAGAAGAATTTTTCTTAGTACAGAACAAAATGGAGTCTCCTATGTCTACTTCTTTCTACACAGACACAGTAACAATGTGATCTCTCTCTCTTTTCCCCACAGGAGGTGATGGCCGGAAGAACATGGCAGAGGGCAAAACAAAACAGCATTGGGAACAAGCTCTGTTTAAAAGGAGACTTGTGAACAGCAAAGAGTAGAAAGGGTTCTCTTACAACTGAAGCCCATGGAAGACAAATGTGTACTGCGTGAGTTTTAAGGCAATAGGAGTAGTGGGACCTAGGGCACACCAGAGAGCATATTAACTCTCAAACTTTTAAAAACATTATATCTGCTGGACACAGTGGCTCACACCTTAATCCTACAACTTTGGGAGGCCGAGGCGGGCGGGTGTAGCTTGAGCCCAGGAGTTCGAGACCAACCTGGGCAACATGGCAAAATCCCGTCCCTACAAAACAAACAAACAAAAAACAAAATTAGCCAGGCACGGTGATGCGTACCTGTGGTCCCAGCTACTCAGAGGCTGAGGTGGGAGGATCGCTTGAGCCCCGGGAGGTTAAGGCTGCAGTGAGCCATGATAATGCCACTGCATCTCAGCCTGGGCAACAGAGGGAGAACCTGTCTCAAAACAAAAACAAAAACACACCATACCCAACCACAATGCATCTGTCTTAAGTACCAGTACCACACCCCTCTACTCACTACTAAATAGGTGAGTTCCCAATCCCTGGTAGCAGGTTTAAGCATGTTATATTAAAGGTCTTAGGCTAGTGACTCATTCACTCATTAAACAAATACTTATTGTGCATCTACTATAAACTAAGTACTGTGCTAGGTACAAAAGCAAATAATCTAAGCTCTATAAACTTTACTTTCTTCATCAACAAAATGGAGATGTTTTAGGCATCTACTCATCATTCTGAGCTCCATCTTTTGTGACTGTAGTTGGCAGAGCTTTTTATCAGTTTCTCTAAATAGCTCTACCAGTCCCTGGTGGATGCTGGCATGCCCAAAGGATCCATCCTGATGGCCCTGTCTGCTTACCTTACCTGCCTGCCTTTGCAGCACCGCTCTGCTCTTCTGCAGGACTTCCCTTATCCTTTGGGGTCTTGCTGCTCTTAGGCTGCTCTGCTTGTTTTGATCTGCTTTGCATCACATGTATGTAAAGGTCCTTTCCTTATTTACCCATGACCAAGGTATTATGAGATTCTGGAATTTCCCCAAACCACATTGATTGCTGGGAGAATAGAAGAAGTGGATTACAAGTGGAACTTAGAAGGGGAGTATTCGAGAAGACGTCTCTGCAAATCCATTTAGAGAGACCTTTCTCCAGTGGTGACTCAAAGATGCAGCTCCTTTCATCCTGTGGCTTGGCCATCTTCAGCACATGGCTCCCAAGGATGTCCTCAGGATGGTCTCTAATCCAAGGAGCCTGAAGAGAAAAAAAGGCATGGAGTATTGTGAGTGGTAGGTGGTTATGGACCAGTTATGGAAGAATACACATCACTTTTGCCCACCTTCTACTAACCAGAACTCACACAGCCATAGACACTGACAAGTAGGACTTAACAAGAATCTAATTTTGAGTCTAGGAATACGACTGTAGCAAATATTTAACAGCTTCAAACACAGGTGCATTGCTATCACTATGCTTGGCCCAGGCCTGTCTCCCTTTCCTGCCATGTCACAGGGGCCAGCATTTATGTCTAGATTGGGTTGGTTGGGATATTAAGACAATAATGAACCAATACAACATCTTGAGCATAAAACCAACTGATACAATGATGTACAAGTCAGATGATTCTGATGATTATGAATTATGTCAATAAAAGAAATGTGATAACTAAGGTAATTTTTGTTTTGGCAAATTTTTGTTTGTTCATGACAGGATGAAATCCTGTCATTTGTAGCAACATGGATGGAATTGCAGGATACTACATTAAGTGAAATAAGCCAGAAACAGAAAGTTAAACACCACATGTTCTCACTTATATGCAGAAGCTAGCTAACTAAGTAAATAAGTTTATCTCATTGAAGTAAAAAGTACAACAGAGATTACTAGAGGCTGGGAATGGTAGGGGAAAGAGATGATAAAGAGAGATTCGTTAAAATAAGTTACAGCTAGATAAGAGCAATCAGTTCTAGTGTTCTATTTGTACTACAGAATGGCAATAGTTAACAGTAATAAATAATTTCAAAGAGCTAGAAAAGAGGACATTGAATGTTTCCAACACAAAGAAATGAGAAATGCTTGAAATAATGGATATTCTAATTAATTACCCTGATCTGATCACTATACACAGTATGTATAAAAATAACACTATGGGCTGGGCGCAGTGGCTCACACCTGTAATCCCAGCACTTTGGGAGGCCAAGGTAAGCAGATCACTTGAGGTCAGGAGTTAGAGACCAGTCTGGCCAACATAGTGAAACTCCATCCCTACTAAAAATACAAAAATCAGCCAGGCGTGGTGGCATGTGCCTGTAATCCCAGCTACTCAGGAGGCTGAGGCAAGAGAATTGCTTGAACCCAGGAGGCGGAGGTTGCAGTGAGCCGAAATCGCGCCACTGCACTCCAGCCTGGGTAACAGAGCAAGGCTCTGTTTCAAAAATAAATAAATACATAAATAAATATTTTTTAAAAAAAGAACATCACTATGCACCCCATATATACATATAATTATTATGTCAATTTGAAACATAATTTTGAAAAATGAAAAAATGAAACACAAATATGAATCAATCCTCTCCAAGTTGATATACTTAAAAGGAAAAAAGTCCGAGGGCTTAAACTATTCAATCAAAATTTTATTAAAATGCTATAGTAATCTGGAAAGTATTTCAGAATGAATTGGTATAAGGTTAGACACAAAGATCAGTGAAACAAAACAGAGAACCCAGAAATAGATTCACACATCTATGGACAACTGGTTTTGACAAAGGTGTCAAGGCTATTTAATAAGTAAAAAAATCGTCTTTTCAGTAAATGTTTCTTGAACAAGTAGACATCCGGTGTGGGGGAGAGGAGCAGGAGCCTTACCTCAAACTTTATGCAAAAATTAACTCAAAATAGACCATAGACTTAAATGTAAAAGCTAAAATTATAAAACTTCTTTAAAAAATAGGAGAAAATCATCAACACCCTAGGATTAGCAAAGATTTCTTTAAAACAAAACAACAGGTTTATAGTTTATAAAACATAAATAACAAAATGATAAATTTCATCAAAAGTGAAAATTTGCTTTTCAAAAAACATTATAAAATGAAAAGCAGGAGGCTGAGGCATGAGAATCACTGGAACCCGGGAGCTACAGGTTGCAGTGAGCCAAGATGGTGCCACTGCACTCCAGCCTGGGTGACAAAGTGAGACTCTTCCTAAAAAATAAATAAATAAATAAATAAATAGAAAAGAAAAAGAAAAATCACAGGCTGAGAGAAAATATTTATAATACATGTATCTGACAAAGGACTCGCACCTGGAAAATATAAGGAACCTTATAACTTAGTAAGATGACAAGCCAAAACAAAGAGTAAAAGTTTTCAACAGACATTTCACAAAAGAAAACATACAAATGGCCAGTATGCACATGAAAAGATTTTAAACATCATTAGTTACTAGGGAAATGCAAGTCAAAACCACAATGAGATACTTCACATTCAACAGAATAGCTAATGTTAAAAGGACTGACAATCCCCAGGGTGAGCAAGGGTGTGGAGGAAACTACTCTCATATATTGTGAATGTAAGAGGACAATGTTACAACTACTTTGAAAAAAGTTTGGCTGTTTCTAACATAAAATTAAACACTTATACAGCCCAGCAATATTTCTGGGTCATTTCTCCCAGATAAATGAACACATGTCCATACTATGACATGTACAAATGTTCATACTGGCTTTGTTTCACAATGCTATAAACTGGAAACAACCCACGTGTCCATCAACAGGTGAATGGGTAAATAAATTGTAATATATCGGCCAGACGCAGTGGTTCATGCCTGTAATCCCAGAACTTTGGGAGGCCAAGATGTACGGATCACCTGAGATCAGGAGTTTGAGACCAGCCCATCCAACATGGTGAAACCCCATCTCTACTAAAAAATTAGCTGGGCATGGTCACGGGCGCCTGTAATCCCAGCTACTCGGAAGGCTGAGGCAAGAGAATCACTTGAACCGAAGAGGCGGAGGTTGCAGTGAGCCAAGACCATGCCATTGCACTTCAGCCTGGGCAACAAGATGGAAACTCCATCTCAAAAAAAAAAAAAATTGCAATATATCTATATCTTGGAATATTATAAAGCAATAAAAGGGAATAAACTACTGATATATACACAAAATGGATGAATCTCAAAAATGTGAAGGAAAATAAAAAATACATATGATATAAATTCCATTCATATGAAATTTTAGGAATGGGAAAACTAAGCTGTAATTATGGAAAGTACATCAGTGGCTGCCTGGGGCCAAGAGGATGGAAGAGGCGGCACAGGTGATACTACAAATGGAAACTATCTAGGTTGACGGAAGTGTTCTGTAACTTGATTACAGTAGTAACTGTTTGGGTATATAAAACGCATCAAATTGTATAATTAATACAGGTGTATTTTACTGTGTATAAATTATTCCTCAATAAAGTTGATTTTTCATTAAATATATTATTTGCTAAAATGAGGAGAGACAACTATTATCTTAAAATAGTTAAGCACAATAAAAATACTACAATCAACTCATTATATATGGAAATTAAAGGAGAAAAATAGTGGTATGATTAATTAAAATAAAAAGAAAACCTTCTAAATTTTATCTTAGCTCATAGTTGTAAAAGCTGCCATCCCTAACCAAGGCCACCCTTGACCCTTTCTCATGTTCCATCTTTCTGTTTGTTTCATAGTTTATGTCTCACCAAAATCTATCAGATAAACGTATTCATATGAAGATTTAAATATATTACATGTTAAGCCTTAGCGAATACTTCAATATCTAAAGAAGGTACAAACAAAACAAAAATCAACACTTAGTTATAAGAGATTACATACTCTCCAGGGAAGACCTGAAGACTAGCCCCTTTCTGGATCCCACTAGCCCCTCATCCCACTCCAAGCCCTCCCCTCCAATCCCATATGCACTGGGCATTCATACAAATAAGACCATCAGCTCTGGATATCTGTACTGATTGATGCTCCTGCTAACTACCTGAATGATTGCGATGTAAGGACAGCACTGCCTGAATCCTATTTATCTCTCGCTATGCCATAGCGGCCTTCCATGCTGATGGCGTGTTTGAGGATCCAGAGGGGTCTTTGGTTGGCAGGATTGTTTTATTTCCCCAAGAGGAGAGCCTTGATGCAAAAATAGGTGAAGAAATCAGTACAACAAAACAGAAAGCCTAGAAACTACTATGAACACAATAGAGCAGAAGTAGCCTTAAGAGTTGGTGGAGAAAGGATGGTCTATTCAATTACCTGGGCTGAGAAACTGGCTTTCATATGGAATAAAAATAAAATTATAGCTATACCCCATATCATACACAAAAGTTTCTACATCTAACAAAGACACAGATAGAAAATGTTTTAAAATTTTAGAAGAAAATAGTGCAGAATTTTAGTGCAGAATTTCTTAGACTAGATGCAAAAACAAAAATGATTAAAGTGGCCAGGCACGGTGGCTTATGCCTGTAATCTCAGCACTCTGGGAGGCCGAGGTAGGTGGATTAGTGGAGGTCATGATTTCGAGACCAGCCTGGACAACATAGTGAAACCCCATCTCTACTAAAATACAAAAATTGGTAGGGTGTGGTGGCTCACGCTTTTAATCCCAGCTACTTGGGAGTCTGAGGCAGGAGAATCACTTGAACCTGGGAGGCAGAGGTTGCAGTGAGGGGAGATGGCGCCACTGCACTCCAGCCTGAGCAACACAGCGAGACTCTGTCTCAAAAAAATCTAAAAATAAAAAGATTATTTTTAAAAGACTATTTTAAACAAAAAAAATCGTTTAAATGATATGACACACTACATCTAATATTTGGAAAAGTACTTCTTAATACTTTTAATAAAAAGAGGCGCTGAGAGCATACAACCTATCCTCAGAAGAGTGTTTGACCTCTAGGAGGGACGCAAGCGCGTTCTTCCTTCATTTTAACTGGTCATTTTCATTTATTTCAGGAACATCTGAAGTAAACACAGTCACACGTTAACCTTTAAAAATCTAGGAGGTGCGTACGCATAGTTCCATTACTTCAATTTTTGTACTTTTGCATTTTAAAATATCACAGGGAAGCTCGGTACAGCTTCAAGGCTAGGAGGGGTGGCTCTCTCTTAAGCCCTGTCCCCGCCAGCCCCAGACCTCTCGTCCCGCCCCCATTGCCCAGTCCCCACCCTCACTTCCCCATTTCCCCACTCCCGCGGTCTCTTAACGCACCTCGTTTTTCGTCCAGTGGACTCAGACCTGTAGTCTTCCACCAGGATCGGCTCCTTTCCCGGAGCTCTCGCTCTTAGAGGAAATTGAGAGAAGCATCAGCGGAGACCCATCTGTGGCTCTCCAGAGGGCGCGGCATTCAGACCCCAGATCCAGCTGTGAGAACGGACCCCAGGCTCACACCAGGCCTGCGGGAGGCGGCCCACCAGAGGCGCTAGAAAACAAGCCTCGCGGGGAGGCGCGCAGGGCGACTGCAAGCTGTAGGGGGCGCTGGCGCCCTCACAGGCCAGGGGCAGGGCCGGCGCTGCGGGCGGGGCTCCTGCGGCGTGAGGGGCGGCCCCAGGCCAGCAGCTGCGCCCTGGCTGGGAGCCGGGGAGCATTTGCTGCTCTGCTGGACCCTGAGTCTGGCGGCGGGCGGCCTCCTCTCCGCTCCCCGCCCGCCATCCCCCAACTCCCGATCTCTCTGCTGCGTCTGGCCTCAGGCTGAGACCCCAACGAATCATTCCCCGCATGGGAACATTTTATGATATAACTGAATTCAGTTTTATGTATAACTGAATTACGGATATGAGAATCTCAAATGAGGACGAATGGTTTTTACGCACAAAACATGAGACACAAATCTGTAAGAAATATAAAGTCGTGACCACGTCCTTTCAGAACTTTAACCTGTTTGCTGAAGTACGTCAGTAACAATGGCAGGGAAAGGGTATCTTAAATTTCACCACAGCCTCAAAGAGGCCATTTCGTGGATCCGCTGAGGCTTGGAGTCGGCCTTCTGACCACGAGTCCTGCGGCTATGAAAGAGGAAGCCGCGGTTCAGGGCGTCCTCGCGAGTCGTGCAGCCCGCCCTGCTCCAGCTGGGGACACCGGTGGTCACGGCGCTTTCCAGCTGCAGATCCAGGCGGCAGCCCAAGATTTGGTCCAGCCGCCAAGGGGTGGCTCGAGTGACTGACGGGCCTTGAACGCTCCCAGGACCCACATCTGGAGAGGGAGGTGGGGGTGGGGTGCTGAAGTCATTCTTGGGGCCCCTGGGGGCGGGCATGGACCTGGGTAAGGCCAGAGAAATTGACACCTCGTGACATCCCTGGAAGAGAAGTACGTTCAGTGTCACTCCAGAGCTGAAACCGCCTTCTGGCTGGTCCCTCCTCACCTACATACTTTTCTAATTTGTCTGGAGCAGGCCGGGCATCTGTATTATCTGGTTATTTAAATATCTGGTTATTTAAAAGCTCTCCATTAAATTCACATACACGAAAATAAAAATTAAAAAAAATTTTAAAAAAAAGAAACAAAAGCTCTCTAATGACCAAGTCCTACACGATAGTGAATAAATTTTTTTGTGTGGTCCCTAAAATTGAGTTCATGCCTTTTCTGAAGTAATAGACGCCCAGAGAAGGGATCGACTTACCCATCATGCCACAGAGATTAATTGGCCCCAGAATTCTTTAGCAGACCGTGTATATGAACGTCCTTTGCAATCATATAAATTAACTGGGAAAACCTCATTTAGTATGTTACATGCCTAGCGTTTTGTGCCTGAACACCTTACAAGAACCAGGGACTATTGCCCCAATATTATATTTCAGGAAAGGAAGGCCCAGACAAATGGTGTCACTGGTCCACTTTCACCCAGTTGGTAAATGAAACCAGAAATTATAGCTGTACCACAGAAAGGTGAAAACGTTTCTTTTATAATTTCACATACAATCTTTAATGGACCCAGTGTCCAACACATTAAAGCAAGTGCTCAGGAGTGACATCAAGATGTAAAAAATAGTCCTGTCCTCAGGGAGTTTAGGTCTTGGAGAAAAGAGACCCAAGGAGACACAAGACAAAGGGGAAAGAGAAGGAGCGCTGAAGACTGAGGACCCTGCCTGTGGACTGAAGTGAGGATGGGGACACCCGATGCCCGGAATATGACAGTTTGGAGGGGCCTGAAGGACTCTTCTATTCTCTATCAGAAAAACAGAATTACTCTCCTAACCAGAAAAGGTATTTCAATTTATATTTTCCATCACAGCACTTTTCTGGTGATAATTTAATGTGTTTTAAAAAATGTATCACAGTGATGGCCTGGTGTGAAATAAATAATAAAATTTTAAGAATTAAAAAATATAAAAATCTTTTATATAGACATTAGGAGTTACAAGGATAACTGTGAATTATAATTAGTAATTAAATTGAAATACTGATTATTTTCATTTTTATTTAATTATTTAATAAAACCTATTTAACATTTAATATTTATCAGTAATTAAATCTAATTGTTAATATTTATTATTATAAATTATTTTAGAATTAAAAATAAGTGTAGAAGCGAGGCATGGTGGCTCAAGCCTGTAATCCCAACACTTTGGGAGGCTAAGGTGGGAGGATTGCTTGAGCCCAGTAGTTCAAGACCAGCCTGGGCAACATGGAGAAACCCTGTCTCAATACAAAAAAATGAGCCATGTGTGGTGGTGCGTGCCTGTAGTCCCAGCCATTCTGGAGGCTGAGGTGGGAGGATGACTTGAGCCTAGGCAGTCAAGGCTGCAGTGAGCCCTGATCTTGCCACTGCACTCCAGTCTGGGCAACAGAGCAAGACCCTGTGTCAATATACATATGGACAAACTTAAAATTTAAAATGAAAGCATACTACTGATACAGAATTGAGTAGAGATGCAAAGCTAGTCCTATAACCAGAACAATAAAGATAAAAAGGAGAGTGGAAGAAGGTATGTCATGAATTTCATGATAAATGGCAATTGCAAATATCCTGTAGCAGAACAAAACAACAAAACTGTAGATAAAACATATCCAACCCTTTGGAAGGCCAAGGAGGGAGGATTGTTTGAGCCCAGAAGTTGGAGACCAGCCTGGGCAACATAGTGAGACCCTGTATCTAAAAAGGAAGAAAGAAAAAAAAAAAAAGGATGATAAAGTAGACAATATTGAAAGCCATTTTCTGCAAATACATAGTGAATTTGATCAGTAATTTTCTTCCAACAGTGCAAAAATGAATAGATATTAGTTGCCTGAAATAAAAATCAAATATCCAACAAAAAATATTGACTATCTAATAGTATCTAAGCTAGTAAATTTGGCCAGTTATAAAATGTCTTAAATTTTTATTTAAAAAAAGAAAACCATATTTATAAGAAGAGGTGATAAAGAGAAATTATTTCAGTTATGAAGATTTTGTTAGAAAACTATGAGAAAAAAACTATTTTTTGTTTTCAAAAAGTGAAAGATTAAGTTACCAAACAGTTGCTAAAGAATACCAGATGGCTGAGCGTGGTGACTTATGCCTGTAATCCCAGTACTTTGGAAGGCCAAGGCAGGAGGATCATTTTAGGCCTGGAGTTCGAGACCAGCCTGGGCACTGTAGCAAGACCCGTCTCTATTAAAAAAAAAAAAAAAAAAAAAAAAGAATACAAGACCTTGCTAACAATAGCAAAGATCAATTAATTCAAAATTTGAAAAACTGTAATTTATTTAGCTTTAGAGTACTCTCGTGATATGAGATTGCCAAATTAATACTTTGGGTGCATTTCTTTTCTCAAAGGACTTGCAAATTTACAAAGAAGTGTTGAAGAAAAGCCACACATTGGCAGGTAATGTTTGCAAAAGACAGATCTGATGAAGAACAATATTTTTAGAATATACAAAGAATACTTAAAACTCAACAGTAAGAAAATAACCTGATTTAAAGCAGGCCAATGACCTGAACATCTGTTCACCAAAGAAGATACACAGATGCAAGTATGCATATGAAAAGATGCTTGACATCATGTCATTAGGGAACTGCAAATTAAAACAAGTAGATACCACTGCATACCTAGTAGAATGACCAAAATTTAGAACACTGTCAGCACCAAAGGTTGCAAAGATATGTAGCAATAGTAACTTGTTCATTACTGGTGAGAATGCAAAATGTGCAATCACTTTGGAAGACAGTTTGGTGGTTTCTTACAAAAGTAACCATACTTTTACCATAAGATTCACCAATCACACTCCTTAGTATTTATCCAAAGGAATTGAAAACTTATCTCCACACAAAAACCTGCACATAGATGTTTATAGCAGCTTTATTCATAATTTATCCAAAACTTGGAAACAAGATGTCTTTCAGTAGGTAAGTGGATAACTGTGGTACTTCTGAATAATGGAATGTTATTTAGAGTTAAAAAGAAATGCATTCACTTTGGGAGGCCGAAGTGGGTGGATTGCTTGAGGCCAGGAGTTTGAGACCAGCCTGGTCAACATGGGAAAACCCCAATTAGCCGGGCATAGTGGCGTGAGCCTGTAATCCCAGCTACTCGGGAGGCTGAGATATGAGAATCGTTTGAACCTGGGAGATGGAGGTTGCAGTGAGCCAGTGCCACTGCACTTCAGCCTGGGCAACAGAGCAAGACTCCTCTGTCTCAAAAAAAAAAAAAAAAAGAAAGAAAAGAAAAAAGAAAAAGAAAAAGAAAAGAAACGATCAAGCCATGAAAACACATGAAGGAAACTTAAATGTATGTTACTAAAAAGCCAACCTGAAAAGACTGCATACTATATGACTCCAACTGATGCAGGGCAAGCAAGCCAAAAATTAGGGCTTAGCCCGGGAAGAATTCAAGGGTGAAGTGGTGGTGTTAGCAACTTTTACTGAAGCAGCAGTGTACAACAGCAGAACAGGTACTGCTCCTTGCTGAGCAGGGCTAACCCATAAGTAATGTGCCCAGAGTAGCAGCTCAGGGGCAGTTCTGCAGTAATATACCTGCTTTTAGTTAAGTGCATGTTAAGGGGGATTATGCAGAAATTTCTAGAAAAAGAGTGGTAACTTCGGAGTAGGTACAGAGGAAAGAAGTCGATAATGTCCTGTTGTTGCCATGGCAACGAAAAACTGACATGGCGCTGGTGGGCGTGTCTTATGGAGAGGTGCTTTAACCTCGTCCCTGTTTCGGCTAGTCTTCAATCTGGTCCGGAGTAAAGTCCCTGCCTCCGGAGTTCACTCCTGCTTCCTGCTTCACAACTGTATGACACTCTAGAAAAGACAGTAACTATGGACACAGTCAAAAGATTAGTTGATAGAAATTGGGTGACAGGAAGTGTTGAAAAGGCAGAACACAGGATTTTTAGGGCAGTGAAACTTCTGTGATACTATAATGGTGAATACATGACATTATACATTTGTCAAAACCCATAGAAAGCACAACACCAAGAATAAACCCTAATGTAAATTACAGACTTTCGTTGATAATGACGTGTCAATGTAAGTTCAATTGTAATAAATGTACTACTGTGGTGCTGGATGTCTATGGTGGGGGGACATTTTTGCTTCAATAGTTACAGTTGAAGTAAATGTTTGTGTTTCCCACAATGCATATGTAGAAACTCTCACATTCAATGTGATGGTCTTTGGAGGTGGGCTCTTTGGGTGATAGTTAGGTTTAGTTGAGATCCTAGCAGATCGAGTCTTCATGATGGGCATGATGGGACTGGTCCCTTATAAGAAAAGACCAGAAAGCTAGCTCTCTCTTTGCCATGTGAAGACATAGCAGGAAGGTAGCCATCTGCAAGCTAGGAAAGGGCCTTCACAAAGAATCAACTCAGACCTCAGAACAGTGAGAGATAAATTGTCGTTGTTTAAGTCACTCAGGCTGTGGTATTTTGTTTCAGCAGCCCAACCTAAGACTGTTAATTGGATTAGAAATTTCCTTTTGGGGATGGTGTGTGGCGGGCGGGGGGCGGGGAGTACCTTTGTTAAGCTTTTATATCAATGAGTTTGTAGGCTTTTCTTTTTTGGTCATTGACTAGGACAGTTTAAATAGTATGAGTGTGAAGGAGATTGTTGGTCATCTATTCGATGTCCCTTCTCTGTTTTTTAATATGAGAACTCCTGATTTTCAGCCAACTACCCTGGAAAAAAAGCTAATCTTTCTGACTTCTTAAGTGTGGCCATGTACTAAATTCTGGCTAATGCAAGGCAAGCCAAAGGTTTTATGATAGGTTTTAGGACACTAGAGTAAAAGAGAGCTGTTGCACACATGCTCTTCACCCTACTTTTGTGTCCTTTTTTCCATCCTACAACTTGGGTTGTGAGTATGATGGCTGGAACTTTAGTGGCTCTCTTGGATCCCAGGGGTAATTGAGGGGTGGCTGGAAGGAATCTGTGATTTTCTGGAGTTTCCATACACAAACAAGACCTGGATTTTCTGGGCTTCCCAGACTTCCACATCTAGACTTGCTTTAAATGGGAGAGAAATAAACTTGTTTCAGCCACTGTCATTTTGGGCTATTTTATAGAACTTAATCTAATCTTCAAGGGTACATGAATTGCTTTTCCTTAAAAAAAAAATCAGCCATAAAATCATCTTCTTTTTTCTTTTGTTCCCCACATTATTTAGTTGGAGCTCTGTAACTTTTTTTTTTTTTTTTTTTGAGACAAGGTCTTGCTCTGTCACTTAGGCTGGAATTCAGTGGCATGACCATGGCTCACTGCAGCCTTGCCCTCCTAGGCTCAAGCAATCCTCGTCTCAGCCTCCTGAGTAGCTGAAACTAAGGCACATGCCACCATGCCCAGCTAATTTCTTTTCTTTTAGAGATGGGAGCCTTGCCCAGGCTAGTCTCAAACTCCTAGCCTCAAGTGATCCTCCCATCTCAGCCTCCCAAAGTGACAGGATTACAGGTGTGAGCCACCATGCCTGGCTGCTCTGTAAGTGTCTGAATTTCATTTTGTATTTATCAGTCTGTTTAGATTTTCTTTCCCTTCTTGGGTCAGTTAGGCCATTGGTTTCTTTTTAAAGGTTTTCAAATTTATTTGCATCTAATTCTTCAAATTACTCTCAAAATTATTCCAGTATATATTCTTTTGTTCCTATTTTCTTCTGTATTCTTTATTAAAATAGCTAATGATTTATCTAGCAGGACTTATATTCTTTCCATAACTTTCCTGCACCCCAATTAATCTCCAATTTTATATTTCTTCTGGCCTTCCTTATAGTTTCCACAGGTTTATTTTATTCATTTTTTAAAACTTTTATTTAATTGTTTATTTTATTATCATTCTTTCTTATTCAGCAATCTAAGTGCTTAGGGATATAGAATTTCCTCTAAGCAGCATATGCTAGGCTTTAACAATGTTAGGGAGGCCTCCCCTTTCTGGGGAAGACCACACTTACATTAACACAGGACTGTGGGATGCCAAGAGGTAGAGAAGAGCTTATGAATATCCAGATTACATCTTCACTGATCCTGCACAAAGGTGGGGTTCCTCGGTTACCCACTGGGTCCTATTACCCAAGTCTGGGTCAGCATACCGAGACTACGGGTATATAGAACAAGTGCAACTGGCGATAATCCTTCTGTTGGGGAGAAAAATCTTTTTTTTCTATTCATCTTAGGTTCTCCATCTGTGGCCCTATCAAGTAGACTAACAAAAGACAGATTGACAAGACAGAAACAAAGCATGTGCATTGTACAAACACAGGGGAGTACTGAGATGAATACTCAAAAGAGGATTTAGAACTTGGGCTTATATAGCATTTTAAGAAAAGAATACATTTTTTAAGTGACAAGGAAGACGAAAAGGACTTTGAGTTTCTAGTGCAGTAAATTGTGGGAAGGCAACTTTTTCTTTCCCTTTTTTTTTTTTTTTTTTTAAAAAAAAAGACTTCTCTGGTGCTATGTCCAGGCTGATAAGAGTCTAAAGTCTCTGGTGACTAACTTTTGTTCTTCCCCGAGTAAGAAGACACCTTCACAATTTCATATCCTGCTTTTAGGCAAATAGGGAGAGGGCAGAGGTGTTTGTTTGTTTTTAATCTATTTTTTTTCTCAATTGTCTTCAACTCAAAATACTTCTTATGCCAAAGATGGCATATTCTGCTACCCTTCACTTACTACTTACAACCCAGCCTCTATCATCATAATTAGAACTTCTGACCCTGGGGAACATGGGCAATAGTTTGAACTCTTTTATATCTCCCTTAGGCAGAGATGGAGGCCCAGCCATGCCTCTGACATCTAGACACAACTGTTGCTTCATTTCTCCTATTCTCAGAGGTGATGTTGTAGGACTTCAACAAATATCAGTAAACATTAATTTTTTTTTTCCTTGAGGCACAGCATGATCTTGGCTTACTGCAGCTGCTGCAGGCTCAAGCAATTCTCCTGCCTTGGCCTCACGAGTAGCTGGGTTACAGGCCCCTACCACCATGCCCGGCTAATTTTTGTATTTTTAGTAGAGACAGGGTTTCACCATGTTGGCCAGGCTGGTGTTGAACTCCTGACCTCAAGTGATCCACCTGCCTCAGCCTCACATAGTTCTGGGATTACAGGCGTGAGCCACCATGCCTGGCCATCAATTTTTATGTCAACTCTAAATTATAACATTTAGCAATTTTGTGACTTTTTATGGTCATCATTAATGTTGTTTATGTTTTAGTTGTAGTCCTGTCATTACTCACTCGGGTATGGTAATTTGGTCTTTTTCAAAATGAAGTTAAGGTCTATTTGCTCTTCTCTGAATCATAATAAGAACTGCCAACAGCCATTTCAGCAATAACTATTTACTGAGATTTTAAAATATTTCAAGGTAATTGGTCCTAGCAGACTGGAAAATACCAAATTCTTTTCCAGAACTGAATCCCCCATCAAAGTTCAATTTTACTCATAATTCCCTTTTCATTTGAAGCATCTCATTGTAAGCCAGTCTTAACCCTTCTCTCACACTTTGCTTGGCTGTTTCTCAGGTAGAACTCAGTAAGTCTGGTAGCCTCCAGGACTGCCGCTTAGATTATTAAACAACATGTCAGTGGTTGGAAGAGTCAATGTTATTTTGATTTTTCTGTTTTGTTTTGTTTTAAATGCAGTTGGCGGATAATTGCAGCTTTCTTTCATTCCCTACATGAGTTCAAATGGCAGCAAACAAACTAGGAGAACGCAGACCTTCTGACTTGTGGGTACCCCTACTCATCACCTGAAGACCCTTGGAAATCAAAGCCCTGACCCATTAAAGACGGATGGAGACAGCAACATACGATCATCACTATTATCTTGCTTTGCCCCAGTCCAGGTTAACCATCTGTGGTATTTTTAGTTGCTAAGTCCATATATTCAACATAAATCAATTATATATCCACTAAAATCTCAGCACTAGTCTAACTACTAAGGAAATGACAGCGAAGAAAACAGACCAAACGTCTGCCCTTATGGGATTTATATTATTTTCTCTGTGCTGGTTAAACCAAGGAGCTTCTGCTCTTTTCCTTAGTCACCTGGGGGAGGCAGAAACAAAGGAGAATATTGATAAACCTGGAAATAGGGCCGGAGAGTATCAGAGAAGGAAGCCTTCGGGAAAGTAAAGATGTGGCAGCCAGTATTCCCGTTATAAAAGGATACAACTCCGGCCTCATAGTCCAGAAAAATTCCCACAAGCAGGGGCTGCTCATGCAGATGAAGGGAAGTTGGGGGAGAAGTAAGTGCTACATAGCCTTTCTTTTTGCACAGCCTGAGGGTCCAGAATCCAGACTGAGGCTCTTGCTTCATGCCAGTGCCCCTCTGCACATTTTCCATACAAACTCCTAAATCCCATCCGGTTCCTTCGCCAACATCCACTTCAAAGTAACGTCTTCCTGAGGTGAAGCCTTCACAACCCAAGACACAGGGGAAGGCAGTAAATCTCCTGGAAGATGTGTCCTGATTCTCCTGGGTGTATCCACGAGTCACTTGTCTCCGATCCTCAGAGAGAATTAGTTCGTGATGAGCTGTATCTGGATCCAGAGTCACACTAACTGCAAAACAAAACAAAACAAACAAAAATAATTTTGTTGCTGTGAAGAACACAGGTTATTTTATTTTATTTTATTTTGAGATGGAGTGTTGCTGTCACCCAGGCTGGAGTGCACTGGCACTATCTCAACTCACTGCAACCTCCACCTCCTGGATTCAGGCAATTCTCCTGCCTCAGCCTCCGGAGTAACTGCGACTACAGGTGCGCACCACCACAAGTGGCTAATTTTTTTAAATTTTCTGTAGAGATGGGGTTTCGCCATGTTGGCCAGGCTGGTCTCAAACTCCTGACCTGAAGTGTTCCACCCACCTCGGCCTCCCAAAGTGCTGGATTACACAGGTGTGAGCCACCATGCCCAGCCACAAGTTATTTTCAATAAAACCAGCCTGTGTTCAAACCCAACTATTGTTTCTTATAAACTGGGTGAGCTTAGGCAAATCATTTAACTTTCTGAGCCTCAGTTTGTTAACTATAAAGTGGAAATTACCGTATTTGTTGCAGAGAATGGTGGGTAGGATTGAATAAGCTTATGTTTGCTTAATGCTTGGTAAAATTCCTGGTACATGGTAACCACCTAATAAGTGGTAGTTGTTGGGGTGATCAGGCCCAACACCAGGCCGTGGGGGCTACAAAGTCCGGCGGGGTCAAAGGAATGAGAAAAGACAAGTTAAGAGTGCATAAAGTGGGTCCAGGGTGCCAGCACTAGATTGGAGGCTGCAAAGGCCCTAAGCTCTGGGAGCCCACACTATTTATTGGTGATCAAACAAAGAAGCAGGTGGTGAGGACGTGAGGGTAAACAGGTGAGGGCATGAGGACATGGGGGTAGAAAGGTAGTGGTGCATTAAGCGTAGCTGTGACAGTTTAGCATTTTCTTTGACACATGTAGAATATACTCTGCTGCTTGAGATAGTAGAGGACACGTTTATGAGTGAAAAGCAAGGAACCAACAAGTCTGTGCACTTTCCAGAGGCTATGAGGGGTTTTATGCCCTGAGCCCTGGGTTCCATCCAAGCCACAAGGGGTTTTATGCCCTAGGCTTAGATTTGTGGTGCGGCAGGGCAGCCTTCCACCATTTGGCACAGAGCTTGGTGTTCCAAAGGCCACGAGGGGTTTTGGACCCTGGACCCCGGACATCTTCCAAGACTCTTTTACATTATGACAGACAAGCCAGTCCTGCTTCAGCTCTTCTAACAACATGTAGTAATAATGATATCATCAACATCATCTTCGTCTTAATTATTCAAGGATGCCAAGGTACAGAACTAACCTGTTAATATGGTTACCATCCTGTCCAAAGTTCTTCTCCCATGCAGGACTTCCAGGAATCATGAGACAGTTGAGCAGAAAGATACCTTTTCCCTTCTCTACTGAATAACCACCAACATTGAGAATCAGAGAGGGAAAATGACTCAGCTAATGTCTTAGCTTGTTATTGGAAGACCCAGGTCTCATGACACATGCCTAGTCCCATGACTTTTAATTGTAAGCTCTTCTCTTTCCCCTCAGATAATGTTCCATAAGCATTAGTATGAGATAATAATACACTGAGGACCAATATACATGAAAAATATCAGACTAGAATCAAACAAGACAGAAAAAAGATCTGATAACCTAAAGTGAGATACTGAACAGTATGCAGTTTTAAAAATAAAAAATGGTAATAGGATGTTCTAACAAGAGAGTTAAGAAACCACTGTGCTACTGAGTTAAATGTTGATCAGTTGGTCTGTGACAATTAAGGAATTCAAGTATTCAGAAACACTTCCTGTGCTGGATGCTCTCTGTTTGTTCTTCCAAATAATCCCTCACTTTTCCCTGTCTTGCTCTGTGCCCAGGAAGGCTGACATGGACAGATTAACCAGGCTTTCCGCCCTCTGGCTTGGTTCAGCCAATGGGAAGCACCAGAGGAGACCATAGGGCACAAAGAAGCAGCCTTGGGAGTATTCAGTACCCCAGTCCCACGCTATGATTTGGAGGGTCTGCATTCCTCTGCCTCTGGGCACACTCTAGTATAGTTACAGCTCCCTACACCTGCCACTTGAGGCCCAGAGGAGGTGATGGCTCTCTAACTGTTCCTAGTTCTGGGTGCTTCCTGTTCCTTGTGGATTTC
Organism: Homo sapiens; assembly: GCF_000001405.40. Taxonomy (NCBI): domain Eukaryota; kingdom Metazoa; phylum Chordata; class Mammalia; order Primates; family Hominidae; genus Homo; species Homo sapiens. Next base: position 25,981,054 of record NC_000006.12, on the reverse strand, counting down.
CCAACTCCTCACCTTTGTAAATACCCTCCTTTTTCAAACTCTATTCAGTTAGCTTTTATCAGCCTGACTCACAGAAGTTTGGGGTTTCAATTCATATTACCTGAATGACCCAGGAAAACCCATGTTGAGAAATTAAAATGTTTACGGGGTGGTAATACCACTTAAGAGAAAAAATATCAATTGGATTTTTAAAATTCCACCTATCTATTGGTGTGACACATCAACAAAAACATATAGAAAGATTGGAAGCTAAAAGATAGATAATATAGTCATATACTGTTATAGTATTATATCAAAAGATATTAAGTCAGAGCATTATTAAGAATGGAAGAAGGGCCAGGTGTGGTGGCTCATGCCTGTAATCCCAGCACTTTGGGAGGCCAAGGCAGGCGGATCACTTGAAGCCAGGAGTTCAAGACCAGCCTGCCCAACATGGCAAAACCCTGGCTCTACCAAAAATACAACAATTAGCTGGGCATTGTGGCACATGCCTGTAATCCCAGCTACTTGGGAGGCTGAAGCACAAGAATCACTTGAACCGGGGAGGCAGAGGTTGCAGTGAGCTGAGATTTCGCCACTACACTACAGCCTGGGTGACAGAGAGAGATTCTGTCTCAAAAAAAAAAAAAAAGAAAGAATGAAAGGAGTCACCTAAAAAAGATAACACAATTTTAAACATAAATGTACTACATTATTAGTGAATTCATGTTTAGAATTGTGTTAATATACAAAGCAAAAATTGTAGAATTATAGGAGAAATGGACAAATCTACAATCATCATGGGATGTTTTAACATTCTTCTTTCCATAATTGATAGATCAGGCAGACCAAAAGAAAGAAATAAGGGAAGATACGGAAGGTCTGAACAATCTAAGAAGCGCAATCTCATAGTCAATACATAAAGCTCAGCAATTGTTTAATAATAGTAAGCAGAGAATATGCAGTTTTCTCAGGTATAGATGGAACATGCACTAACTGAGTAAATACTAGGCAGAAAACAGTCTGAACAAGTTTCAATAAATCTGTATTACACAGATCATTTTCTCTAGCCTCAATATAAGATTATAAACCAATAATAAAAAGATGACTAAAAAGATTCTAAATATTAGGAAATGTAAACTACTAATAAGTCATTAGAAGATGTATAGAATGGAACAATAATAAAAAGTTATTTATAAAAATATACAATGAAGCTAAAGCAGAATTTTAAGGAAAATTTGTAGGCTTTAAATGCTTATCTTAGAAAAATTAAAAAGCTGAACATTAATGAGCCAAGCATCTAATTTAAATTTTAAAAAGAACATAGAAAGCCAAATATAATTTTTTAAAAAGAAAAAATAGATATTAAACAATATAACAGTGAAGTTAAAGAAAACAAGAATGCAATAAAGAGGAAAAACAAACAAAAAAAAAGGTAGCTTCTTTTAAAAGAAATTTAATAAAATAGACATACCTCCAATGAGATTTATCAAAGTAAGACAGAAGGCACAAATGGAATGAATACAGAAACTTTTTAAATATTACAGAACTTTATAATAAATCTTATGCTACTAATAAAATTGAAAGTACTGATAAAATTATTACTTCCTAGAAAAAATATTTCTGAGTAAAACTCACTCAAAAAACAAATAAAGCATGGGCAGACCTAACATTAAAGAAATGAAATCACTACTTTAAATTTTACCGACAGATAATAAAACGTGCATCTTTATCAAGCAAAAATGGAACTTGTCAGTTTTATAGGAAATTTAGAAGTCAAGGCATGAGTAATGCCAATCTCATACCAAATCCTACAAAGAATAGAAAATTATGGCTCCCGCTTATAGACATAGATATAGAACTCCTGCACAAAATAATATAAATAACAAACCAAATTTTATATTTGCAACTATACATATTATATGTGTATGTATTATATATGTTAACATATACATATATAATATGTATAGCATATGTTCTACATATTATATATGTATAGTGTATGTATTTTACAATATATAAATGAAAACCCAATCTTTAATATATTCATCTAGATTGTCATATATGACATATATAATACATTACATCAAAAATGTGTACAATAATCAGGCCAGGCACAGTGACTCATGCCTGTAATCCCAGCACGTTGGGAGGCTGAGGCGGGTCAATCACTTGAGTCCAAGAGTTTGAGACCAGCCTGGTCAATATGGCCAAATTCCATCTCTACAAAAAATATGAAAAATTATCCAGGCATTGTGGTGCACACCAATAGTCCCAGCTACTCGGGAAGCTGAGGTGAGAGGATCACTTGAGCCTGGGAGGTGGAGATTGCAGTGAGTCGAGATTGCGCCAGTGCACTCCAGCCTGGGTGGCAAAGGGAGACCCTGTCTCAAAAAAAAATTAAAAAATTAGCCAGGTATGGTGGCCTGTTCCTGTAGTCCCAGCAACTGGGGAGGCTGAGGTGAGAAGATCACTTTAGCTCAGGTGGTGGAGCCATGATCGCACCACTGTACCACTCGGCTTGGGCAACAGAGTGAGAGCCTGTCTCGAAAAAACAAATATATACACACAGTAATCAATATATATATTATATGTACCAATCAATGCTTCACTTTTATATATAATATAGATTACATCTTATTAGATATATAGTATTCCTTCTCCATAGATAGATAGATACAGATATAGACATAGTATCCTCTATCCATATTAGAGAGAGGATACTATATATATCTATAGCATATAGAGATGCTGTCTCAAAAAAATTTAAACATCAGCCAGATGTGGTGGCCCATGCCTGTAGTCCCAGCTACTGGGGAGGCTGAAATGAGAGGATTGCCATTGATCCTCTCATTGGTTGAGCCATAATCGCACTACTGCACCACTCAGCCTGGGAGACAGAGGGAGACCTGAGGTGGAAGGATATAGATATAGATATATAAATAAATATGTATAGAGAGAATATAATATATGTGTGTATGTGTATATATATATATTATGAAGACACTGGGAGAGAATACTATATATATATGTGTGTGTGTATATATATATTATGAAGACACTGGTGGGATGGTTTCATTACCAATTGGACCAAGAGTCCAGGTATGGAGCCAACATGCAATGTTGTTGTTGACTGAGCTGGCAGAGCACTGGTCATAGTTACGGGAAAAGAAGGTCTCCAATGAGACATACTTAACAAAATATATGAACTTGCCATATACGTGGAGAGTTCTGGTGTGTATATAGCCTTCTCTCACCAACCTAGCAATTGTCTTCATCATCATTATAATGCTATCAGAGCAAAGATGACAGCTAAATTTTTTTGTCCCTTTCTTCTTCTTTCTCTTCCTTCCCCTCCCCCACCTCTTTCTCTTCCTCCTCCTCCTTCATCTCTCTTCTTTTTTTTTTTGAGATGGAGTCTTACTCTGTCGCTCAAGCTGGAGTGCAGTGGCACAATCTCAGCTCACTGCAACCTCTGCCTTCTGGGTTCAAGCAATTCTGCCTAAGCCTCCAGAGTAGCTAGGACTGCAAGTGCACACCACCACACCTGGCTAATTTTTGTATTTTTAGTAGAGATAGGGTTTCACAATGCTGGCCAGGCTGGTCTCAAACTCCTGCCCTCAAGTGATCCTCCTGCCTCGGCCTCCCAATGTGCTGGGATTACAGGCGTAAGCCACTGTACCCGGCCTCCTCCTTTAATAGACAGGGTCTAGCTCTGTTGCCCAGGCTGGGTACAGTGGCGTGATCATAGCTTACTGCAGCCTCGAACTCCTGGGCTCAGGAGATCCTCCTGCCCTAGTCTCCCCAGTAGCTGGAACTACAGGCATAGCACACGGGGCTAATAAAATTAATTAGGTGATAAAATTCACTGCCCACTGATGACTAAGCTCTTTGGACATAAAAGACACAGACCTTGAAGGAAAATGTGTCTACTTAATTTTGAAACCCTATTTATCAAAAAACAGGATGAAAATGCAAAATGCCATCCACATGCCAGAAGATATCAGCTATAATAAGTTCCCATAAATCAATAAGGAAAAGAACCCAATAAAAATTATTAAACCACAGTAAATCATGGGTAAATCACAGAGGCCTGAAGGGCTAATGGACATACAAAAAGAATCTCAATCTCACTAGTGAAATCAGAAAAGCACAAATTAAGTACACAATTAGGTACCATTTTAAATCTGTAAGACTGTCAAAATCATAAATTATATAAGTAAAGACTCAGGGAGTTTTGGAGGAGTGAGAGCTCTTATATTGCTTGTGGGGTAGAATTGGAACAATTTCAAGATCTGTAGTATCTGGTAAAATTATGATATGCATCCCTCACACCAGCATGTCACTCCAAGGTATCTCCCTGGAGGGAACATTTACGGGACACAAGGAAGCATGGATAAGAATGTTCACAGTAGTATTGTCTGCAACAGCAACAACAACAAAAAAACCCAACTACACACAACTTCAATGCCCAGTCCACAAGGCAATGGATTAAATAAACTTCAGGCCGGAGATGGTGGTTCATGCCTGTAATCCCAACACTTTAGAAGGCCGAGGCGAGAGGACTGCTTGAGCCCAGGAGTTCAAGACCAGCCTGAACAAAATAAAGAGATAGTGTTTCTACAAAAAATTTTTAAAAAATTAGCCAGACGTGGCAGTGCTTGCCTGTGGTCCCAGCTACTGGGGAAGCTGACGTGGGAGGATTGCTTAAGCCCAGGAATTTAAGGCTGCAGGGAGCCATGATGGGGCCATTGCACTCCAGCCTGGGTGACAGAGTGAGACCCTGTCTAAAAGAGATAAGTAAATAACAACTTTGCATTTTCTGCCACATTGCAAAATGGTGAGAGAGTGGTTTCTAGACTCTAGACTCTTTCTATGACTACCTTCTAGTTATGAGATCCTACAACACTCACCTAACCTCTCTGTGTCATATTTCCTCCTCTATAAAGCAAAAATGCCCCATATAGAGAGGACTGTGATATAAAACAAGAACCAAGAAAAGTAAAGCTTTTCTAATCTGTCACAGACTAAAGAGTGCTCAGTATATGTGAGTCATTATTCCTGGTGCTGGTAGGAGTGTATGTTACAACTTTGAGTCAAGTAATATGGTACCATATATTAAGATTAACAACAACCTCGGCAATCCCAGTTTGGGGTATGTTCCCAAAAGAAATGAAAGCACCAGGATATAAGGATGCATGGACTAGAAAGTTATTGTAGCAACATTGTAATAACTAAGTTCTAAAAACAGCCTGAAGCTCCATCAGTAGGGATATGGTTACATATATTTATTATATTCTTATGGAATATTAGACATAAAAAGTAACGAGTAACATAGAAGAGACAGTGTATATATGTTACGTTTGTACAAACTTAGGGAAAGATATAGATCACCCTACCTAGAGAAGTCAGATTGGAGACGGGTGGGAAAAACCTTGAACTTTCTCCTTATATCCTTTATATTGTTTGACTGATTAAAATGTATTTGTTGCATCTGCTTGAAGGCAATGTAAAATAAAATAAACATACATTTAAAAATAAAAATAAAATTTATTCCTATCACTTTTGTAATAAAGCTGGGCACAGTGACTAACACTTGTAATCCTAGCACTTTGGGAGGCAGAGACAGGCAGATCACCTGAGGTCAGGGGTTTGAGACCAGCCTGGCCAACATTGTGAAACCCCATCTCTACTAAAAATACAAAAATCAGCCAGGCATAGTGGTGCGTACCTGTAATCCCACGCTACCCGGGAGGCTGAGGCGCTGGAACCCAGGAGGCAGAGGCTGCAGTGAGCTGAGATTGCGGCACTGCAAGCCAGCCTGGGTAACAGCGAGACTCCATCTCAAAAAAAAATTTGAAAAAAGAAAAATTTTAATAAACAGTGTTTAAGAGGGGAGAAATATTTAGTTAAAAGATAAGCCCATTTAAGAAATAGTTTCACTTGACCCGGAAGGCGGAGCTTGCAGTGAGCCGAGATCGCACCACTGCACTCCAGCCTGGGCGACAGAGCGAGACTCTGTCTCAAAAAAAAAAAAAAAGAAAGAAAGAAAGAAAGAAATAGTTTCACTTGAACCATATTATGATTCCTTCTGTAAAAGATGAGAGTAGGCAAATTGACTCAGTGAAATCCCAGCAAAACTTACACAAAGTCTTGTTCTTCCTTCCTGTCATCTGTATAGGATGAAATACAGAGTGCTTTTGGGTTTTGTTGTTGTTTGTTGTTGTGTATTTGAGGGGAACACAGGTCTATAATTCCTTTTCTGAAATCCCTGGAACAAAATGGGCTTTGCCATTCAAATTAGTTTAGAAGTTATAAAGGCAAAAAAATGCATATACTCTAAAGTTCAACCCCATCATGGCCTAAGGCAGAGCCCTGTAATCAAATTCATCAATATATCTGCAGCAAAACATTTATTCAAATTAAGTGGGATAAATAAAGACTTTTAAATAGTCTCATCTCAGTGCCGTTCAGGGTTGGCCACTGTGGAAGACAGACTCAAGGGTGGCCTTCTATGATTCCTGCCTCTTGGTGTTCACACCCTCGTAAAATTCCTTGTCTTTGAGTGTGAGCAGGGCTTATGAATTGCTTCTGACCAATAGGATATGGCAAAGATGATGGGATATAATTTCTATGATTACGTTTCATTATGTAAGACTCCATCTTGCTGGCAGATTTTCTCTAAAGAGTCTGTCTCCTGAGCTCTCTCTGAAGAAATAACTGGCCATGTTAGAAGCCCATGTGCAAAGAGCTGAGGGGTGGCCTGTAGAAGCTGTGGGCAACCTCCAGCCAACAGCCAGAAATAACCAGGGCCAAAGTCCTGCAACCATCAGGAAAGAAATTCTGCCTGCTACCTCAGTGAGCTTGGAAGTGGATTCTTCCTTAGCCTAGCCTCCAGATAAGAACACAGCCTGACCAACACCTTAACTGCAGCCTTATCAGACCCTAAGCAGCAGGCCCAACTAAGCTGTGCCCAGATTCCTGAACCACAAAAATTGAGATAACATATCAGTGTTGTATTAAGGTTCTAAATTATGGTAATTTGTTTGTACTAATAGATAACTAATATAACCACCAAATCATTTCAGGTTAGGCCAGATTTTTGTAGCCAAATGAATCATGATAAAACTTTCCATTTTCAGGGGTTTTTTTGATTTTGTACTTACGGATACAAATTTGTGAAAGTATAGTCAGCACTGATTTAAAAAATCAAGGGAGCAGGAAACTCAGTAAATGGTTCTAACATTTTGGAATCTGTAAATTGGTTGTAACATTTGTCATCTGTGTTATCTAAGTCAAGTTCCTAAAATATGTGAATGATAGGTTATCATACTCACCTACTTTTCTTGCATTGCTCTAAGAGTTGGCTGAGCTATTGATAATAAACACTATGATCAGATCTAATACCATGATGTGCTATTATGATCATGTGTCAGTCACAGGGCTAAGCACTTTGTACATGTTGATGCATTTAATTTTGATGATAACTCAATGAAGTAGGAGCTGTTAATATTTTCATTTTTCAGAGGGGGAAACCAAGTCACTTGGAGTAACATGGCTAATAAGTGAAAGAATAAGAATTTGAAAGGTTTGCACAGATAACCAGAATGCAATGCTCATCACATTCACTGAGCAGTGAATCATACTAACTAGAGAAAGTATGAAAGCTCTACTGAAATTAACTAAACAACCTCTCTGGCTGTGAGCCTGCCAAGGGACAGGTGGTAAACTTGGTTACTGCATAAGGCCCCTTCTATCCACAGTATTCAGGAATTCTTTAGTGAACATACCTTGATGACTCCTTAACATTTTCTTCACATCGAAGTAAAGCTTGGAAACATTGCACATAGTATGAAGTTCCAAGGAGACAGCCTCTGATGTTTCCAGCTTCACAGCCCAACTCCTAGAATAAGCAGAGGCGAGAGATTTCTTCAGAGGTGCATTCCATTCATTTCTATATACGCACACCCCTCCCCTCCTGCATTCAAACAGGACTTACCTGCTCAAAGTGTCATTCACATTCTATAAAGAAACAAAAAGAAAAGGTGAGCATGGGAACATCGGTATTTCATGGGGCTTGTCATGCAGGGCTATTCTTCTTTGCTTTACCCGAAGAAGTAAAGAGAGTTACCCTAGTCTTAGTCTTAGATATTGATGGATACTCAAACAAAGTAATTCCCACCAGTCTTAGGTATTGATGGATACCCAGATGGAATAATTCCTACCAGCTTCTGGGAGATTCAGCATGGCAGGATGTTTATCAACATTTGCATCTATTCTCATCCTTGCTGAAGTCTGAGGGCCAGGAGCTTTGTCCATGCTCCCTCTGTAAGGACTAGCTTTTGGTGATCGGATTTCCTTCACAGTGAGCCCAGATTAGAGAACACTTATCATAAAGGTCCTTAGTGGTGAATCTGTGCACAGCCCTGAGACTGGGCCACTGCCACTAAGATGGTGGTAGCAGGTATCACACAGTGGTAAAGCAATCATGCTATACACTCAGCCTTACAGTATAGTCACCAATCCTGTTAGTTAGAACCAGAATTAATGGCTCCAGATGTTTATCTTCCTACAGATAAAGCTGTAGATTGTACCATAACAGCTCTGGAGCAAGGGTTCTACAAGCAAATCAGGGAAAAGGTTATCACTCATTTTGGCTGCCCCACTTCATCACCCATCAGTCACCTAGTGGAGTATTTCAGGAGAGAGTCAACAACCAGGGTTCTCTGCACATGGGCCAAGGAGGCAAACAGTGGTAAATGTTATCCCGTGGTTTCATTTGGCCAAGCTGTGTTCCCTCAGAAGTTTATTTTTCTAATTGACATAAAGGTACCCTATAAATTAGTGAAGGCCAGCCTGATGGCACTGATGTACATCTAAAAGAAACATTACTTTATCTTCCCATGCTTCCTTACCATTCTCCTTTAATAGCACTATAACATACCTTTTTTCCCTACTCCAAGTACACAGCCTCACCTGCAGCAATTTCTGGGCTGAGCCCTGACATTTTTCCTCCAGTTCCAGGATGTGGCTCTTGAGTTCATTGCTCTTCAGCCCCAGACCAGCCTCATAGTCCCTCAGTCTACTCAGAGTCTGTTGTTCTTCTTTCTCCAGCCTCCAGAGATAAGACTTCTCTTCCTCATGTAGGAAACACTGGAGATTCTTAAAGTCAGACCGGATTTTTTGTCTCTGAATCTGTACCTTCTCCTGGAGTCAAGAAAGTATGGTCAAAAGGTGGAAGTAAACCAAATGTCCATCTATGGATGAATGGATAAACAAGAATGAAAGTCTGACACACGCTACTACATGACAAGCCTTGAAGACATTCAAGCAAAATAAGCCAGAAACAAAAGGGCAAATATTGTAAGACTTTGCTTATACAAGGCATCTGGAGTAGTTAAGTTCATAGAGACAGAAAGTAAAATAGTGGTTACAAGGTGTTGGCAAGACCAGAAAATGGACAGTTATTGTTTAATGGGTAGTGAGTTTCAGTTTAGAAGATGAAAGATGAAACTGAGTTGCAGTTTGGAGATGGGAATGGTGATGGTTGCACAACAATGTAACAATGTAAAAGCACTTAATTCTACTGAACTATATACTTAAAAGTGGTTAAATGCTTAAGTGTTATATATATTTTCACACAAACACACACACACACACAATCAGCCACTGGGACATTATTTTCTCATGAGTCACTGAAGCTGGAAGAATGTCCCCAGTTTCCTGCTGCAGAGTCATGTGTGGGAGGCAGGCACTCAGATGTGGAAGAGGTTGCCTCAGATTCCTTATAGTCACCCAATTAATTTTCTTGTTCTTCAGCCAAGACACAGGAGAAAGCTGGGTTAGGAGTGCTAGATAATTTAATTGTGAAACTAGGGCCAAGTTCAAACACTTTATCAGTTACAAGGATAAAAAGAGGTTTTTACTTATGATTTAAGAAGTTAGATTTCTGAGTTGGAGCGATTTTCTTGAAGTAAAAGCTTATAATGAACATCACCCAGACTGGATTTTAAGACAACCAGGCTGGTAAGAGGGTCCATAATTCTTGGCAGGGGGAGCTTTGAGTGTGACAGGCATTTATTATGGTTAACTGAGAAATACTGTTCTACTACCCTAGGGTCATCTTAAGCATTCCTATGTGTAAGACTGACAGAAATCAAGTGAAACTCTCATCTGAGGAGATGTAAAGTTGCAATTTCCATTAGTGCTGTCTAAATTAATGCAGTGGGAGTGTGTATTCAGGGCAATTTGAATCTATGTTCTTGGATTGCAGTCTTCAAACTTGGCCCAAATAAACTCTCTACTTATCTTAAAAAAATAAAAATTAAAAAATAAAAATAAATTCATACAGTGTTTTGATGACTATGATATAGAAGAAGGGTCTTTGACTTAGGATGAGGTGGAATTTTTGTGTAGGAGACAGGTGCAGCTTTAACTCTTGTATAGACGGGTTTTCATATATGTTAGTTACAATCAAGGTCTTCCCCATTGCCCAAGATCCTAGAAATGGGGGAAGTAAGAGTGTACTCAGGAGCTCAAGAGCAACATCCACAAACAAAGATCAGGGTAGAGGTTAGAGAGGACTCCTGAAAGAGAGAAAATTGGTAATCAGCTTGTGGGATTTTACTGCAAGCTAGTGAATTATATAAATATAAAGATTGGTGCAAAAGTAATTGTGGTTTTTGCCTTTACTTTAATGGCAAAGACCGCAATTACTTTTGCACAAACCTAAATATTTCCATAAAAGAATGTGGCTCTGATAATGTGGAGGTTAGTCAGCCACGGAAATAATCTGAAAGTTTGTAGTTGCAAGTGTGTAGGTTGTTGCATTACTTGTGATGTACTTATAAATCAAGTATAGGCCGGGTGCAGTGGCTCACGCCTGTAATCCCAGCACTTTGGGAGGCTGAGGTGGGTGAATCACGAGGTCAGGAGATCAAGACCATCCTGGCCAACATGGTGAAACCCCGTCTCTACTAAAATACAAAAAATTAGCCAGGCATGGTAGCACATGCCTGTAATCCCAGCTACTCAAGAGGCTGAGGCAGGGGAATTGCTTGAACCCGGGAGGTGGACATTGCAGTGAGCTGAGATCGCACCACTACACTCCAGCAAGACTCCATCTCAAAAAATAGTAATAATTTAAAAATAAATAAATAAATAAAGTATATTTCTTTCATCAGCTTCATGAGCTAGAGTAGTATGAATTTCAATCTGGAGTGATCCTGTTTTCTAAGTGTTCACAAAGCTTGGTTTCTGTACCTGTAAAGTTGAGAGCCAGATGCTCCACTGTGGTAAAAGTGCCAGGGTAATGAGTTGAGGCCTGCAAACCAGGTTTATTTTGACGTATTTAAAGTTTGAGACCCACTCGATGCTTTTTCTAGGTAAATAGTCATACTAATTCTGCTTCTTCTGACTGAAGTATCAGGAATCCCAGCCAACTACAGTTTAAAGATGGAAAGATTGGTGCTAAATACTCATGGATGTAAACCTGGAACCAGGGGCATAAGTACAAATAATGGTTTCTTCCTTGGGTTTCATTTTTTCAATCTGGTTTAGTGAGAATAAATCCTCATTGTGCTTTTCCTCAATCATCCCCTATGCCTAAGCTCTAGAATGGAAAATAGCTTGAGATCAATGAAGTCAGATTCTTACTTTCCATTTAGTTATTCGCATTGCTGTGGACAGCTTCTGCTCCGTACATCTGTCTTCAAGTTGCTTCAGTTTTGTCACAGCTTTCTGGAGCTTTTCCTGAAGGAAAAATTTGATAAGTGAAGCCTATTCAATTTGACTCTTCATTAGGGACCTAGGGGGAATCCCAATCTTCTAAGATATATTTGAATAATAGTGAATATTTATAGAGTCCTCATTGTTTTTTGCTAGAGAGCATGCTAAAGGCTATATGTGCAGGAACATACTGATCCCCTTGGCAACCCTGAATAGTTGGTAGGATTTTAAACTTCATTTCTGTGCTGTAGAAAATGAGACTAAGAAAGGGGTAAAATAACTTGCCCAAAGGGCTATGACTGCCAGGTGGTGGAGCAACAATTGCAATCTCATCTGCTGACCCAGAGCCTGAGCTATGTCCACCACTAGAGTCCTGCCAGGAAAAAGTTGGATATAGAACAAGGTAATCATCATCTAAAAGATTTTGTAAAACAACATGCTGAACCAAGCAAAACCAATACCAGTGTTTGGCACACATGAAATTTTGTGTCTTATGAGTCAGGAAAAATCAGGATGCCAGCTGGTTATTAGAAACAGTTCATGGAAGAGGGGAATTCTGGTATCTTTTGAACAATGGTATCATGAATCCAATTTAAAATGATTTAGTATTCATGTCAAGCTTTTAGCTTATTCTTCAAAACAGTTTCTCATATTTCTATTGAAAGTGATTTGAAGCTGACCCAAATTGCTAATTGTAGTCAATGCTGAAAGAATTGTCTCCTGTCCTCTGTAAACCCAACAAGTATACTCATTCATTCTCGAGTGTTCTCAGGAAAAGGTTCTATGTAACTGTTTTAGCAAAAGATGACATTGTCCTTACTATATGCCAAGTGCTATTCTATGCATTCTATATTTTAATGTCCTCAAAGCTTATAACCACCTCCTGTGTATGTGTTTTAGGGAGGGAGGACACTGCTATTATCCCCATTTACAGATGGAGAAACCAAGGTGTGAAGACATTAAGTAACGTGCCCAAAATTGCCCATCTAGTAAGTGACAAAACTCAATTTCAACATAAGCTGGTTCCTTTTCTTACTACTTGGTGGAAAAGTAATTCAAATGGGAATATGATCATCGCAGTTATTAGCTGCTCCATGGAGTTTAAGGAAGAGCTGCCATGAGCTGAGTGGTGGTCATGATTGACATGTCCTTAGAAGGACTTAGAGCCTTCATACAAGACCACCTCTGCCTCATGGAGGACAGAATAAGGAGCCTGACACTGGAGACAACATTTTCCTCAAATTTAGGCAGGACAGAGAAGGAAAAAGGACATCAGGACTATGCCCATTCCTCCATGCTGCCAACAGCAAAGTCCCACCTTCCTTAATATGCTTTCTGGCAAGAAATCTGGATGGTACACAAAACCTCTCCCTCTGCTTCACCTTCCACAACCAAGCATTTCCAAATCTTTGACTCTTCTTCCTGAATCGTGCTTAAAATCTGCCCTCTCCTCCCTTTCTTATACGGATAGTTTGAATTTTACTCCTTGATATTCCTTTTATCATAGACATGCCACAGTAGCTGGGCACAGTGGTTCATGCCTCTAATCCCAGCATTTTGGGAGGCTGAGATGGGAGGGAGACCAGGGGTTTGAGGCCAGTATAAGCAAGAAAGGCAGACCATGTCTCTACAAAAAATAAAAAAATTATCCAGGTATGGTGGGGCATCCCTGTAGTCCTAGCTACTTGGGAGGCTGAGGTGGGAGGATTGCTTGAGCCCCAGAAGGTTGAGGCTGCAGTGAGCCGAGATTGCACCATTGTACTCCAACCTGGGATACAGAGCAAGACCCTACCTCAGGAAAAAAAAAAAAAAAAAAAAAAAAAAGTAGAGGTACCAGAGTGATATTTTCAATGTCACTGACCCTTCATTCCCCAAATGAAAATCCCCCAATAGGTGTTCAATTTTTACGTGTCCTTCAGGAGTTACTTCTAAGATGAACCACTCTCTACCCTAAATGTCCCTCCCCACCACCAAAACCAGGGACCTCCAGGCAGACATTTTTGATGGTTTGTTTTCTTTACTAGACTGTAGATACCTAAAAGGTGATGGGTCTTTCTTCCCTGTTTTCAGGCCCTACTGCATGGCTTTACATATTGTGGTTTTTCAAATGATATTCATGGTGTGAAACAAGAAAAAATGCGGGTGTTTGGTTTGAGAACAACCTGTTCTAAAGCAAAAAGAAATTCATCATAACACAAATGGATAGAGATAAGAGTCCAACCATCCCATTGAAGGTCAGGATGGACAGTCTAGATAATTGAGCAAGAAATCATCATAAACTATTTTTCAGAAGAATGACATGATGAAAGCTGTATTTCCAAGTCATAATGTTAGGTTTCAAGTTAAATCATCTCAGCTCCTGGGGAGCAGGATAAGACTTGGTACTTACCAAAGCTCCCGGGCCCACACACTCACCTTGTAGCCCTGGCATACGTCTTCAACAAGAGCTGTGGTGTGCCCTTTGTGCTGTGGTGCCCGCTCACAGCGCCAGCAGATGAGCTGCCCCTCGTCTTCGCAGAACAGGTGGAACTGCTCTCCGTGTTCCTCACATGACATTTCTTGATCCGTCTCTTTGAGGGCTTCAATGAGGCTTCCCAGCTGCTTGTTGGGTCGGAGGCTATCCATATGAAATGGAGCCCGACACTGGGGACAGCAGAATGTCTCCTGCCTCAGTTGCTTTTGGCTTGGGTTTTTAAAGAAGTCTGTTATACACAAGTGGCAGTAGCTGTGTCCACAGTTGATGCTTACTGGGTTCGTCATCAGGCTCAGGCAGATGGAGCAGGTGGCTTCCTCCATCATCTTCTTGGTGCTGGTGGTTGAGGCCATAGCTTTTATTGAAAAGCTCCAATATTGGCTCTAGAGATGGAGATGAAGCAGCCAGAATTTTCCACCGTGATGAAAATACACCTCACCTGCACCTCTATGTGATGAGCTGGCTGCAACTGACTTCCATAGGTCTTGAAGGTTTTCCTTCCAACCCCTATTATCTCATTTTGTATTGAAGAAAAGAGGACCTAAAAGGAAGAAGTTGAGGCTGAGGTTGTTTGGGCCACGTTTGAGAACTGCAACCCAAGTGCAGAGTTTCAAGTTGCCCTCATTAGCAAGCAGTTACAAGTGGTTGTTTAGAGGAAAAAAAGCAGTTTTAAAGCAGTTTTAAAGTTGTTTGCCAAGAATTTACATTAAAATAGCATAAGCTTTTGACTGGCTATACATTGTTCTTTGTATTACAAATCTCGGGAATATGTAGGTAATAGATGAGGCAGCCAGTCAGGAACAAAATGCTTTTAAACATGGGGTCTTAACTGAAGACCTATACTCCTGCCTCACTTGTCCTGATAAATTTTGCATACCTCACATAGCTCAGACTGCTCTAAATTATTTCATTATTTTTCTTTTCTCAGTCTTCTAACTTTTTTTTTTTTTTTTAATGAGACGGAGTCTCACTCTGTCACCCAGGCTGGAGTGCAGTGACGCTATCTCGGCTCACTGCACCTCCGCCTCCCGGGTTCAAGCGATTCTCCTGCCTCAGCCTCCCGAGTAGTAGCTGGGTCTACAGGTGTGCACCACTACGCCCAGCTAATTTTTGTATTTTTAGTAGAGATGGGGTTTCACCATGTTGGTTGGCTCGATCTCTTGACCTTGTGATCCACCCGCCTCAGCCTCCCAAAGTGCCAGGATTACAGGCATGAGCCACCGTGCCCAGCCTCTTTTTCTTTTCTTATAAGACAAGTTCTCGCTCTCTTGCCCAGGCTGTAGTGGAGGGCAGTGGCATGACCACAGCTCACTGCAGCCTCGACCTCCTGGGTTTAAGCAATCCTCCTGCCTCACCCTGGCAGAGTGGCTGGGACTACAGGTATGTGCCACCATGTCCAGCTAAAGTCTTCTCTCCAGAAAGAAGAAATGCATTGGAATTTAGAGGATACACAAACATCTAGCTGTATAGCTAATACAGTAGCCACTATCATGAGTAGGAATTTAAATTTAACTTAATAAAAATTAAAATGAAAAAATTCAGTTTTTCTGTTCCAGTTGCCACATTTTGATTGCTTAATAGTTGCATGTGACTAGTGGCTACATAACAGCCTCAATATACAACATTCTGTTATCACAGAAAGTTACCTTGGACCAAGTGCTGGGAGAAGCAATGCAGGCTTCCTCACAAAAGCTGTAAAAGAGAGAACTCAGGGAGTGTGAAACTCTTTCCTATTCTAGTTAACTTCAAGAATAATTGTTACCAGGCCAGCACGGTGGCTCACGCCTGTAATCCTAGCACTTTGGGAAGCCGAGGCGGGCAGATCACCTGAGGTCAGGAGTTTGAGACCAGCCTGACCAACATGGCAAAACCTCATCTCTACTAAAAATACAAAAAGTTAGCTAGATGTGGTGGTGCACACCTGTAATCCCAGCTGCTCAGGAGGCTGAGGAAGGAGAATGACTTGAGCTCCGGAGGGGGAGGTTGCAGTGAGCCCAGATTACACCACTGCACTCCAGCCTGGGTGAAAGAGCGAGAATCTGTCTTAAAAAAAAAAAAAAGAATAATTGGTACCAGAATTACTCTTTGTAATTAGTAGTAACACTTATGCAATTGGGTGATCTGTGACAGATTCCATTGAAGGAGTATGGGGAGCTTCACCCCAATATATGACTCCCTGGTATAATGAGTATTTTGAATTAAAGGCCCTTAGAGATCAGCAGATGCTGGAAGAGACTTTTCCCCTATCTACATAAAGACCAGTCACACTAGACAAGAAGAACAATTGTTTTTCCTTCCAACCCCTATTATCTCATTTTGTACTGAAGAAAAGAGGACTAAGAATGTAACCAGACCTAATCAGACACTTTCACAAAATAATGTCTGTCTCTCAGGCTCATTCATTTTCCAAAGAGAACCATTTACAAGTTAAACTCTGTTCCTCCATTCATTCATCCTCCCAAATATTCATTTATTCTCCCTAGTAATCATTTACTGCCCCTCAAAGAATTACCTATATTCTCCTGATATCACCCTTCCCCTCTGAAATAAATATGTATACATGTATAAACGTTATACATACATATTTATACAGTATACATACATATTTATACATACATACATATGCATACATATTTATATTTATGTATTTATACATAAGTATTTATAAATAAGGCTATATAAGTATCTACCCCCATTGGCAGAGGGGGTAATCACTCTGTGATTCTAGCCCATGTACTTGTTAATAAATTTGTATGCCTTTTCTCCAATTAGCCTGCCTTTTGTGAGTCGATTTTTCAGTGAACTTCAGAAGGCAAAGGGGAAGTGTTCCCTTGGCTCCTACACCATCATGACAATAAAATTTGACTCCACCTCGACCCCCCCCATCCCCCACAAAGAACAACAACCAACACTGGTTAATAAGGTCGGTTGTTTTTTGTTTGTGTTTTTGTTGTTGTTGTTTTTGCTTTCAGGAGCAGAGGTATAATAGGCAAAAGAAAGAGAAAGGAGAATAGTGAATACCTCTTCTGCAGAGAGGGGTGCCTAAGTGGGACTTCCCTGGCTAATAACGTCTTGCTAGAGACCCAACCAGGAGGATAATGGAAGCAATCAAGGCAACCAGAACAACCAGAAGAACCGGTTTATCCTTTTTGTGCCCTCTCCCTAAACTGAGGGAATAAGAATTGGAAAGAAGGCTGCAGAGCAGAGGGTTTGCTCCTGAGGAGCAGTTATTTCTATGGGATCAGAGCTCCTGCAGAACTGGGGAGTTTACTTTTACTATCTCTTCTCCAGGACAGGACCTATCTCAAGAGACATGTTCAGAGTGATTGCAACATAAAGAGTTTGCAGACCCAAGGAGGTAGGGAAGGCAGAAAGAAGATGGGGGAGGCCAGGGATAGGCAACAGAGGAGTGACCAGGAGCGAAAAAGCCTGCCTCTTCTGAGAACCTAGCTGGGCTCTCCCTGTACCCCCGATCCCTCCCCCCCGCCCGCCCCCACACCCCTACTCCTGGGAGCTCCTCTAGGACAGGGGCAGAGTCAGGAGGAAGTTTGAAGAGTGCCTAGAATAAAAAACAGTAATTTAACTACAATTACCGGGTAGGCTGTTTTCCTCTCACAATTTGATCAGTCTCTTGAAGCCACACAGAATTTCTTCTGAAGACGTGTATTCCTTGGCAGGCTATTTCCTCCAGTGATACACCAGGCCCCTCTCTGCTGGGGTCACTGCTCTTCTGGGGAGATGGGGCTCCCCTCCTTCCAAGGCTCCAGGGTTCCTGTCCTGGGCCCCACTCATCTAAGTTCTGAATCTTCTGAGATTTGGTGTAAAGTCTGGTGAAAGAAAGAGCAGGAAAGAGGTGAGAGCTGTAAAACAAAGAAAGTCCTGACCATTTTCAGAGTTGGAGGGGCCCTGCTGTCACGAAATATATTCCCCACCCCACTTGCCATCAGTACACACTCACATATCCACTGAGAAAACCTTAGCCTGGACCTTTTCCGTAACCTTCACTGCTCAGACACTTACATATTCGCTGCTAGTCCCCTCTGTTGCTGCCACTTCCTGGGTCAGGAAGTTAACTCAGACCGGATTAAACTGAGAAGTGAAACTACTGTGGGAGGCGGGGCTCATAAGATTTAGGAGAAAACTAGTGACGTTGTTCATATCATTTGCACTCCGCCTCTCCGGTAAAGGAGGGGGAAACGTAGGAAGAAAATATCCTTCTTTTACAGCAATAAAAAGAAGGAACCAATTAATAACCCTGTAAACTATCATGTGACCCCAACACAGAGTATCTAAAAACAGGAAGCCTGCAGAGGTTCAGTTCACAGACTCTGATTTGAGATCTTTCTACTTTTGCCACCAACTCCCTTGGGAGTCCTTAAGCCTTCCTAGCTGATGTTACTTCTTTTGCTATTTATGGGTTGCTTGTGGTTCTATAACTGCTCTGAAGGGTGTGGTGGAAAAAGGGGTGGTAACAGCAGTAGGACTCATTGGCATCACAAAATTCATCTGAGTCAGCTTTCTATTCTTCTCTGTCCCGTTCTGTGTCTTGTTTTTCTCCTTGCTGTCCTTCTGCAGGACTCAGATCTTCTTCAATAGCGAGGGTCAGCCAGGATAGAAAATGGGAGTCACTAGTGGCCCAGCAGTGAGTGCCCCCAGCTTAGAGCTGTGTGGGATCCCTGGGACCATCACTCTGCTTTGTGCTTTGTGGAGAAAAGGCTGTGGGGTCCAGGGTCAAGTCCTTAATGACTTAGCTCCAGCTTCTCCACTTCAAAATGAAAGGAAAAGTACTATCACCACCCGTTAGAATTATTATTTCATGGGGAAAAAAGATGGATTACTATCTCACAATAAGAGCTTGTCACATTTATAAGTCTCAGGTGTAAGAGGCATTTATGATAACAACATAATAAATGCTGGCTTAAGTAGATGCAGTGGTCCAAGGGAACCAGTAAGGGGAGCTCAGGACACAGGTGGGAGGAGAAATTAAACTTGAATTCTGGGAGCCACTGGCCTGTCTGGGCCCCTGGCCTGCCTGCTGACCCTGATAGCCAATGGAACATGGAGTTTGGCCCAGCTGCAATCCCTCTGGTCCAACTACTCAAAATAAAGGCAAGATTGGGAAACACGTTCCTTTCTTCCTATACCAAGCAGAAGACTCTTCAGCACTGCACCCTCCTGGGTGCTCACAGAGCCTTCTGTTGTTTTGCCACCTACGATTCATCATGCCCTGGCATGATGGTTGCAGACCCCATGCATAGCATGGGACATTCTACTCCTGAGGCAACCAGCACACAGAGAGAGGAGAAAGAATGAGCCCCTGAATCCTTGGTCCCACGATGAGTCCTTGCAGATATCTACAACTTTCATTGTTGTGGATGTGACTCTGTACCCAGGCATGGCTCATTCCAGATCTGTCCTATTGTCAGAGGTGTTCAAACCAGAATGACTCCATTTTGAATGGGGGCTAGGTAAAATAAGGCTGAGACCTACTGGGCTGCATTCCCAGGAAGTTAGGCATTGTAAGTCACAGGATGAAATAGGCAGTTGGCACAAGACACAGGTCATAAAGATCTTGCTGATAAAACAGGTTGCAGTAAAGAAGCTGACCAAAACCCACCAAAATCAAGATGGCAACAAGAGTGGCCTCTAGTCATTCTCATTGCTCATTATACACGAATTATAATGTGTTAGCAAGTTAGAAGGCATTCCCACCAGCTCCATAGTGGTTTATAAATACCATGGCGATGTCAGGAAGCTACCCTATATAGTCTAAAAAGGGGAGGAACGCTTGGTTCTGGGAATTGCCCACATCTTTCCCAGAAAACATATGAATAATCCACTCCTTGTTTAGTACATAATCAAGAAATAACTGTAAGTATCTGTATTAGTCCATTTTCACACTGCTGATCCAGACATACCTGAGACTGAGTAATTTATACCAGGAAAAAATGTTTCATGCTCTTACAGTCCCACGTGTCTGGGGAGACCTCACAACCACAGCAGAAGGCAAGGAGGAGCAAGTCAGGTCTTACATGGATGGCAGCAGGCAAAGAGCTTGTGCAGGGAAATTCCTTTCTATAAAACCATCAGGTCTCATGAAACTTATTGACTATCATGAGAACAGCAGTATAAATTACTCAGGGAAAGACCTGCCCCCATGATTCAATTACCTCCCACCAGGTCCCTCCCACAATATGTGGGAATTTAAGATGAGAGTTAGGTGGGGACACAGCCAAACCATATCAGTATCCTTAGTCCAGAAGCTGATGCTCTGCCTGTAGAGTAGCCGTTCTTTTATTCCTTTACTTTCTTGCTTTCACTTTACTGTGTAGACTTGCCCCAAATTCTTTCTCACACGAGATCTAAGAACCTTCTCTTAGGGTCTGGGTTGGGACCCCCTTTCTGGTAACACTATCAAAGGATCAGGAAAAGGAAGCTAGTGAATGCTAAAAAGGAAACAAACTACCATTACCAATAATAACAGCAAGACAAAAGCAAAACGGATTGTGACAGCTGTCCCATCTCACACCTGTTTCCCATTGCAGGAAGGAGGGGCTGGTTCATGCACAGAGTGGCCAATATTAGAAGCAGAGATGGGGTGCAGATGAGACTTCAGGAATATGTTGACAAAGGCAGGCCTAGGGAGAAATCAACCTGAACTATCCCCAAGGAGGAATGCATTATCTCTAATATGTAAAGTTAGGCTTGATCCTGTGATTATGGGATATAGGAGTCCAAAGACTCACAATGGGAAGTAGGTCACTAGAGTCTCCTTCAGAAGCTCTGTACTGTGTGTTCCCACTGTGGGCAAGAGTCAGCACTCAGCTATTCCTAGAATGCCTTTCCTCAACTCCTTCAGATTTTGCCTCTCAACTAACCCTATCCTGACCACTTGTTAGCAAGTGTACCCCTCTCTCCCTCCCAAACATTTTCAAATCTATTTTGTTCCCATGGCACTTATCACTGAATATTTTACTAATTTATTTTGTTTAGTGTTTGCTTCCCTCATGAGAATGCAAAGGGATGGATTTTTTTCAATATTGTTCACTGATGAATCCCAGTAACTAGAATATTTCTAAGCATAGTGATGTGCATTAAATCAAAGAGTAACTTTCTGAATTGCACTAAACACACATCACAAGAGGTGTGTGCACATATGTGCATGATGCACGTAGTGTGGTGTGGGTGTTGTGTGGGGTATGTGGTACTGTGTGTGCTGTGTGTGGTATGTGATACATAGTTTGTGTTAGTGTGATGCATGTGATGTGGTATGTGTGTGCGTGTCCATACATATTAGGGGTGGCGGGGATGTTAATATGTCAAATGGTACTAGAAAGTATCAGAACTCATGGTGCTTACTGGTTTCCCAGAGAGCTGCTTCTCTCCCACCTGTAGGATATACTGATGGTTTGGACAGAGAAGAAATAAAAAGAAGGCTGTGACCTACTGGGCTGAGGAAATAAAAACGAAAGTAAAAGAAGAGCTGGGAAAAGAGAGTGGAGGGGCCAAGGGAAATTTCCCCTTTGGCTTCTGGGGAAACTTTGCTGAAAAATCAACTCACAAATTTATTAACATGTACACAGGGAGAACCATAGAATGATTATCCACTTCCCAAGAGGGCTTAAAAGCTTATATATTATCCTGGCAAAACAGATTATGGGAGGGGAAGAAGAGAAACTCTGTTGATGGGATTACTGTTGCGGATTTTTGCTCCTTCGCTCAGCTAGGTCCGGGTTTTTGTCTCACAGCCAGGAAGAATTAGGCATGCAGCCATCAAAGAATGAGTGGAGTAGAATTTATTAAGTGAAAGGAAAGCTCTCAGCAAAGACAAGGGTCCTGAAAGCAGATTTCTGGTTTGCTCTTCACAGTTGAATACTAGGGCTTAAGACTCAAATTCCTGACAACTCCACCCTGTCCTACCAGTGCATGCAGGCCTTTAGACTGAGCTACTCCATATTGATTAATTTCCTGAACTGTGCATGTGTTAAGGAAAGGAATCATCCACTGCAGGCATGTTTAGGCAAGCCCCCTGTGCAAGTTCCCTTATCTGCACAAAACATCCGGTGTAAGCACTTGTGGGGCAGGTCAGAGGTTCTCTGGGTACCATTCCCTTACTGTCTGCCTAAAGCAAGCTGGCCAACTCCTTTCATTACTAGGGAGAGTAAGTAGATCAGGGAACAGAGATTAACTTGAACATTATCTTGTGAAAGTCCGTTCGGGCATGGTTACATTCTTGGTCTTACAGGAAGGGTAAATAAAAATAATTGCTCTTTTTGGTGGGTCTGGATCTTAGGTAGATAAAGAAACTTTAATTCCACGATGTGTTTTGGTAGGGATAGTTGGTGGCAGGGATGTCAGAGAGACTTTGAGGCTTCTTCAGTTCAATATGACCAAGGGCCATATATTAGGGTATCAATTTCTGAGCCCCAACAAGAGCTTAGGAGAGATGTGATAGCATCACAGTGTGAAAGCAATTTTTTGTTTGTTTTTAGAGACAGGCTCTTGCACTGTCACCCTGGCTGAAGTACAATGGTACGATCACAGCTCACTGTAATCTTGAACTGGGTTCAAATGATCCTCCCATCTAAGCATTTCAAAGTGTTGGGATTACAGGCATGAGCCACGGTACCCAGCCTGAAACTGCACCCACTTTCTGATAAACTTTTCAAATGACTAAAGGGGAGAGAGTAAGCACTACTCAGAGGTAGGAAGAAAGGACACAGGATTATAGGATTAAAACAACAACCACCAAAAAAAACCAGACCGGTGTGGTGGCTCACACCTGTAATCACAGCACTTGGGGAGGCTGAGGTGGGGGGAGTCACTGGAGGCCAGGAGTTCGAGACGAGCCTGGCCAACATAGCAAGATGCTGTCTCTATTAAAAAAAAAAAATACCTGCCTTGAGCTAATCAGAATCATGGACCCTGACAAAGGATGTCCCAAAGTAAGTCTTAGCATTTTTTTTTTTTTTTTGAGACAGTCTCGCTGTGTTGCCCAGGCTGAAGTTCAGTGGCGTGATCTCGGCTCACTGCAACAGCTGCCTCCCAGGCTCAAGCAATTCTCCCTGCCTTCAGCCTCCCAAGTAGCTGGGATTACAGATGCCCACCACCACGCCTGGCTAATTTTTGTTTTTTTTAATAGAGATGGGGTTTTGCCATGTTAACCAGGCAGGTCTTGAACTCCTGACCTCAAGTGATCTGCCCACCTTGGCCCCTCCATAGTGCTGGGATTACAGGCGTGAGTCACTGCACCCGGCAAAGTCTTAGCATTCTTTACAAACAGTTTGTACCCGTATCTCTAAAAGGGAGTAGTGAATTTCACCCCAAAATGTGGCTTCCTGATATAATGAGTATTTTGAATGAAAAACTCTTAGAGATCAACAGACACTAAAGAGACTTTTCCCTAGGTACATAAAAATAGGATGGCCCCACCAGCGAGAACAATTGTTCTTTTCTCCCTCTCTGTTATCTCATTGTGCATTATAGGAAAGACCAAGAATGTAACCACACCTGAACAGACCCTTTTATAAGATAATCAGTCTCTAAGCATCATTTAAATTCCAAGGAGAACTATTTACAAATTTATCTGTTCTTTGATCCAATTAGTCTCTCCTGGTAGTTACATATTGCCCCTCAACAGAATTCCTCTTCTTCTGTTTCCCATAACCTATTTTGCAAGGATCAAGCCCCTGTTATTTCTTCAACTTCAAGGTGGCATATAAGCTTCTAAATTCCACTGGGATATTGGTACTATGTGCATGAGGAGAACCACAGAGTAATTAAATTGTAAAGCCTTTTATCTTATGAATCTGCCTTTTTTTGTGTTCATTTTTCAGCAAAACTTCCAAGGGCAAAGGTATAAAACAAAAATAAAATTCTAAAGCCCCCCAACCATCTGAATAGACTTTCTCTTCAGTCAGGCTTCTTAAAATGTAACCTGAAAGACTGGCTCAGGCCATTAAGGGAAGTGGGGGTTGAACATGCCTCATTATTCCTCTCTGGCATTAACATCAACACAGCTTTTAAGTCTGATAAGAAACATTTTACAACCTATTCTCTCTGAAGCCTGCTAGCTAAAAACTTCATCCCATAGTACAACTTTGGTCTTCACAACCTGTTATCACAACCTAGTGCTCCTTTCTATTAATCCCAAATCTTTATACAAACTCAACCAATTGTCATCACCTCCACCCCACTCCTCCGCTGCTTCCAGTTGTCCCGCCTCTCTGGACCAAACCAGTGTACATTTCTTAAACGTATTTGATTGATGTCCCATGCCTCCCTAAAATGTATAAAGCCAAGGTGCATCCCAACCACCTTGAGCGCTTGTTCTCAGGACCTCCTGAGGGCTGTGTCATGGGCCATGGTCACTCAAATTTGGCTCAGAATAAATCTCTTCAAATGTTTTACAGAGTTTGGCTCTTGTCATGACACAGATGACTGCTTCACTGAAGCCTGCTCTGGAAGTGAGTGGGGGTTTTGCAAGGATAATTTTCCCCGGATAGCCCCAGAAGCAGCTAGTAATAATACACTTAAAGGTAGCTAAAATGCATTGAACACTTGTTTTGTGCCAGACCTATGTCAACATTTGCTTTGTGCCAGGCTTATGCCAGTACTCCTGATTTGTTAATACATTCTAAATAAAAATTCTGGAGTTTCAAATATAATAACTGAAAAACAGAAAATAAATAAAAATATATAATAACTGAAATAAAAATTTACTAAGGCTGGGGATGGTGGCTCACTCACACCTGTAATCCTGTTACCGGAAAGGGGTCCGTCCAGATCCAGACCCCAAGAGAGGGTTCTTGGATCTCACACAAGAAAGAATTCGGGCGAGTCTGTAAAGTGAAAGCAAGTTTATTAAGAAAGTAGAGGAATAAAAGAACGGCTACTCCATAGGCAGAGCAGCTCTGAGGGCTGCTGGTCGCTCATTTTTATGGTTATTTCTTGATTATGTGCTAAACAAGGGGTGGATAATTCATGCCTCCATTTTTTAGACCATATAAAGTAACTTCCTGACGTTGCCATGGCATTCGTAAACTGTCGTGGCGCTGGTATGAGCATAGCAGTGAGGACGACCAGAGGTCACTCTCATCGCCATCTTGGATTTGGTGGGGAGCAGTGAGGATGACCAGAGGTCACTCTCATCGCCATCTTGGATTTGGTGGGGTTTAGCCAGCTTCTTTACTTTTTTCTTTTTTTTTTTTGCCCAGGCTGGAGTGCAGTGGCACGATCTCAGCTCACTGAAACCTCCAATTTCTGAGTTCAAGCGATTCTCGTGCCTCAGCCTCCCAAGTAGCTGGGATTACAGGCATGTGCCACCACACCCAGCTAATTTTTTATATTTTTAATAGAGACCGGGTTTCGCCATGTTGCCTACGCTGATCTCCAACTCCTGCGCTCAAGCCATCCAGCCACCTTAGCCTCCCAAAGTGCTGGGCTTATAGGTGTGAGCCACCCCACCTGGCCTAGCCGGCTTCTTTACTGCAACCTGTTTTATCAGCAAGGTCTTTATGACCTGTATTTTGTGCCCACTGCCTGCCTCATCCTGTGGCTTACAATGCCTAACTTACAGGGAATGCAGCCCAGCAGGACTCAGCCTTATTTCACCCAGCTCCTATTCAAGATGGAGTCTTTCTTGTTCAAATACCTCTGACAAGCCCAACACTTTGGGAGGATGACACAGGAGGATTGCTTTAGCCTAGGAGCTCAAGACCAGCCTGGGCAACACAGTGAGACCCCATCTCTAAAAAAAAAAATACAAAAAAATTAGCCAGGCATGATGGTGTGTGCCTGTAGTCCCTGCTACTCAGGAGGCTGAAGTGGGAAGATGGCTTCAGCCCAGGAATTCAAGGCTGCATTGTCAGAGGCATTTGAACCAGAATGACTCTATCTTGAATAGGCGCTGGATAAAATAAGGCTGACACCTGCTAGGCTGCATTTCCAGTATGTTAGGCATTCTTAGTCACAGGATGAGATAGGAAGTCAGCACAAGGTACACATCACAAAGACCTTGCTGATAAAATAGGTTGTGGTAAAGAAGTTGGCCAAAACCCATCAAAACCAACATGGCCACCAAAGGGACCTCTGGTTGTCTTCACTGCTCATTATATGTTAATTATAATGTATTAACATGCTAAAAGACACTCCTACCAGCATCATGACAGCTTACAAATACTGCGGCAATATCTGGACTTTACCTTATATGGTCTAAAAGGTGGAGGAACCCTCAATTTTGGGAATTGTCCACCCCTTTTTTGGAATGCTCATGAATAATCCACCCCTTGTTTAGCACATAATCCAGAAATAACTATAAGTATGCTTATTTGAGCAGACCACGCTGCTGTTCTGCCTACAGAGTAGCCATTCTTTTATTTCCTTACTTTCTTAATAAACCTGCTTTCACTTTACTGTATGGACTTGCCCTAAATTCTTTCTTGTGTGAGATCCAAGAACCCTCTCTTGGGGTCTGGATCAAGACCCCTTTCTGGTAACATCTTTCTGGTGACCACGAAGGGACAATACTGAGGAGACTCTGAAGCCAAAGGAAACAGACTACAGCACCAACTGGCTGACTTTGGGTAAGTGGTGGAGTCCCCGGGTAAAGGATAGGATTGGGTTAGAGGTGCAACTTAGGGGAGATAGGGTCTCTCCTAAGACAGAGAGGGTTTCAGTCCGCTCTTAATAAAGGGCAAGAATGCTTGACCGAACTTGGGTTTGAGACCCAACTTAGGAAGGCTACAGTCCTTAAGATTTAAGGGGTTAGAGGCCCCTCTCAGTAAAGTCTCTCTTGGTTAAAAACGGATTTAGCATTAGGGGATGTTAACTGCTATTCTGTTTGTATTAATCTTCCCTGTGCTCTTTGCTGACAGCTATGGGTGACAGGATTAGGCATGTACAGGATCACGGGACATTGGGAACTTTTCTTCTCTCCAAAAGGGGAAGCTTGACAGCTGATAGGACTGTTGGAAAAGATCCCTTTGCTATGACAAGCAGCCGCCTGAACTTTTGATTCAGTGTTGCTGCAATGGGTGGGTCTTTCTCTGGCCTCTGTGAACTCCTCACCTTCCCCATCTCACCACAGGCAATGCTTTTCTCCCTTTCTCTCTTTTCTCTTTTCTGTCTTTTCTGTTACTTGAGACAACCATCTTGCCCAGAGACCATATGTTGAAACTCCTGGTCAGAAGTTTGATTAAAGATGAAAGGGCCTATCTGGGGGCAAGTTTGAGCCTTCCCAGTTAGATATTGGGTGCTAAGTGGAGTGGCCAATGTCTATGTTTTGTCACATGTATATTGCTCTGGCTGAAATGGAAAACGTTAATTTGGTTACTTTATGTGGCCATTGGGCAGCATCTTACAAAAGTGAGAGACATTTATTTGCCTGTGGTTCCATGAAACAGAAAAAAGTTGGTTTTCTTTTGTGTCGTAGCTTGGACCCAAGGGCTTTGCAGTGAGCAAGGTTGCTAGTGCTGCTCAGTGAAAGAGAACCCAGAAACCTGGCATGCCAGCAAAAGGGTAAAGATTTCTTACCAGTCAGGCTTCTGGCCTCTCTCTCTTAGTGAAAACTGAATGAATGGTAAAAATCACTGTTTATCACCTCTGTAAAGTTTTGATTAATGGGAACAAGGATTTGTGGGGCTAGTCTTAAGCTGTAATGAATCTGGTATACTTTGTGATATCAATTTGTCTTTCTGTATTACTCTGTCATAAAGAGGAATATGGTAGGATAGAACATGGGCTCAGGACTCCATAAGCCTGCTGTTCAAGCCAGCCCAGTAAACTGGTCCGTTGCAAAGTTTATTACAGGTCCCTGGAAAAAAAAAAAAATAAAAACTGGATGAAGTTTCCTTCTCATCTTGTTTTATGTCCTTTGGAGCTTCACCTTGTAACCACGTGGCGGTACTTTCTCTTGGTCTCTGCCATCCAGGGAACAGGAATTTTGGGGTTTATGTAATAGTTAACTCTAAAAATTATCTCAAGCCATTGCAAGCTCAAAATTGGCTGCTCTGGACCCCTTCTGGGAAGGGCAATGGAAACTAACCAGTGTTGTAGCTCAGCAGCTAAGGATTTGTCATTTTATAATGGCGGCCAAGGTTCAATCCTGGCTTAGGGAATGAGTACTTTCTGATTGATATCTGTGTGACCTTTACCATTTGTTGATTCTGTTCTCTTCCCCTCCACACACTGTCTTGAGTTTTCCTCTCTCTGAGAACCTGGGAGATTATCTTTGGTAAAGTTCAAAAGCCAGAAATAATGGCCGTGTGGGATGGCTAAAGTTGAGTAATAAGAAACTTAAAAGGACTCCTTTTTTTTTTGCTTTAGAGTGCTATGGTTTATGGTTAAAAGCTTAATTAAAAGTGGATATTCAATCTCTAAAAGCCTGGGACTCCTTGGGAAAAGCAGAGGAGGCACCACAGACCCCATTTTGGGAAAACCTCTGTTTTCCTCATGAAACCCCAGGAACTGGAAGTGGATAGATCCTTCGCAAAATCTAAGGCTCTGTTTGGCTTTGCATTATGTTATCTGATGTTTTTGACTTTTGGGGGTATCAGAAATTACTTTGCATTATGAGGGAGATCTGGTGTGTAATAACCAGGTAGGAAATATACTTCTGGGGATAGCTAAAGGCAAATATAGGTGAATACTTGGCTATTTGCACTTTTGGATCACAAGAAGCATTCTCTTGACTACCTAGAAGGTATGGAAATGTCTCCATCCCCACCGAGAGATAAGATTCCCAGGGGAGATGGCTGATCCCCCAAAAGAGGGCTGATTCCCTCTTTTGGGATCCAGGATCTGGTATAAAAATGGGACCCTGGCCAGGCACAGTGGCTCACGCCTGTAATCTCAACACTTTGGGAAGCCTCAGAGTTATGAATGTCTCACCATACTGACACTTTGTGACTGAGCTCCTCTCTACCCTGGACACAAGAGACCCTAATAATTAGACAGGAATATCATTGCCCCTATTTAGTCTGAAGAAGTTATAGAAGACGGATCTTTATCCCACTGCAATCCTTAGGATTAAGGGTTCCCTGGTAAAAGGGAGTGGGAAAATATGTCAGAGGCATTTGAATCAGAGTGACTCCATCTTGAATAGGGGCTGGGTAAAATAAGGCTGAGGCCTGCTGGGTTAGGTTAGGCATTCTAACCAGGAGTTTAGTCACAGGATGAGATAGAAGGTTGCACAAGGTACCCGTCACAAAGACCTTGCTGATAAAATAGGTAACGGTAAAGAAGCCAGCTAAAGCCCACCAAAACCAACATGGCCACAAAAGTGACCTCTTGTCATCCTCACTGCTCATATACACTAATTATACTGCATTAGCATGCTACAAGACACTCCCACCAGTGCCACGACAGTTTACAAATACCATGACAACATCTGGACGTTACCTTATATGGTCTAAAACGGGGAAGAACCCTTAGTTCTGGGAATTGTCCACCTCTTTCCTGAAAAATTCTTGAATAATCCATTAGTTTAGCACATAATCCAGAAATAACTATACGTCTGCTTATTTGAGCAGTCCATACTGCTGCTCTGCCTATGGAGTAGCCATTCTTTTCTTTTATTTTTATTTTTTAGATAAAGACTCGCTCTGTCACTCAGGCTGGAGTCTGGAGTGCAGTGACGTGTTTTGGCTCACTGCAACCTTCACCTCCCGGGTTCAAGCAATTCTCCTGCCTCAGCCTCCCAACTAGCTGGGACCACAGGTGGGTGCCACCATGCCTGGCTAATTTTTGTATTATTAGTAGAGATGGGGTTTCGCCATGTTGGCCAGGCTGGTCTCGAACTCCTGGCCTCAAGCGATCCACTTGCCTTGGCCTCCCAAAGTGCTAGGATTACAGGCATTACCCACTATGCATGACCCATTCTTTTATTTCTTAACTTTTTTTTGTTTTTTTGAGACAGAGTCTCACTCTGTCACCCAGGCTAGAGGCTGGAGTGCAGTGGTGCGATCTTGGTTCACTGCAACCTCTGCCTCCTGGGTTCAAGCGATTCTTCTGCCTCAGTCTCCTGAGGAGCTGGGACTACAGACATGTGCCACTACACCCAGCTAATTTTGTATTTTTAGTAGAGACAGTGTCTTGCCATGTTTGTCAGGCTTGTCTCGAACTCCTAACCTCAAGTGGTCTGCCTGCCTCAGCCTCCCAAAGTGCTGTGATTACAGGCATAAATCACTGCGCTCGGCCCTTCTTTACTTTCTTAATAAACTTGTTTTCACTTTACTGTATGGACTAGCCCCAAATTCCTTCTTGTGTGAGATCCAATAACCCTTTTGTGTGTGAAAGAATGTATTGCTGCTGTTCAGGCTGGAGCAAGCTGGAGCTCATGCTGCTGCTCAGACTGGAGCATGCGTGATCTGTGATCCCAGTAAGAGGATCATGGTCACTCCAGCCTGAACGACAGCATGATATCTCATCTGTAAGAAAAAAAAATTACTAGAGGGCTTTAACAGCAAATTTGAGCAGCAAAAAGAAGTAATCAGTGAACTCAAAGATAGGTCAATTGAAATGATCTACTCTGAAAAACAGAAAGAAGACAGAATGAAGAAAAAGAAATAGAGCCTTAGAGACAGGGGATACCATCAAGCATACTAATATATGCATAATGGGACTCCTAGAAGGAGAAAAGTGAGAGGACAGGGAGAGAGAATGTTTGGAGAAATAATTTCTCAAAGCTTCCCATGTTTGGCAAAAAAGCATTAACTTGCATACATATTTTAGGAGCTCAATGAATTCCAAGTAGGATACACTCAAAGAGATCCATACCTAGACACATCATAATCAGATTATCAAAAGATGAAGAAGATGAATCTTGAGAGCAGAAAGAAAGGAACAATTCATCACATACAAATAGTACTCAAAAGATGTCTGGAGTAGGTATACTAATATCAGACAAAATAAACTTTAAGATAAGCATTGTTATAATAAATAAAGAAAGGTATTTTGTAATGATAAAAGTGTCAATTCATCAAGAAAACATAACATTATAAACATACATGCACCTAACAACAGAGCCCTAATATTCATGAAACAAAACTGACAGAATTGAAGGGAGAAATAGAAAATTCGACAATAATAGTTGGAGACATCAATACCTCACTAGTTAGACAAGATCAACAAAAAAATAGAAGACTTAACACTTGAAAACACCTAACCTGACCCTAACATAAATCTATAGGTCACTACACCCCAAAACAGCAGAATAAACATCCTTCTGAAGCTCACATGAAACATTTTTCAGGATAGACTGTATATTACTTCATGAAATAAGTCTCAATAAATGTAAAAGGACTATAATAATAGAGTATATATTCTCTGACCAAAGTGGAATGAAGATAGAAATCAATAACTAGGCTGGGCGTGATGGCTCACGCCTGTAATCCCAGCACTTTGGGAGGCCAAGGCGGACAGATCACGAGGTCAGGAGTTTGAGACCAGCCTGACCAACATGGTGAAACCCTGTCTCTACTAACAAAATACAAAAATTAGCCAGGCCTGGTGGCATCTGCCTGTAGTCCCAGCTACTCGGGACACTGAGGCAGGAGAATCACTTGAACCCAGGAGGCAGAGATTGCAGTGAGCTGAGATCGCGCCACTGCATTCCAGCCTGGGAGACAGAGCGAGACTCCGTCTCAAAATTAAAAAAAAAAAAGAAACTAGAAAAATAAGAACAAATCAAACCCAAAGCAAGCAAGAGGAAAATGAAAAATTTCAAAGCAGCCAAGAACAAAAGGCACATTATGTACAGAAGAACAAGTGTATAGATCACATATTTCTCATAGACACAATATAAGCAAAAAGACAGTGGAGCAAAATTTTTTAGATTAATGAAAGACCTACAATTCTGTACCAAGCAAAAAAACTCCCCCCAAATGAGGGTGAAATAAGACAATTTAATACAGAGAAAAGAGGAAGGAATTTATCTAGTCATATGTGAGAGTTTTATGATACATTTTGTACTGTATATGTGGATGTTTTCTATTTCATTTAAAAAATCAACCGTGCAATTAAATGGTAGATTGTCTTGCTTCTTTTTGATTGACACAGTCATTAACTAAAATATTGTAGTATTTTTTTATCTCCCTGCCTAAAGGCAATAAACATCTAATCAGCAGACTAGAACAATAAAAAATATTTTTTAAAAGTCCTTTAGGCAGAATGATAAAAGTCCCTTAGGCATATTGAAATTCCTATTTATACAAAGGAATAAACAGTACTAGAAATTGTAACTATGTGAGTAAACAGATAATATTTTTTCTCCATAAAATGTGGTTGACTATTTTCACAAAAATAGTTAACAATGTAATGTGTGATTTATAGCATTTAAAAGTAAAACAGGCCGGGCACAAAGGTTCGTGCCTGTAATCCCAGCACTTTTGGAGGCCGAGGCGTGCAGATCACTTGAGGACAGGAGTTCAAGACCAGCCTGGCTAACATGGCAAAACCCCATCTCTACTAAAAATACAAAAATTAACCAGGCGTGGTGGTGCACGCCTGTAATCCCAGCTACTCTGGAGGCTGAGGCACAAGAATCACTTGAATCCAGGAGGTGGAGGTTGCAGTGAGGCAAAATTATACCACTGTGCTCCAGCCTAGGCAACAGAGCTAGACTCTGTCACACACACACACACACACAAAAGAAAAGTGTATGACAACAACAGTGCAAAAGAAGTGGAAATGAAAATAATGTTATTTTATATAAGTGGTATACTTTTAGATGAACTACGATAAATTAATGATGTATACTATAAACTCTAAGGCAACCACTGAAATAATGAAACGAAGAATTATGGCTAACAAGCCACAAAAAGAAATAAAATAGAATGAGAAAAAATATTTAAGTTGTTCAACAGATGGGAAAAAAAAGAGGAAAAAGAGAACAAAGAACAGATGGGACAAATGGGAAAGTAATAGCAAGATGATAGACTTAACTCTACCCATATAGATTATCACACTTAAGGTAAATGATCTAAATACTCTAATACAAAAGCAGAGGTTGTCAGATTGAATTAAAAAAACAGACAACAACAAAAAAAAGCAAAAAAAGAGCCACAACATGCTGCCTACAAAAAATTCACTTTAATATAAAGACACAAATAGTCTAGAACACCATCACTTTTAACCTTATTTACTCAAACCTCCTGATCCCTATTTATTTATTTATTTATTTATTTATTTATTTATTTATTTATTTATTTTTGAGACAGAGTCTGACTCTGTTGCCCAGGCTGGAGTGCAGTGGCACCATCTAGGCTCACTGCAGCCTCTACCTCTCGGGTTCAAGCGATTCTCCTGCCTCAGGCCTCCCAAGTAGCTGGGACTATAGGCACATGCCACCATGCCCAGCTAATTATTATATTTTTAGTAGAGACGGGGTTTTGCCATGTTGGCCAGGTTGGTCTCAAACGCCTGACCTCAGCCTCCCAAAGTGCTGGGATTACAGGCGTGAGCCACAGCACCCAGCTCCTCTTCATTTATTCTTGCTACGCTTCCTCCAATCCATTTTGTGCATTTGATGATTTTGCCAGTAACTTCTTTATTTTTCTGGTAAAATTACTTATGGGTCACTGAGGACTGGGATGTTCTTTCTTCTAGAGGGGGTTTGTGTCTGCTTTTGCCAGGAAGCTGGGGTACCACCAGTCAAGTATTACTTTAAACTCAATTCATGAATTGAGACTTTTTTTTTTTTTTTTTTTTTTACGCAGAGTCCTACTCTGTCACCCAGGCTGGAGTGCAGCGGTGTGAACATGGCTCACTGCAGCCTCAACCTACTGAGCTCAAGCAATCCTTCTGCCTCACCATTCTGTATAGCTAGGACTACAGGTGTGTGCCACCATGCCTGACTAATTTTTTAAATATTTTTTTTAGAGATGGGGCTCACTTTGTTGCCCAGGCCAGTCTCGAGCTCCTGGGCTCAAGTGATCCTCCCACCTTGGTCTCCCAAAGTGCTGGGGTTACAGGCATGAGCCTCTGTGGCTAGCCAAGACTTTTTATTTTTTAGCCTAAATGTGTATAAAAGTTGGCTTGTGGTTACAACTTATCAGGATTGATGATCTCTCTCTCTCTCTCTCTCTCTCTCTGTCTCTCCCCACCTCTCTCACATCCCTTGCTCTGCTGAGAAGCAGAGCAAACATTCTAGCAGTTTCCAGAGAGTAGGATGGGATTACTTCTAGTTTACTTTTATCATCCTTTGGGATCGCAGTATTACTGGGAGAACACAAGTATCTCTTATTAGACATACCACCTTTGTAGAATCTGGACTTTCATTTTAGACTTTATTTGTTTTCTACTATAAGCAATTTAAGTTACAGATCTCTCTACACACTGTTTAAGTTGCATCCCATGAATTTTGATGTGCTTTATTGTCATTATTATATAGTACAATGTATTTTGTAATTTTTTGTGATTTGTTTGGAGAGATTGATTAATTAGAATGATGTTTAATTTCCAAATATGTGTGTTTTTTTCTACATTTCTTATTTTTATTGATTTCAAATTTATTTCTACTGTAGTCAGATTTAATAATTCATTTATTTTTATTATTTTCATTTTTTTAGAGACAGGGCCTTTCTGTGTTGCCCAGGTTTGTCCCAAACTCCTAGTCCCAAGCAGTTCTCCTGCCTCAGCCACCCAAAGTGCTGGGATTATAGGCACGAGCCACCCGTGCACAACCAACAATTCATTTAAAAAGTGGGCAAGTGAACTGAACAGACATTTCTCAAAAGAAGGCATACAATTGGCCAACAAATATATGAAAGAATGCTCAACATCACTGTATTAGTCTGTTTTCATGCTGCTAATAAAGACTTAACCTGAGACTGGGGAATTTACAAGAGAAAGAGGTTTAATGGACTTACAGTTCCACATGGCTGGAGAGATCTCACAATCATGGTGGAAGGCAAGGAGGAGCAAGTCACATCTTACATGGATGGCAGCAGGCAAAGAGAGAGCTTGTGCAGGGAAACTCCCGTTTTTAAAACCATCAGATCTCGTGAGACTCATTCACTATCATAAGAACAGCATAGGAAAGACCCGGCCCATAATTCAGTCACCTCCCACTGGGTTCCTCCCAGGACACATGGGAATTGTGGGAGTTACAATTCAAGATGAGATTTGGGTAGGGACACAGCCAAACCATATAAATAACTAATCATCAGGGAAATGCAAATCAAAACCACAATAAGGTATCATCTCACCCCAGTTAGAATGGCTATTGTCAAAAAAACAAAAAATAACAAATGCTGGTGAGGATGTACAGAAGAGGGGACTCTTATGTCCCACTGGTGGAAATGTCAATTAGCATAGCCATTATGCAAAATAGTATGGAAGTGAGGTAGGTTACATAGGGTGGTCACAGCCTCCCTTGAAAGGAAACAAGAAACTTGTCAAATTGATGGAGAGAACAAATCTCTTGACATTACACAAACTGCATCTGGGGCTAGTGGTTAGAATATCCTCAGTCAAGGAGGTAGAAGAGCAGGAGGGAAAATCCCTAAGTTCGTGCAAGTGCAGAAACCCACAAGCTGTGTTCTCAGGTTGACATATACTCATTTTAATAGTAAGAAACACACCCTTGGGTAGAGAATTAAAATGCTAATAATACATGTGATGTATGTACTAGCGTGTATGGCAATATTGCATGCACATTCAAGAGACCACCCAAAACATATTTAACAACAATGCCCATTCCCACCCCCTCATGGATAATCACGTAGGACTCCCATAACGGGAGTTTCTTCAGTGTCAATTGGTGCTGAAGTAGCCGACCCTGACTCTGCTATCAGCGTGTACTTTCACCTTGCAATAAACTCCTTTGCCTACTTTTACTTTGGACTGGCTTTCAAATTCTTTTGTGCAGGGAATTCAAGAATCTGAACCAGCCTACTGACAACAGAGGTTTCTCAGAAACCTAAAAATAGATCTACCAGATGAGGCTGAAAATCTGCTACTGGCTATTTATCCAAAGGGAAGGAAATCAGTATACAAAGAGACACCTACATCCCCATGTTTATTGCGTCACTCTTCACAAGAGCTGATATATAGAGTCAACCCTAAATGTTCATTAACAGACAAATGGATAGAAAATGTGGCATATATACACAATGAAATACTATTTGGCCATGAGAAGAATGCAATCTTGTCATTTGTGGCAACGTAGATGAAACTGGAGAACATTATGTTAAGTAAGATAAGCTAGGATTGGAAAGATAAATACTACATGTTATCACTCATATGTGAAAGTAGAGAAAAATTTTTAGCTCATGGATTTAGAGAACAGAACTGTGGGTACCGGAAGCTGGGAAGGGTAGCAAGGAGGGGAGGATAGGGAGAGGTTGGTTAATGGTGACAAAATTACAGCTAGATTGTAGAAATGAGTTCCGGTGTTCTGCACCATTGTAGGGTGCATATGGTTAACTCTCATTTATTGTATATTTTCAAAAAGCTAGAAAAGAATTTTGAATACTCACAACAAAATAAATGATAAATGTTTAAGGTGATGGATATACTAATTACTCTGATTTGATTATTACACATTGTGTACACATATAAAAATATCACTCTTTATCCCGTATATATGTACAGTTATTATATGTCAACTAAAAATAAAAGAAAAAAAGAATATGATCTATCATGATGTATATATCATGTGTACTTGAGCAAAATGTGCATGCAGATATTGTGTATAATGTTCTATAAATCAATTAGCTCAAGATAATAGATAGGATTGTTCAGATCTTCTGTGTCTTTACTGATATTTTGTCTAGTTATTGCATCATTACCAAAAAAAGGGTGTTAAACTCTCCAAATGTGATTGTAGAATTGTCTATTTTGTCTTTTCTTTTCCATTTTTACTTTATGTATTTTGAAACTCTGTTATGACATTTTGCTATGTATTTTAAAACTTCGTTATGTATTTTGAAACTCTGTTGTTAGAATCATACATTTATGATTATTATGTTTTCTTGATGAAATGACACTTTTCTATTGTCATTGTTTTTGTTTTTTCTGAAATGGAGTCTCACTCTGTTGCCCAGGCTGGAGTACAGTGGCACAATCTTGGTTCACTGCAACCTCCACCTCCTGGGTTCAAGCGAGTCTCCTGACTCAGCCTCCAAGTAGCTGGGATTACAGGCATGTGCCAGCATGCCAAACTAATTTTGTATTTTTATTAGAGACAGAGTTTCACCACGTTGGCCAGGCTGGTCTCGAACCTCTGACCTCAGGTGATCCGCCCACCTCGGCATTTTTATTTTATTTTATTTTTTTGAGACAGAGTCTCACTCTGTCACCCAGGGTAGAATGCGGTGGTGTGATCTTGGCTCACTGCAACCTCCGCCTCCTGGGTTCAAGCAATTCCCATGCCTCAGCCTCCCGAGTAGCTGGGATTACAGGCACATACCACCATGACTGGCTAATTTTTGTATTTTTAGTAGAGATGGGGTTTTTCTATGTTGGCCAGGCTGGCAACTGACTCCTTTAACAATACAAAATATCACTCTGTCTCTGGTAACACTCTCTGTCTTAAACTCTATTTTAGCTGTTATTATTATAGCCATTTTAGTCTTTTTATGCTTTCTGTTTGCATAGTGTATATATTTTAATATGTTTATTCTCAAGTTATCTGTGTTTTTATATTTAAGATGTTTCTCTTCTAGCCAACGTGTTTGGTTCTTGCATTTTTAAGTCGATTCTAACAATCTTTGCCTTTCAATTGAAATATTTACACCATTAACATCTAACATTAACATTTATTTTTCTTTCCACAGTACACTGGCTAGCATCTCCCATATAATATTGAACATAAAGTGTGATAACTGACATCCTTATTTCATTCCTACTCTGAGTGGAAAGGGCAGGGGTGGAGAAAGCATTCAACAATTTGCCATAATTATAATGCTTTTTGTTACACTGTTTTCTTCTGCATTAAAAAATATCATTACATTTTGCATGAATTATTAGGAGAAAATATTTTCCAATTTTCCTGGAAAATGCCATAACCACGTCTCTCAATTTTGTTTCCATCTTTCTTCCACATTTTACATAACCTACATAAGAGACACATTATCAAGTATATTTTACATGGCTTCTCAGTGTCTTCTCTGTCTGCTAACAGGTTTACCAAGAGATGGCACTCTTGTATTTCTGGTGGCTATGTCCATATCGTTTTGCCTTTAAGACAGCGTAACTACTTCTTTCACCAGTATTAAAGACATGTACATTTGATCTGGTTCTTGTGGATGATTTTAAATGACTCAAGCTAATAATCCTAATTTTACCTAAACACTCCATTATTTTAAAATGTATTCCTTTATGCCCACAATAAACATTTATTGACATTAGGCTGGACATTAGGCTTCTCTATGGCAGACATTAGGCTGGACCCTAGCCATATATCTATTGAGGGAAAAAAAATTATTTTCTATATAAGTTTCCAGAAAGCCAAGATGTGTTTTAAAAACAAAACAAAACATTACATTCTAAATGCTGTAACAAGATAAGAAAAAGTGTTGAGGCTGAGAGAAGAACAAAGCAGCAAGCAACTCCTGGAAGGACCACTGCTGCAGAGGTAATAACTGGTGAACCATGTTTTGGAGAAGGAAAAGGTCACCAAGAGAAGGAGGGGGTCCAGGGTGTTCAGAAAGATTGCATGCATAAAGATCAAGGGTAATAAAAAAAATTCCGTATTATGTAAATGTGAAGTTCCAGGACCATGAGCTTGGAGAGCATGAAGTACAGGAGGAGGGTTGGTTTCAAATAAATCTGGGAATGAAACAGTGAAGCCTCTGGCAGAACTCACATCTCTTTCCTCCCCTCTTCCTTGCACATTCCCTTTATGGAGTAATTGCAGGGATGGGAAAAGTTCAAAACCACCACTGAGCCTAGGAAGTGCTAGGGTAAAGTGGAGAATGAACCTGCGTGATTTGCTCATCCTAAACTAGGTTCTTCTAGGAGAGCCCTTCCCCATAAAATCTGCCCTCCTCGAAGGGGCCCAGACAGCCTAAGCTCACCTCCCAAAGACCCCTTACTTGCTGACTGAATCTGATTCCACCCAGACATGGCCTAAAACCCTTCCATAACTCTATAGCCAAATTCAATTTTAGACAGGCCTCATACCAACCTTTCTTCCTCTAAGTCTGCCACCCTAGGCAATTCTCAACATTCTCTACACACTTTGGGGCCATAGACGTGCTACCAAGTCTCCAGACCTAGACCTGATGGAGCAGTGCTGTAATGAGACGACCACTGGCCTTTGAACCAGACCCTTCTCTGTGGCTCCTATGCATCTCCAACCTGTTTTGAGCACTGCTGCCAAGACATCTTTGGCACTTTGTTGTGAAGTTTTAAAACTGAACTAATCTACAAAACACCTAACCTTTAAAAATTCATTGTCATTTCATATCATGAAAGATAAAGAAAGGCCAGGAAACTGTTCCAGGTTAATAGAGACTAAAGAGATAGCAACCAAATGCAATTTGTGATCCTGGATTGAGGGGAAAAAGTGTTGTCAGAGACATGATTGGGACAGCTGGTAAAATTTGAATTTGAATTTAAAGATAAAGTATTGAGTAATATAGGAAGATGATTATCTGCAACTTTCAAATGTTTCAGTAAGTATATATATATATAAAGAGATATAAAGACATATAAATAAATGGATAGGTAGAGAAAAAGCAAATGTATAATATTAACAATCTAGGTAAAAAGTATATGAGTGTTCTTTGTACTGTTTTTCTGATTTTTCTATATGTTTGAAATCATTTTAAAATAAGAAGGTTTTTGGGTTTTTTTTGTTTGTTTTTTGTTTTTAGAGACAGCATCTTATTCTGTCACCAGGCTGTAGCTCAGTGGCCCAATCATTGCTCACTGCAGCCTCAACTTCCTGGGCTCCAGTAATTCCCCCTACCTCAGGCTCATGAGTAGCTGGTACTTCAGGTGTGCACCACTGCACTCAGCTAATTTTTATTTTTTAAATTTTTGTAGAGATGGCATGTTGCTATGTCACCCAGGCTAGTCTCAAACTCCTGCCCCCAAGTGATCCTCCCACTTTGGCCTCCCAAAGTGCTAGAATTATAGGCATGAGCCACTGCACCCAGCCCCAAATAAAAAAGTATTTTATTTTAATTAACTAATTAACTTTGAGTCAGAGTTTCACCCTTGTCACCCAGGCTGGAGTGCAATGGCATGATGTTGGCTCACTGCAAACTCTGCCTCCTGTGTTTAAGCGATTCTCTTGCCTCAGACTCCTGAGTAGCTGAGATTACAGGTGCCTGCCACCATGCCCAGCTAATTTTTATATTTTTAGTAGAGACGGGGTTTCAGCATGTTGGTCAAGCTTGTCTCAAACTCCTGACCTCAGGTGATCCACCCACCTCCGCCTCCGAAAGTGTTGATGAGCCACCACACCCGGTCTAAAAAGTATTTTAAAACCACAGTCCCACTCTACCTTGTCCTACACTACCAGGGGCTAGGATCACCCCATGTCTTCTAGGCTATGAGATAGAGGAATCCAAGGAAGAAGATAAGCTACTTGGTTCCTCTATAGGGTCTTGTGTGTGCTCTCATGTGCTCTCTCTCTCTCTCTCTCTCTCACACACACACACACACACACACACACACACATGAATACCAGAGCTATCACTTTCCCAGTCTAGTACTCATCTCATCCCAAGGGTTTTGTGTTGTAGTGGTTTGCTCATTTCTTTGTTTTGTTTGTTTGCTTGGATTATTCTTTTTCTCTTTTTGCAGCTGAAGGGAGAATTTCCAGGCCAGCCCTTTGGCCATTAGAGTTACAGTGCCTCTATTCAGGCTTCATAGAGAGACCTGGGATTCAGTAGTGGGGGGCTTTTATCCAGTTCAAAATAATGCATTCTCACCAAGATGTACTTTGAAATAAAACAATACTAAAACACAAAATTTTATTTATGCTGAACATTGAATCACTTTTTTCTGTATTTTGTGTAGAAAGTTATACACACACAAACACATTTGCTCCTGCTTTGTTTATTGGCCCAGGGGTATGTTTGGTAATACTTCATCAGGCATGAGTAGTACGTCTTGGAAGGTGTGGTCTAAAGCCTAGACTCCTATCTGCTTCCTTCAGCATTCTCCAGTGTATCTGTCATCTGTCTACCTTAGGATAGGGGTCTCCAGAACTTCCATTCACATTTAGAAGAGGGCAGCGGCTTTCTATGGAAAATATGAACTCTCATTCATCTCTATTCCTTCTTCTAGCTATGGTCCAGCTCAGCTGTTTGGAATAAAGTATCTATATGAAGTCTGCGAATGGTTCTCAGACTGGTTGAACATTAGAATCACCTGAGTACCTTCTAAAATTCTTATTACCCAGGGCATATCTCAGAATGAGTACCGCAGGGTAGGGATAGGATTAGGGATCATGATCTCTGGAGTCTGGTTTAGGCACTAGTGCTGTTTAAAACTACGTTCATGAGGTGGAGGTTGCAGTGAGCCGAGATGGCGCCACTGCACTCCAACCTGGGCGACAGAGTGAGAGTCTGTCTCAACAAAACAAAACAAAAAAAACCAACTACCCTTGTGATTTGAATGTCCATCCAAAATTGAGAACCATTAGGTAAGGCCAAGCTGTATAATTAAAGAGCAGTTTTCATTTGTCTGGTGTGGTGGCAGCTTTTTGATAAGGGAAGTATTGTTGCCATCCACATACCTGAGCCTCACTCCTGAGAACACTGGTGTGTATGTTGCTAAAATTCCCCAGGTGATTCTGAGGTTCCTTCCTGGATAAAAACCACTGACCCTGGGAATGTACCCACTGCCAATCTCCTGCGTAAACCTTGGATACTGGGAAGCCTACAGTTGAAAATATTGGGCTTGAGATCCTGAAACAAATCTTGTATTTCATTAAGACTAATATTTGGTACAGTGCAGCAAATCAAGGGAATTTTGGTGGCTGAGTTCTTTTAGAACTTTTGCATTGAAATAGGTTCAAGCAGCAATAAGTTAAAACTACAACCTCAGCTAAAGGATTAAAAGACACGTGAGCTGGGTAGGATGAGGTCTAAGGTTGGGTGTGGCGGCTCATACCTGTAATCCCAGCACTTTGGGAGACTGAGGTGGGTGGATCACTTGAGGTCAGGAGTTCAAAACCAGCCTGGCCAACATGGTGAAAACCCATCTCTACTAAGAATACAAAAAAATTAGCTGGGCGAGGTGCCAGGCACCTGTAATCCCAGCTACTGGGGAGG
Source organism: Homo sapiens (assembly GCF_000001405.40). Taxonomy (NCBI): domain Eukaryota; kingdom Metazoa; phylum Chordata; class Mammalia; order Primates; family Hominidae; genus Homo; species Homo sapiens. The sequence goes on along the minus strand of NC_000006.12, from coordinate 25,938,643 downwards.
CTGAGGGAGGACAATCACTTGAACTCAGGAGGCAGAGGTTGTAGTGAGCTGAGATCGCACCACTGCACTCCAGCCTGGGTGACAGAGCAAGACTCCATTTAAAAAAAAAATAATAATAATAACAATAATAATAATTCAGACATATCCAGGCATCAAACAGATACCTGGGGCAGATGAATAGTCTTGAGATTCAAGTCACACATGAAATTTAGGTGGAAAATGACATTGGAGAAATTTGAGATTATGATGAATGGAAATTTTTCAAAGAGGAATTTCAGGCTCTGTTCTTGAGGGGATAGATGGACTTCCAACAGCAATAACACAGGATTAATGAGGACTTGGGATGTTACATAAATTAGAGATGTTAGATGGATAAAGAGATAAAAGTACTCTCTCTAAGAACATGGGACCAGAGATAGGCTCACTTCTAACCATCAGATATAACTAGCAGACTAAACGGTCTAAAAATAAAAATCATGCCCCACTCCTGCTTAAGACATTTTAATTACTCTCAGTAACTCTTCAGTTTTTCTACTGTGTTATCTTTAACTACAGGGTTGGTCTGGGTGTGCAACACAAGAAAGCCTGGCATATACATGGATTCAAGTGTATGCCATGTGCAGGTATTCTTTCATGTACTATTTCATGTATTCTTTTTCACATCTGTTTTTTCCTTCATTGAAGTCAATGGCTGATATTAGATTCTACTATTCATGTGTACTAGTTATATATAATTGTTACAAAACAAATTAGCAAAAACTTAGTGGCTTAAAGCAACACACATTTATTATTACCTAAGGTCTGTGGATAGAAGTTCTGACATGGCTTAACTGGGTTCCCTGCTTCAAGCCTCATGTGGCTGCAATCCAGGTGTTGGCTGAGTCTGAATTCTCATCAGAGGCTTGATTGTGGAAATTTCCACTTCCAAGCTCCCTCAGGTTTGTTGAAAAATTCAGTTCTTTGCACCGGTAGAAGCTTCTTGGTAGAGGCTGATTCAACTTCTAGAGGCTGTCTGCAGTTCCTGTCACCCAGGGTGGAGTGCAGTGGAGCAATCATAGCTCACTGCAGCCTTGACCTCCCAGAATCAATCTGTTCTCCCACCTCAGCATCCTGAGTAGCTGGGACCACAAGTGTGTGCCATCACACCTGCCTAAAAAACAAACAAACGAAAAAAAACCCCCAGAGAACTTTGTAGAGACAAGCTGGTCTGGAACTCCTGCGCTCAAGCAATTCTCCTGCCTTAGCCTAAAAGTTCTGGGATTATAGGTATAAGCCACCATACCTGGCATATGGCAAGTCTTGAGCAGGACAAATACAGATGATTTATGTCTGTCTTCCATGGTATTCTAGGTTATTGTTGAGATGGTCCTCTATTGTCTTGTTCCATCTATTGATTAGATAAAACGTTGTTCCTTCTGTTATTTTTCAACAGTAGCTTTTATGTGTCTCTCTTTATCTTAAAATTCTAACCAAAGAGCTGCTCTTTTCTTGGTGTACTTTACCTTTGGTTGATCCTTCTTAACCTCTTCTTGCCCTCTGGGGCCTAAGATGAGGGCTGTTATCAGATGTGAGTCTATGGGAAAGCAAGCAAGAGGTTCTTCAGCCTCCGTTCAGCCTTAAATGTCTAGGTAGAAATCAGTCATGGCCCTTCCAATGTGGTACAGACCAGATCACAGAGACAGGGGTCTCAGCCAAGGTCTTGTGGCCTAAGCCTTATAGAAATAATGAGTGTTTACTTACTTGGAGAACTCCCTTGGAATATCTTTTTTTGTGAACCTGAGGCAACTTTTGGTGATTTCTTGATGTCTTGGGAATCTTGGTCTAGAGCCATTTCAACCCGATTTCTTTTCATGTCAGTGGCATTTTGTGACCAGATAGTAAATAAGTTCTATGATGTTCACTCAGAGAAATACAATGACTTATGATGCGAAGCTTCTGTGGTTCAGCCCTTACTTCATCTTCATTCCCTCTTATCTGCATCTGTCTCCTGCTTGGGAACAAAAGTCTGGCTTCATTCTATGACCCCCACGTTGAGTTTCTTAGTAGCACTTACTTTTCAATTAGGAGTGTCCTCACTTCTATCCGTCAGACATAACTAGCCGACTAAACAGTCTAAATATAAAAATCATGTCCTACTCCTGCTGAAAACATTTTAATTACTCCCCATCATTTAATTTTTTCTACTGGGTTATCTTTAACTTCAGAGTTGGTCTTGTGTGCAACACAAGAAAACCTGGCATATACATGGATTCAAGTGTATGCCACGTGCATGTATTCCTTCATGTACTATTTCATGTATTCTTTTTCACATCTGTTTTTTCCTCTAAAATTTATTTCCTTTTAAAAATGAAAATTTTGCATTTGACTAAATTTGTCAAATTTAGTCAAATTTGTTTAAAACCATTTTTAAAATGTTTCCCGAAGTTTTGAGTGAAGTTAGTACTTCAGAAAAACTGTTTTGTATTTTTCCTGTGACCTCAGTGCACTGCTGTGCATTTCCATTTCTGCGTCCACACACATTTGTTTTGAGGAAATATAGGAACGACAAGATAAAGTTCAAGCTCCTGGACATTGCATAAAAGACCGTCATGACCTGGTCCTGTTGACTTCCCTAGATTTCCCGCTATTTCCTAAGTTGAGATTTTTGGTTTGGATGCTTTGTGTTTTCCTAAAATCAAAATAGGTTTTTGCCTTTTATGATTATACAGTAAATAAATGCTATTTGTGTGAAACTTTAAACAATACAAAAAAAACCTAAGGAAGAAAGTCAGATTCATCTAAAAATCCTTGTGGCCAGAATTAACTACCTTAGTTACTATTTTCTCTATCTCTCTCTCTCAATGTATATTTGGTGTAGGTATAGGGGTGTGTGTAGTGTGTGTGTATGTATATATCTGTTTCTATTCCTGTATGTGGATGTGCACAACGCATCCTGCTTTGTACACTACAGTACTAGCATTTTTCTAATGTAATTCAATATTGTTGAAAACATTTTAAAAAAGCTTGTATATATACACACACATACACATACATGCATGTATGTACATATACACATACAGACAAAAATGTATCCTATGTATATTCACACATGTATACACACTCACACATACATAGAGTTTTACATCCATAGTTTATAAATGTTGCTTTTTTTTGGTCACCTTTTTGCTAAGTCTTACACTTTTTTTTTTTTTTTTTGAGACGGAGTTTTGTTGTCATTGCCCAGGCTTAGTGCAGTAGCGCGATCTCACCTCACTGCAACCTCGACCTCCCGGGTTCAAGCGGTTCTCCTGCCTTAGCCTCCTGAGTAGCTGGTACTACAGGTGTGCGCCACCATGCCTGGCTAATTTTTGTAGTTTTTTTATAGAGACGAGGTTTCACCATGTTGGCCAAGCTGGTCTGGAACTCCTGACCTCAAGTGATCTGCCTGCCTCAGATTCCCAAAGTTCTGGGATTACAGATGTGAGCCACTGCACCCGGCCAAGTCTTACACATCTTTTTTTTACCACTAAACTGTTTACCCAAACCTGATAACCCAAGTCAACAGCTATTATGGCTCACACAATCTTATGTAAACAAAGATACAGATATATAGAATTTTCTTGATTAATATTCAGAAAAAAATGGAGTCCCTTTATACGTCCTTAGTATCTGCTTTACTCATTTAAAAATGTATTACATTATATGAAAGTATTCAGGTCAAATGTTATAGATGTGATTCATTCTTTTTAACTGTGTTATTTTTCTGCAATGACTATGTATCACAAAGTACTCAGTCTTCCACTGATGAAAATTTGGGCTATTTCCAGTTTGTCTTCCATTTTTCTTTCTTCCTCTTGGATTTTCACTCAATGTGTTTACTAATTTAGGAAGAATCAATAGTTTTTATGGTATTACTTCTCCCATTCAAGAATATAGCATATGGTATAGTATAGTAGAGTACTTAGTTTAATTTAGCCAGATCCTGTTTTCTGCCCTTTAATAAAATTCTATCATTTTCTGCCTTTGAGTCACATTTTCCTTGTTCATATAATTCTTAAAAAATGTATAGTTTTCATTCTAAGGGAACATAAAAACTTCTTTCCATTTCTATTCCTGTCTAGTTAATTCTACTATTGGGAAAAGTAACTGTTAAAAAAAATTCTTATCTTTCCAGTCAGTTCACCACATTTCCTTTATACCTTTGTACTTTAATCCCCAGTCATGTTGAACACTTCTTATTCCTCACACCAAGCCTCAACGGGTTTGCTCTTTCTGGAAGGTGCTTCCCCTGTATTACTGACTTATTCATACCACACATGGAGACTGGCGCAGCCCTGTTCTGCCTGGGAAGCCTTCCCCTGATACCCCCAGTTGGCAGGAGTCTTCATTTGTTCTTTTCTAGTCACCTGTGCAAGTTTGTATTGTTCATGTTTATCATCCTTCATTCTAGTTGTCTGTCTCTGTGTGTGGTCTCATTCAGTGGACTCTGAACTCTTATGAAGTCATGTCATGGGTCAGATCTTAATAAATTAATATTGTCGGAAGCTAATGTCATGTCTAGAATACAGAAAATTTATCAAAAAAAAATATAGTATGTTGGCTGGGCGCAGTGGATCAAGCCCGTAATCCCAGCACTTTGGGAGGCCGAGGCAGGAGGATCACATGAGGTCAGAAATTCAAGACCAGCCTGGCCAAAATGGTGAAACCTCATCTCTACTAAAAATACAAAAAGTAGCCAGGCGTGGTGGTGCCCACCTGTAATCCCAGCTACTCAGGAGGCTGAAGCGGGAGGATCACTTGAACCTGGGAGGCAGAGATTGCAATGAGCTGAGATCATGCCACTGCACTCCAGCCTGGGCGACAGTGAGACTCCATCTCAAAATAATAATAATAATAATAATAATAATAATAATAATAATTGTATGGAATTGAACTGCTCTGATTGGAAATAGCTGTTTTTTAAAAAATTATTATTTTTTAAGTTCCTGGGTACAAGTACAGGATGTGCAGGTTTGTTACATAGGTAAACGTGTGCCATGGTGATTTGCTGCACCTATCAACCCATCACCTAGGTATTAAGTACAGCATGCATTAGCTCTTTTACCTAATGTTCTCCCACACCCCCACCCCATCCTCCCCCAACAGGCCCCAGTGAGTGTTGTTCCCCTCCCTGTGTCCACATGTTCTCATTGTTCAGCTCCCACTCATAAGTGAGAACATGAGGTGTTTGGTTTTCTGTTCCTGCCTTAGCTGTTAATGTCAGGCCAGAGAGGCTTAAATTTTTAAGGATCTCTGGACTTTTCTTCTACATTACTCTTGATGTTTATAAATGTTACAACTTCTTTAATTTCATTTAATGTATACCTTATTGAGTTGATTTAACTGAGTTAACTTTGTTATATGAAAATCATGATTGGGAGTGAGGGGGTTAAACCAGCTACAGAGATCTTGATTGTTGGTGGTGAAGCAATGCAAGAATTCATTCATTCAGTAAACTAATGTTTATTAAGCGTGTACTGTCTTAGTCTGTTCAGACTGCTGTAACAAAATATCATAAACTGGGTGACTTATAAACAACAAAAAATTTATTTCTTACAGTTCTGGAGGTGGGAAGTCTAAGATTAAGGCCCTGGCAAATTTAGTGTCTGGTGAGGACAGGTAGCCATCTTTTTGCTGAGTCCTAACATGGCAGAAGGGTTGAATAAACTTCCTTGGGTTTCTTTTATAAGGACACTAATCCTAGTGATGAGGTTTCTGCCCTCATGGTATAACTACTGCCCAAAGACCCCTCCTTCTAATATTATCACTTTGTGGGTTAGGATTTCAACATGAGTTTTGAGAGGATACAGACATTTGGATCATAGCACACACCATAGGACAGACACTGTGCCAAGAATTGTGGATATAGTGATTCTCAAAATGAACAAGATCCCCTCAGAGAGCTTGCAAAATCCAGCTATAAAATTATGCTTTTTAAACAAATTATGCAGTTTGAAAAATCTACTCTGAATCTTACTTGTGGCATTGAATACTTTCGGCCACTCTTTCCTTATTATATTAAATATTTACTCTTGTTTGGGGGATCCAGTCTCACCTACTTTTTCTACCAGAACTGGTATCAGCTCATGCTCTGCCTTATGCAAATTAAGAAAATATCATACCTTTTGGGTAAATTAAGCCAAGAAAGTTCTCCTTTCTTCTCTTTCTCTCTTTCTTTCTTTCTCTCTTTCTCTTTCTTTCTTTCTCTCTCTCTCTTTCTTTCTTTCTTTCTTTCTTTCTTTCTTTCTTTCTTTCTTTTTCTTTCTGACAGGGTCTTGCTCTATTGCCTAGGCTGGAGTGCAGTGGTGCAATCTCAGCTCACTGCAGCCTTGAACTCCAGGGCTCAAGCAATCCTCCTGAGTAGCTGGGACTATAGGCATGTGCCACAACATCAAGCTAATTTTTGCATTTTTTTGTGGAGACGGGATCTCCCTATGTTGCTAAGGCTGGTCTTGGATTCCTGGGCTTATGCGATTCTCCTGCCTCAGCCTCCCAAAGTCCTGGGATTACAGGCATGAGCCACTGCCCCTGGCCATTATAACTATTTTCATTGGCTTATCAGGCACATGATAACTATAATAAATCAATAACCAGAATTTTTAAATAAAGAAAGGAAGGAATTGTTTCAACTCTTCCTGCTACCCCTCTATCCCTCAAAAGGGTAGGCTGAATGTTGTCCTCCAAAGATATCCATGTCCTAATCCCCAGAACCTGTAAATATATTACCTTATATGACAAAAGGGACTTTACATGTTTAATAAGTTAAGAATTTTGAGATGGGCAGATTTTCCTGAATTTTGCAGATGGGCCCTAGTGTAATCACAAGGGTCCTTATAAGAGACAGGCAGAAGAGTCAGAATAAGAGAAAAATACTTCAAGATGTTACACTGCTGGCTTTAAGGTGGAGGAAAGGCCAAGAGCCAAAAAATGCAGTGGTCACTACAAGCTGAAAAGAAAAAGAAATGGATTTTCCCCTAAAGCCTCTGGAGGGGGCACAACCTTGCCAATACCTTGATTTTGGCTCAGTGAAACCCATTTTGGACTTCTGACCTTTAGAATTGTAAATAAATAAATAATTTTGTGTTGTTTCAAGCCATCACAGTTGTGGTAATTTACTACAACAGCAATAAAATAGAATTAAATACAGAGATCTGAGGAGTTGAGTAGGATAAGCCTACTCCAGCAGGTTATTTCGGGAGTATGGTGAGACTCACTAGGATGGCGGAACTCAATTAAGGAAGTCTGAAGCTGATAAGCCAGAGAGGGAAGGCTCTCATTTCATTTTATAAGGGTTGCGTCACACTAGGAAGATCCAATAGCAACCACAGTCTCAAAATTAATGATTACAAATAGGACACAATTCCAAGAGTCGGGAGCCAAGCAGAAAATGGATTAGGGAAGACATGGATGATATGAAACAGGAAGGAGGGGTACAAGGCAGCTTCCTGGGAAGTTGCCAGGGCAGTCACAGTTCACATTCATTAGGCTGTGGGCACCAAATGCATATGGAAAATCTAGCTGACTTAACTGAACTCCTGAAGAGGAATGAACACCTCATTTATTGAGGAGCTACTACCAATTAGAATATGTATTTCATTTGTTCAATAACCCCATGAGTACAGTAACACAATCCTTGCTTTACTAAAGCGGAAGCCAATTCAAAGAGGTTCAGTGACTTGTCCAAGCTCAGGGAAAACACTAGGAAGTGAATATGGGTCTGACTCCATCACTGATTTCAGGAGCCCTGCCCTTTCCTCCACACCATGCCCCCTTGCTTTCAGAAAAAAAGGCTTGTTGACTGAATGGTTGTATGCACAGTTCAAAGCAGAAACACACGATGACATCTTTTGAGATACTCTAACAGTGAGAACTTGAAAATGAAGTTAAAAATTAAGCGGCAAAACCAAGCCGAGGCTTTCTGAGAAAGTGGGGCCAAACCTGTTGCCGTCTGACTGCCACGTGGCTCACTATTTATCCCTGTAAAAATCTGCAAAAGTATTTGAAAGGGAAGAAGGGACAGAAAACTCCCTCCTTTTCCAAGTTAGCCTTATAGTCTAGGGCTTAAAATACTGGTTTAATGGTGAAGGTAAGTGCTTTTCTTCTTTTTGGGTAGAAGGATTATTACTAACTTACCAAAGGTCCATTAAGGGGAGGGAACAGTTTTAGGAGAAGTCAGAGAAAAGACATTAACAGCAACATAAGGATCTCCATCTGGTAATATTGCCTAATTCCAAAATGAAGAGACTCTCTGAAAAAGATAACTGATTCAATGAAGACCCTAGGGCAAGGCTTGAGAAGCCACTGGTACCAATGGACACTGTGGACAATGGTCATTTCTCCAAGGACGCTGTGAGTATTAACTGTGATGCTGTGATTAGTCAGACTGGGATTGGCTGTGGAATGAAATACTGATCAGAACTGACAAGATTTGTGTTTGGGACTGTGGCTAACGAGTCTTTTCAGACTTCTATATGAATTTGAAATGGTCTCTCAGGAAAAGGAGAACATGGCCGGGCCTGGTGGCTCACGCCTGTAATCCCAGCACTTTGGCAGGCTGAGGCGGGCAGATCACTTGAGGTCAGGAGTTTGAGACCAGCCTGGCCAACATGGTGAAACCCTGTCTCCACTAAAAATACAAAAATTAGCAGGGCGTAGCGGCGCGTGCACCTATGCGCATGCATAGTGCGCGTGCCAGCTATTCAGAAGGCTGAGGCAGGAGAATTGCTTGAACCCAGGACGTAGAGGTTGCAGTAGTTGAGATCATACCACTGCACTCCAGCCTAGGTGACAGAGTAAGACTCTGTCTCAAAAAAATAATAATAATAAAAGAAAAGGAGAACATGACCAAAGTTATGAATAAGACTGAAGGCAAGAAAATTGTACGCTTGTAGAGATCACCTAGCTTGTTGCCCTCATTGTACAGCTAAGAAAAGGCACCCAGGGACATTGTGGTCAGCACCAATTTCTCAGAAAGATAGGCAGATGATGAGAGGGCCCTCAGTTTTTCTAACACTGAAGGAATTGCTTCTATGTTTTCTGGTGAACTCCTCCCCACTCATCTTGAGGATTCCAGGCCAGAAGAATCCACTTTAAAAAAGAAACATTTAAAACCAATTTAACAACCAATCAAAGGCACTTTTATAGAAATACATTTCATTTGCTGTAGGCCTGTATTTATGGATCTGAGAGGGCTAGACTGCCAATATTGTGACTGTTTATTATTATTGCTGTTGCTAGTATCTAGAATATTATACAACATATAACACTTTGCAATTTACGAGGCATGTCTCATACTTTTGTTTTCACTCCAAACTGCCCAGTGAAGTAACATTATCCCAATTCTTCCTATGAAACAGTGAAAGCCCTAAGAGTTTTTGAAACTTTACCTGGTTTACTCAATTTGGGAATGGCAGAGCAGAATTCAGTCCTTGAATATCCTCCCACTGCAGGTTCATGCTCTTTGATCTAGGTGTAACATTTACTCTGAGTAAACTAGGACTCTGGGCTAACAGAGATGAAGCAAGACAGGCTGGATATTAGGAGAATCTAAGAGCAATCTAACGACCATTATAATAAAATCATGAGTTCTAGACTTAAAAAAAGGGAAAAACCTGTTTTTTTGCTTATGCGTATACCATAATATTTACATTATTTATTTTTTTCTCAAATTCAACCTATACTGTGTCAAGTAATTTTTTTTAATATAACATTTTCCTTTAACTTAATTTCAATTCATTTTTCTGTGTCTACTTACAACTTTGGCACTAGAATTCACAATTTTTTTTTAGAGGTATATCTCCTTAAAGGGAAGGGTTCTGACACTGTTACATGTTCTCAATTGTTTGCAAATAGGTTAATAATTATTCCAGTGTCTCTAAGTACATATCAACCATGCCAGTGTTCAGCCTCCATAATTTTATTAGCTTCTGTGCTTATTTTGGAAAAACATTTCCCATTACCATGAAAGACCTCAGTTTAGGATGGTTTGGTATGTTAGCCTGATTTCTGCATTCGTCTCATGCAAAGGAAAATAGGAAACGAAGAACTGAAATTACCTATTGATACAAAATCAAAGTAGCATTTGAAACCATAAAACTTAAGTAGGGCTTTTCATCCTTTCTCGTTAGACAGCAACAGAGAATGGGAAGAAAAACTAAAGTGATGGGTTTGTGATACAATTCCAGTAACATAAAGAGCAAGGAGAAGTAGTTTTGTTGTGTTTATGTTTAATATTCAAAGCTCAACCTAAAAGTATTTTTCATTATCAAACTTCCTTCTAGAATAAATGATTAAAACTTGATTTAAAATATACAAATTCTCCTTTATAATACCTCAAAATGGAGCTACCCCATTGAGTTTTAAGCTTGTGATTAAAATATTACGAAAACAAAGGGGAAGTTGTAATAGGTAGAACAAGCAGTAGTCTAGGCATTAGGGGATCTGGTGCTGGCTCTGTGCATCATGTGGTTTCAGGCAACTTTTCAAATTTTCTACGCAAATTTTCTTATCAATAAAATAAACAGTTGGGCCAGAGGATCTCTGAGTCTCTTTCAGCTTTCAGTGTTTATAAGATTGGAGAAGTTGGTGGGAAAGCTTTAAGTGGAGTGTAAGTAATTGCAGCTGCATGTACAGTTAAAGAGTTGCCTTCAGCCAAGCCACGGGATCTTGCATAAAAAGTGAAATCAAATAGAAAATGGTCCAAACTCTGGGTTTGACCACAGATGACTTCAGCTAGGATCTGAGTGTAGAGCAATGAGCTGAACTCCTGATATCCAGATGTTAGCAAGACTTGGAGGCCTTCTAAGGCAGAGCAACAACCAGTATCTGTCCTGGTGCTGACCTGATCTTACTAGCAATTGGGCCTCCATTTGGGTCCATTGTACAAAACAACAACAACAACAACAATAAAATCTCCAAACACCCAAAATTCAAAATTTAGATGGAGAGATACTATTCCCAGAATTCTAGAGATATTTGGAAAGCAGAAAACTATACTTGCCATGCTGATGAAGTCCAATTATTGCTCTTTTAAATACATTTAGCTACTTCTGAATATAAAATGAGTATCTACTAATTATTTACAAAATCACTTGGTAAATATAGAAAGTCACAAAGAATGAAGTGATCATCCTGTTTTGTAACCCAGAAATAGTCATTACTGGCACTTGTGTGAATCAGTTTCTATTCCTGTATGTGGATGTGCACAGCGTATCCTGCTTTGTACACTAGAGTACTAGCATTTTTCTAATGTAATTCAATATTGTCGAAAACATTTTAAAATAGCTTCCATCACAATAATCTATCAAATTGACTTGCCAGACTCTCATTATTAGGTTAATTTATCTCTAACATTATGCAGTCATGAGTAATACTACAAAGGATATTTTTGGACACAATTTTTCATCTATGCCTTTCTTTATAATCCTTCATCCTAAGGTCACAGATTATGAATATCTTTAAAGTACGGACAAGTCTTTTAAATTTTGTGTGCAAAAACAGTGCAAAGCCTTGAATGATAAAATAGAGGTTTGATATATGTGTTTTTTTGTTTGTTTGTTTTGAGACGGATTCCTGCTCTGTCCCCCAAGCTGTAGTGCAGTGGCACGATCTTGGCTCACTGCAACCTTTGCCTCTTGGGTTCAAGCAATTATCCTGCCTCAGCCTCCTTAGTAGCAGGGTCTACAGGCATGTGCCACCACACCCGGCTGTTTTTGTATTTTTAGTAGAGATGGGGTTTCACCATGTTGGCCAGGATGATCTCGAACACCTGACCTCAAGTGATCCACCCACCTCAGTCTCCCAAAGTGCTGGGATTACAGGTGTGAGCCACTGCACCCGGCCGATACATGTGTTTTTAAAGTCACAGAAATTTCAGATGTCTTGAAGGATTTTAAGCAATTTAAAAAATAAAGTCATAGAAGCTTCAATTTAGGAATGAATGGAAAATTGATGATATTCTTAGGATATGGATTTTTCCTAAAAGAAACAAATGTATGCATCCCCAAAGATAATTTGATTAGTATACAAATATTAAATTAAACATGTCCATATTTAGAGCCATGAATTCTCTTTGCCTGTCACAATAGCTGGATTTATTCACAATTGTAGTAATTAGTCCCTGTTCATTATAATTTTCTAGGTGATATGAAGACTTTGTCAGTCCAAGCAAGTGTCCACATTGTGTGTAGCAAACATGAGAATAAACATTTTAAACTTTTAAATGTAATACATATTAGTGTTATGTAATGTCATCCTTCATGTTCGAAGGCACATGGAACATTGTTCTGGTGGTACAGAGGGGAGAGAAACACCATCAGAATGAAAGGAAAGACCGCTCTGGAACCTTCCTCCTTAGCTCTTGAGCTTAGTTTAATTGTCCTGTCTTATGGTCTGCTACAAGCAATACCACTCTTCACCTTCGCATGCTTCTCTGTGGTTTGATAAAGTACATGCAATTTTTCATTTAATTCTTCCAGCTGCACTAAGAAAGGAGCCTTATCTTTATTGAACAGATGAGGAAATGAATGATTAGAGAATTTAAATGACTAGCTCTAGGTCACACAGCTGGAACTTACAGCCAGATTTCCTTTTAACAATCCTGTAACCAAAAGCATACCAGTAGTGCCCCATAAAATGTAAGTTATAGAGCTGTGTTGGGTCAAAACTTTTACTGATGCTAAGAGGAGGCAACATTAACAAGGGGAAATTATTTGTGTATTATGTTTTGGATTATGTTCTCTCCATAGATAAAAGACTGTCGTAGTAAAAGAGATTCAGGGCACAGGGAAACTCCACCACAAAGCGTGGTACCATTTCCCACAGAAGCTAAATGGACGGGAAGCCTGCCACCAGGAAAGGTAAAGCCACTGCTCTTGTTTGCAGGCTATGTTAATAAGCTGAAGCTTATTCCGACACATTTACACATCTCTGCATCACACTGACCCTTCGTAAAGATACTCCCAGTGTAACATTGGAGCCAGCTCCAGCCCCTGATCCTGTTGCTTTTTCCTTAGCCCCATGAAATCATCTGTGAGAAATTAAGCCAAATAAGCAATAAATCCTGGGATCTAGGGAGTGGAATAAGTTTTGGGAAAGTCTTTTTTTTTTTTTTTTTTGACTGAGTCTTGCTCTGTCTCACAGGCTGGAGTGCAGTGGTGCGATCTCGGCTCACTGCAACCTCTGCCTCCCGGGTTCAAGTGATTCTCCTGCCTCAGCCTCCCGAGTAGCTTGGACTACAGGCACACACCACCATGCCCAGATGAATTTTTGTATTTTTAGTAGAGATGGAGTTTCGCCGTGTTAGCCAGGATGGTCTCGATCTCCTGACCTCGTGATCCACCGGCCTCGGCCTCCCAAAGTGCTGGGATTACAGGCATGGGCCACCACGCCTGGCCCGGGAAAGTCATTTTAAACCAACCTATGTATGAATCCCTACTATAATATTCTCACCAAGCGGCTGGCTCTTTCTCCTGAGCTTGGAAACCTCCAGTAAAATGGAAATAATTATTTCCCAGACCACCACTCTTATCTGTGAGCTTTTTTGGCCATTAAAAATTATTTCTTCCATTATATTTTTATCTGTGTCTTCACAGGTTTTCTCTTTCTTTCACTTTAGTGCTTTTCTTCAAATAAGCAGGAAAAATCCAATCTATCATGCACATGGGAACCCTTTCAATATTGGTCTGTGGTTGTTCCATTTTATGGGGATGCTTTTAAAGAAAAAATTTGTCCTTTCAATATATTGAATATCTTCCAGCACCACATCACCTGCAAGCTTTGTAAAAATAGTTCTACATATTAATTTTTTTTTTTTTTTTGAGATTGAGTCTCATTCTGTCACCCAGGCTGGAGTACAGTGACATGATCTTGGCTCATTGCAACCTCTGCCTCCTGGGTTCAAGTGATTCTCCTGACTCAGCCTCCCGAGTAGCTGGGATTACAGGCATGCATCACCATGCCTGGGTAATTTTTGTATTTTTAGTAGAGATGGGGTTTCACCATGTTGACCAGGCTGGTCTCAAACTCCTGACCTCAAGTGATCCACCTGCCTTAGCCTCCCAAAATGCTGGGACTACAGGCGTGAGCCACTGCACCCCACGTAGTTTTTTTTTTTTTTTAAGTTGAACATATGTGAAGGCAGGACCTAGTGACACATAGCAATAACATTTCCAAGTAGACATTACACTAGGGAATTAGTCGAAGTGCTCATTTAAAGTACCATCTCTCAAATGTATTAAAAGAGAATCCTTGGATGTGCAATACCTTAATTCAAAGGCAGCTCGTTATGTATAAACTCTCAAGCTTTGTGATAAACAAATGTGCATAACAGATGGGACTATTCACTTACAGCCCAGGGAATTTTATTGACGCTGAGAAGGTTATGTGACTGGCTCTGCCACTGTCATCCCCATTCACTTCATTTTGGAGCAATATGACATAAATGCCTTACATGTGGGTTTTCTCTATTTATCATGTGTTTCCTATCCCCTTGAAAGATGGCCATATTTGCTTTACTTGGTTATAAGATCCCATATTCGCTGTCTTGAAGCCAACCAAATAATTTGACAAAGTGGGTTTGTAGTGCTGGCTATTTTGGTGAAAAAAAGACAATGAGACTTCATGTGTCATCCAAAGTTCTATCAGATCGAGCTGTGAGAGAAAGGAAAAGAAAGGGGTCTCAGTCAGGATGCTCACTACATACATCTGTGTTGTTGTCTAGGTCCAGATTTCTGTTCATTACGCTATGGGCTGGCTCTTATCATGCACTTCTCAAACTTCACCATGATAACGCAGCGTGTGAGTCTGAGCATTGCGATCATCGCCATGGTGAACACCACTCAGCAGCAAGGTCTATCTAATGCCTCCACTGAGGGGCCTGTTGCAGATGCCTTCAATAACTCCAGCATATCCATCAAGGAATTTGATACAAAGGTAAGTATGATGGAAAATAGGGCTCTTTGTTGAGAGAAAAAACTTTGAAAGGAAGGCATAGATCTTGATTCTGTGGAGTATGGAAGTATACATTTCCAATGACAAATTAAAACTGACTGGAACTATTTTTCTTTGAGACATTGCTTACTTCAATAATAAAAATAAGATTTCATTGAGGTTATTATGATTATAAGGTGGGGGAACTGTAGAGTTAAATGTGAAAAATTTAAAAATGGAACAGTTTATGTGATGTCTTCAATGAAAAACTAGGTATTACCTGGGCACATTCTTATAGGTTACTCAATCCTATTCAGTTCTCTGCCTGTTTTATTGTTTCTGAGCAATTTTATATCCCTGTAAATTCTATATAACCAATAGAAATGCAAACGATTCTTGTCCATAGCTTTGCAAATAAATTTTGCCAAGAGAAAAATCAGTTAAAACTTTTCTCCACTCACCTCCCAGTTGAATTAGCCAATTTTGCTGTTTGTTTGTTTGTTTGTTTTTTGAGATAGAGTCTTCCTCTGTCATTCAGGCTGGAGTGCAGTGGCATGATCTCAGCTCACTGCAGCCTCCGCCTCCCGGGTTCAAGAGATTTTCCTGTCTCGGCCTCCCAAGTAGCTGGGAGTAAGGGGGCATGCCACCGCGGCTGGCTAATTTTTGTATTTTTAGTAGAGACAGGGTTTCACTAGGCTGGTCTCGAACTCCTGACCTCAGGTGATCCACCCGCCTCGGCCTCCCAAAGTGTTGGGATTACAGGTGTGAGCCACTGTGCCAGGCTCTGCTGTATATTTAAAGTCTATTTCAGCATTGCTTCCTGCTTGTGTTATGCGTGATTCTTTGAGTTTTCCTTTGAACCAGTTATAACATCTTACTTACTTCCTCCATTAATCAATGAGTTAAATAAAATCTTTGTTGTATGTTTATTTTACATTTATATGAAAACCATGAATTTACCCAATTAAAAAAATTATCCTTTAAATTATCTTGTACTGTACATTTCCCATGTCATCCCTATAATTCATGATTAATGATTTTATTACATTGGACCTAGCTTATTTACAATGAGTACATAAATTTATTGTCTCCAGTCTTTCCTCCATTATCCCGTCTACATATCCACACTGAGTAGATTCACTACTCAGGAATCTTGGACACCTTCAAGTTGCCAAACATGCAGTGTTCACTGGACATGCTGTGTTCCTTCAGAATTTGGGCCTGCTTCTCAGCACACTCACATCTGCTATCAATGACCCATGGAAAGTTTTTGCCCTGAGCAAGCCAGAGTCCCTGTTAGTTTCTTCCAAATGCTACAAGTTCACTTTTGCTATTTTTTCCGATGAGATAAAATTTTCCTTTTTGACTTTCTACAAATCATAGTCATTTTTCAAGGGATAGTTCAAGTATTGCTTCCTTTCTGGGACCTTCCCAAATTATTATTTTCTCCTCTCAAAGTCTCTGTTTTATTTATGTTCATCCTCAAATCTTGATTCTCACATGAATCATATACCTTGTATTATTTATAGTTTTTTTGAGTGGGTAAAATATTTCATATTTTATATTCTTTGGCTCTCTACTTTATAGCATGATGCCAGATATTTAGGGGCCTTATTGCATTTATTTTTTATTTTATTTTAAAATCTATTTTATTTTTTATTTATTTATTTTAAAATCTATTTATTTTTAGGTAAATATTCAGGTAATATAATTTATGTAATTATTTAGGAATTTTAGGTAGTTATTTTAAAATAATTCAAATTATTTATTGAGTTATATCAGAAGAATGTGATCTTATTCATTTGTAATATGTGTTTTAGGAACTCAGTTCAGCCAGGGCAGACCATGATTCCCAAACTTGACTTTTCTTTTTAATTAGGCACTGATTTTGGTTAAGAGTTCAGTAAAGTTTTGTGTGTGTGTTTTAAAAAATTCTTTGATATAAGAGTCAAGATGTTACTCAACTTTTACTAGAAGCAAAATAGAGGAAGTGCTTTCACAGATGAAATATCTCTCAATGTTTTCTTCCATTTACTTCTTCCTATTATTCATCTATATAATCATTTTCTTTACCTCTTTTCTTCATTTCTTCTGTTTTTCTCTCCTTCTACTAAGACAAGCAAATTAGGGGTATAATTGGTTATTTGGGAAGGTAGGAAGAATATAGAGAGAAACAAAAATCAATATTTTATACTAGGGTCTCACTAACCTCAAGCAACTCTGACTGTAAAGTAGATTTTCATAATAGGACTTCTTGACAAAGAGTTTTCCTATTTTTCCCCCAGGCCTCTGTGTATCAATGGAGCCCAGAAACTCAGGGTATCATCTTTAGCTCCATCAACTATGGGATAATACTGACTCTGATCCCAAGTGGATATTTAGCAGGGATATTTGGAGCAAAAAAAATGCTTGGTGCTGGTTTGCTGATCTCTTCCCTTCTCACCCTCTTTACACCACTGGCTGCTGACTTCGGAGTGATTTTGGTCATCATGGTTCGGACAGTCCAGGGCATGGCCCAGGTATCCAGATACTTTCTCATTCTTGGTGGGATCCAGATTTCTGAATTCTACAAAATATCAAAGGTCTTAATGATTTTCATTTCAGGGAATGGCATGGACAGGTCAGTTTACTATTTGGGCAAAGTGGGCTCCTCCACTTGAACGAAGCAAGCTCACCACCATTGCAGGATCAGGTAAGTGTGCACAGATGGGTCATAGCTTTGTCATCTGTTCCATCCCACTGTGTCTTATCTTCTATGAATCAAATGGTTTGGGGAAGAGAGAGAAAAAGTACTGCTGAAAAATTCAACAATATAAGACACTTGCATCACAAATAGGAAAGATGCATCTGTGCAGTAAAGACATTGAAGCTTAGAAGTAGAAAAAACCATTGTGAGCTAGGTTTCAGCTCAGAAAAGCCTTAGTAGTCAGAAAAGCCTTAGTAGTCAGAAAAGCCTTGTCGGAAAAAGTTTAAACCTTTAAGAATTGCACACATGGAAAAAGATCAAGTAAGCTATATATACACCATCTTAGCAATGATTTTGAAGTGAGAATTAAGGCTACCACAGCTCCAGGTGGTAAGGAGAGAAATCAGGCTGGAAGAGTTTGAAGTTTCTGTATTATTCTAAGCTCTTTACTATTCTATTATGAGCTCATTAATTCTCACAACAACCCTCTCATATAAGTACCATTTTAAATTCTTATTTTACAGAGAAGGGAGTTAAGGAAGGTGGAGATTAAGAAAATTGCCCAAATACAAATAGCCAGCAGGTGGTAGGTCTGAGATTTAAGCCCATGCAGATTTTAGCCCCAGAGCAGACATTCTCAATCACTATGCTAGACTGCCTTTCCATGGTATGTGATCCTACTCAGGCCTCTACAGCTTTATCATTGCTGTTCTCCCCAGCCTGTCGTGCTGAGAGTATATACTCGAAGAGCAGAACTAAAATTCCATCCAGCTTCTCACTCCTAGGTCCACTACACAGCTGCATCCTGCAGACTTTTACCTCAAGCAACCCTCCTGCGTTCTTGCTTCCTTCCATCATAGTTGTAACCATCTCCTCTATTTGCAAATACTATCTGCTGATCTCTCTCTTCTAGACTGGTTTCTTTCAACCTTCTTCCCACCAAAACCAAGTTAGCTTGCTAAAATAAAGATGGCACATTTTTACTCACCCGCTTGAGAATTTTCAATGTGTTCCTTCATGCTTACAGAGTAAAGCCTGACCTCTTTATTGCATGAATACAAAAGTTCTTAGCCATCTGGCCCCAACCTTGTTCCACTCAACTCCCCTGTGCAAGCATGGCTCCAGTGGCACTGGACATTGGCTGCTCTCCACATAGATCTGCACTGCACTTCCCTCTGGCTCTGCTCCCGTTAGTTTATATGCCTGGAAAGTTCTTTGCCCCTGTTCCTTGTGCCAAAATTCCATCTATCCTATTGCATAGCTTATGTAAAAACTTCCTAAACCTTTTTTTTTTTTTTTTTTTTTTTTTTTTGAGACGGTGTCTCACTCTTTCGCCCAGGCCGGACTGCAGTAGCGCTATCTCGGCTCACTGCAAGCTCCGCCTCCCGGGTTCACGCCATTTTCCTGCCTCAGCCTCCCGAGTAGCTGGGACTACAGGCGCCTGCCACCATGACCGGCTAATTTTTTGTATTTTTAGTAGAGACGGGGTTTCAAGCCAGGATGGTCTCAATCTCCTGACCTCGTGATCCGCCCGCCTCGGCCTCCCAAAGTGCTGGGATTACAGGCGTGAGCCACCGCGCCCGGCCAAAACTTCCTAAATCTTATAATTATTATCAATTTATCCTCAGATATACTTCCACGTACATTGTAGTTTTATTATATTTATATTTTACATCTTTTTTTTCAAATTTCAGTTTGGGACCCATTAGTGAGTCATAAAATCCATTGAGCGGGTTAAAATCATTATTTTAAAAAATGAATAGAATAGAATAGAAATTGTTGGAGTGCATTGGACATGGTAAAGTTAAATATCGATTCATGAAACCATCGTTTGAGGCATATGTGTGTGGTTGTATGTACAAGTGTTTATGCATATTGGTGTGTGTGTTATGTTACCCTGTAAAATGCATTTCTTACTATAGGTCTCTGTGAAATATGTGTCTTGTTGTTTTTTAATGTAGACTTCCAAAGCCTACATGGCATTTCACTAGTGACAATCAATTTTATTCACATTTTTCTCTCCAATTGGACCAGAAGCTCTTTGAGGGCAGGGGCTGTATCTTACCGATTTTTGTAAGTCTTTCATTTCCTGCCCCTAGCCTCATATTAGATCATGCAAGAATGCAACTGTAATCACAAGAAAATGCTAATGGGCTGTGATAGCAGAGAGTTACTGTGACAAACTAAGGGATTTAGATTTGGTCACATTGGTGTTGAGGAGCCATTGAAGAATCAGAGAGTGTGTTACTATTATTTGTTAATTTTAATTATATCATATTACTTTACTGGGGAAAATCTGTGAGCTATTTTAGAAATAAATACTCTCATTGCCCAATAATTCTAAGTCTGCCACCTCACTGTTGGGACATTGTTTAGGGAGGCCACGAAGTCTCAGCCTTTGATATTTTCATAAGTGTTTTTCTCCCTTTTTCCTTTAGGGTCAGCATTTGGATCCTTCATCATCCTCTGTGTGGGGGGACTAATCTCACAGGCCTTGAGCTGGCCTTTTATCTTCTACATCTTTGGTGAGTCACTTTCTCTTAAATCCTAACGCCTCCATTTCCTGAGCATCCATTTTGGCACCTACACCACCCACATTCTTCCTATATGAAAGAAAATGTCCTTTATCAAATGGAAGATGATAAAAAATGTCAACGGTTGGTATCATTTTTAATCTAGTCACACAACCTGATTAACACCTTCCTGGTGGTTCTGGGAAGCCACACGCACAAGGTAGAGGAGTTGACTATTCACATGGCACCCACCGACTTGTGATGCAGTCTTGTCCTTCCATATCAAGCACCTTCTGCAGAATCTCTACCACCACATCTGAAGTGCCTGCTATATGCAGTTAAGATGTCAAAGATAGTGAAGTACATTTTCAATGTGTCTTCATATTTCATTATAATTATTATTTCTGTCCAAGATGCCTTTCACCTGTTCTCTACCAAGTTAATCTTGCAAAGTTCAATTCAAATGTTCCCTTCCCCATGGGCCCTTCCAGGGCTTACCCTATCAGATTCTGGCATTCTCTCCTTTATGATATTTCCTCTCTAGGTTATGTTGGTGTGTAATTATTTATTTCTCCTTTTCTTTCCACTAGACTGTGAAATGCTTGAGGCAAGGAATCCATTCTATGTTTTCATCACTTGGGTGTCATCATGGTGCCTGATTTTTAGCTTTAAAATAAAAGAATCAGTGAATCCAGTAATTAGAGGGGATTTAAAGAAAACTAGTCCTCAGAATCTTTTAACATAGAATGTTCTTCAAATAAGGAATTCCAATAATAAGACAATTTTCTACACTTGATTTTGTTTTTATAGCCAAATGGTGTCATTAAATATAGTCCTGGCCTGAATGGCTTTCTCATTAATGATGCTAATTATTTTGGTTTGTACATGTTAACCAGGTATTGTACAAAAATATTTCTTTTGGGAATCCATAATGGATGTATGGCTTGAATACAAATAATACTGTCTCTTGTAAGTGCATTGGAAATTTTTCCCTGCCACATGATTTCATGGAAGGTTGTTTCGTGTATGTATGACTGCAAACCTGACTATTCAGATCTTCCGCAACAAGACAACTTATGTGTGCATTAAGAAGTTGCTGCCTAAAATACATAACACTGTAATCATTGGAGACTTTAAAGTAATTAATCAGCTATGCAATGCCACGCTCCTGTTATCTCCAGAGGGCTCTGACATTGACAAATGGTGGCTTTCTATTTGAGACGTAATATCTAAAAAGCTTTAACAGGTTTGTAGAAGGATTGAAAGAAAGAATGGGAACATTTAGGTCCTTATGGTAGAATAAGCATTAATTGATTAGTGTGTAGAAGGGAGAGGCATGCCACTTCAGAGGAAACTTCCTTCCCCCAGTAAACAAATCTACCTAAAAACTAATTTTATCCCTTCTTCCCAGGTAGCACTGGCTGTGTCTGCTGTCTCCTATGGTTCACAGTGATTTATGATGACCCCATGCATCACCCGTGCATAAGTGTTAGGGAAAAGGAGCACATCCTGTCCTCACTGGCTCAACAGGTACAGTGCACACCTTGTACCTGTGGCCCATGCAGAGGTCTCTAGGGCAGGGTGTGGATCTCCTCTGAGAGGCACCATCTTGGCTGCTCTAATACTCATGCTGATTAGATCTTTCTTTTCAGCCCAGTTCTCCTGGACGAGCTGTCCCCATAAAGGCGATGGTCACATGCCTACCACTTTGGGCCATTTTCCTGGGTTTTTTCAGCCATT
The DNA here is from genome assembly GCF_000001405.40 of Homo sapiens. Taxonomy (NCBI): domain Eukaryota; kingdom Metazoa; phylum Chordata; class Mammalia; order Primates; family Hominidae; genus Homo; species Homo sapiens. The sequence goes on along the minus strand of NC_000006.12, from coordinate 25,916,758 downwards.
TCTGGTTGTGCACCATCATCCTAACATACCTACCAACGTATATCAGTACTCTGCTCCATGTTAACATCAGAGATGTGAGTTTACTTCCTATACTTCTACGAAAATGATAATGGTAATAAGGAGAAACAGTTCTGTGTTACCTATTACATTCTGGCTTTACATATAACCATTAATTTAACCTTCACAATGACCTTGAGAGAGGCATTGTTATAATTCCCTTTTCACAGATGTGGAAACAGGACACTTAGAGGTGAGATAACTTGCCCCAGGTTGCACAATACTAAGTGATAGAGCTGCTGCAGCATCCATATTCTTAACCACTATGCTATACTACCACACCAGCTGATTCCAAAGCTTCTTTTAGAAATAATATTGCTGGGCCAGGCATGGTGGCTCATGCCTGTAATTCCAGCACTTTGGGAGGCCGAGGCAGGCAGATCATGAGGTCAGGAATGCAAGACCAGCCTGACCAATATGGTTTACTAAATATCATCTACTAAAAATACAAAAATTAGCCAGGTGTGGTGGCAGGCACCTGTAATCCCAGCTATTCAGGAGGCTGAGACAGGAGAATCGCTTGAACCCAGGAGGTGGAGGTTGCATTGAGCCAAGATCATGCCACTGCACTCCAGCCTGGGCGACAGAGTAAGACTCCGTTTCAAAAACAAAAAACCCAAGAAATTAATATTGCTTTTATCTGGAGCCCAGAGTGATGCAGCTTCTGGCCCTCTTATCTGAGACAGTGTTCTTTTAGTGTGAAAAAGGATGCTAATTTTCCCCCAAACAACCCACAGTATCATGGGGGTAAGTTAATGGCTGGTCTGTGTAACTGACAAATTTTGGTGCTAACGTATCTCTATAACTACTCTGTATAAACTTCCTTCCTTCAGAGTGGAGTTCTGTCCTCCCTGCCTTTTATTGCTGCTGCAAGCTGTACAATTTTAGGAGGTCAGCTGGCAGATTTCCTTTTGTCCAGGAATCTTCTCAGATTGATCACTGTGCGAAAGCTCTTTTCATCTCTTGGTAAGGATAAGCGTGTGGGCCCATTTAACCAATCCCTTTTCTGCACATGGTCTCAGAGGGTTCCCTGACAGCATGTCCTCATTGCCCAGGGCTCCTCCTTCCATCAATATGTGCTGTGGCCCTGCCCTTTGTGGCCTCCAGTTACGTGATAACCATTATTTTGCTGATACTTATTCCTGGGACCAGTAACCTATGTGACTCAGGGTTTATCATCAACACCTTAGATATCGCCCCCAGGTAAGAGCTCTACCTGTTTTTTCCCCTCCTCCAGACCCCTCCAGAGGTGTTAGACCTCAGTGGTCGCCGTGAAACTCTTTAATGTTACTGACATTGCACTAATGGCAGAATGACAAATAACTACAAATATCTGTCTGTGGCCATTTTTAGAACAACAAATGTGGCATTTTTAGAACAACAATTTCCAATCTTGGCCAGTAATCATTTTGACAAAAACCTTCCCAAGCTTCCCTAACAGAGATTGAACTGTGTATGCTGGGAAAAGGCCCACACACAGGTGATTTGGAAAAGTTTCCATGGTGTTGTTCATATTAGCTACCATATATATATATATATATATATATATATACAGTCACAATAAGCCAGCTCCTGTGCCAAGACTTGCCATATATCAACACATCTAATCCTCACAGTTATATTAGGTAGGCCCTATTGTTATCCCCATTTTATAAGGGAGAAGGCTGAGGCACAAGGAGGTTAAATGGTGTGACTATGGTCACATAAAGGCAGAGCCAGGATTTGGACTGGGGGAGTCTGGCTTTGGAGTCTGTGTCCTGCCCGTTGCACAAACTGGCTTCTCCACTGAGCAGCCGGGGTAAAGAAACGTGGTTCCCAGAGAGACTGCATTGCTCCCTGGTTATTGACTTGGTAGATTGGTAATTTCAGGTTTGGCAAATAGACATTGCCCTGAATGTCTTTAGGTGAATGAAAAACTGCATTAAGCAAAATGACTTTGCCATTAGAGCTGAATTGCATTAAAGTTGAGTTGCTGCAGAAGCTGTAGGTGGCTTTCTATATAAAATCATTTATAAAATCATCTTCCCACAGATATGCAAGTTTCCTCATGGGAATCTCAAGGGGATTTGGGCTCATCGCAGGAATCATCTCTTCCACTGCCACTGGATTCCTCATCAGTCAGGTTGGGCCAGTTTATTGAACATCTTCAAGTGGCAGGTATTGTTTTAGGTGTTGGAGATACACACGGTGCTCTAAAGATCTGGATGGCAACACAATTACTCTATTTACATGAGCCTCTAAATCAGACTCTGGTAGGTCAGATTTCCCAGAGGAAGAAAAATATAAGCTTATTTTCTCAAGATGAATAGATGTTAGATTGATTAAAATGAGCTGTTCCGGTGCAGAAGACAGCACGTGTGACTTCCTAGAGGTACATGAGCATGAAACAGTTCTTAGTTATGACCAGAATGAAAGACACATGTCAAGGAATAGCAAGAGACGAAGACAGAGGGGCAAAAGAAGATCATGAAGAATATGTTCAGACTAATCCAATTTTTAAAAAATCACAAAAGGGAAACAAAGTGTCCTAGGCCAGTTTAAAGATAATTTAATGTCTGGAAACAGATCGGCTGTGAGACATTGCAAGGAGGCTTGCTCGGTGTTTGGAAATGCAGGCTCATGAGGAAGATGAAAAGACAGACCCAGGCAGGGATGGAAGGACTGACGAGAACCAACTTACAAAGAGAAGTTTTGTTTTTACTACATTTCTATGTGATCAAGTTCCCAGGTTAATATTTGACTAAACTGCTAGGAATCCACTGTGACTATAATGCTGGAAATGACTTAGTAGGGCTTTCTGAGGAGGGTCACACAGAAGACCAAAGAGAACTCATGTTGAATTGAGATGGGTTGTAGTGATAGTTGTCAACAGCCAATACAGAAACAAAAAAAAACAAAACAAACAGCAACAACAACAACAAAAAAAAACAGAGAAGACACAAACACAATGCCACAATGCCATTTTAGGCATAATTTTAAATGAGTAATATTATATGTTGAAATCCAAATTTTCAGAAAAACATTAGTGTATTTTATTTTTGTTTAAAGAAATAACCATCTCAACTCAGAACCCCATGTGCATTTTGGCCATTTTGTTTCCAATAGTTTCATAAACTTTCTTAAGTAACTACTGCACATTGTTCCTTATATTCCTTGTGATCAACATTGCAATACACAACTGGGAGGGCTACTAGAACTGGTGTAGAAGGAACTTGTGAGATTGATCATTTTCTCTGTTTTTTACATCTAGGATTTTGAGTCTGGTTGGAGGAATGTCTTTTTCCTGTCTGCTGCAGTCAACATGTTTGGCCTGGTCTTTTACCTCACGTTTGGACAAGCAGAACTTCAAGACTGGGCCAAAGAGAGGACCCTTACCCGCCTCTGAGGACATAAAGTTACAAACTTAAATGTGGTACTGAGCATGAACTTTTTAAACATTTTTTACTTCTCTCCATATTCCTGACCATAGACTCAGCAGTTCTTAACTCTGGCTGTGTGTTAGTCTTCCCTGGGGAGCCTTTATAAGACACTGATACTTGGGACCCACTCCAGAGATTCTGAATGAATTGGTCTGGGGTGGAACCCAGATACTACTAATTTTTAGATACTCCTTAGAGGTTTCTAGCATGCGCCCGGGGTTGACAACAGCTGGACAAACTTGAAAAGTCAATTCATGTGGCCTTTGAATTTTCCTCATTGGAAAGTACTAAATAAATAAAAATTCATGTGAAAATGATCACTGATAAATATCTTCATGGTGGGGCAGGTTATTGGATGCAGAGAAGATCTGCTCGGAATTGTAGCCATATGTTACAGATCTCAGCACCGATCGGAACTGTAAAGCTATAATCCCCAGAATTAAAGTTTTTATTATTTTTTATACATTGTAAAACATAGACGTTTATTTATGTGATTAAATTCTATTAAAATTTACATGCTAAAATAAAATAGACCATTTTCAAATTATTTAGATCCAGATATTTCCATCAGATTAAACAGATATTTATTTATCCTAGCCCAATTGCAAGAGATTAATGATGAGAAAATGACCAATACAAGATTAAATAAATGAGGTTAACTTAGAAATCAAGGACAGAGAAGATAGAACTGGAAGGCTTGTATTGTGAGAAGAATGAATGTGAAGGAAGGCAATGTAGACACTTCCAGAAGGGATAGCAATATAGTTTAGACCATATAATGAAAATTGGAGAGAGATGACAGAGACACTTTCAAGTGAAATGACAATTTATATGGGGGAGAAAAATATTGAAGACATAACAAGATGAGAAAAGGCATAGAAATGTATCACATACAAGGCATAGAAGTGTATCACATACAAGAGAAGTTCCTTTTGAGCGTAGAAAAAGATAATTTAACCTTCTTCATATTTTTCTTACTTTCCCAAGATACTCAGATAGGCAGCGTCAACTCTAACAGGAATTAATTTGGCTCCTAACACTTAAGACATATCCTTTAGTTTGTCTCCTCACACAGAACTGATTCTGGTTTTGCCACAACATGTCTAGAGAAGAAGTTCCCACCATATTTTAAATCCTATTAAAAAACTGCTTGGACAAGAACCTTGGGTTAATTCAGCAGATGAAGAGAATCTCCTAATGCAAATCAATGGGTATTTTTGAGCAAGTTTTTCAGAAAAACAGAGTGTCAGGCCCTGAGGGTGGTACTAAGATGAGAACATTGATTTTGCCTTCATGATATTGACAACACAAAGAGGAAAGGGGGTTTGCAGAAAACTAAAAGAAGAAGTAGAAGAAAAAAGAAAGACATAGTATAATAGGTAGTCAAATTATGTACAGAAAAAAGAGAAAAAAAAAACAAAAAAGGGTGGGGGACAGACAACCCAACTAAAAAATGGGCCAATGACTTGAACAGGGACTTCATAAAAGAGAAAATGTAAGTGGCTCCTTAACATATAAAAAGATGTTCAACTTCATTAGTCATTACAGAAATGAAAATCAAAACTACAATGAAATACCACTATAAAATTAACTAATGGATAAAATGAAAGGAGATGGAAAACAAAATGTTGCCAGACATGTGGAGCAACTGGAACTTTCATACGTTACGAATGTGAACTTTGGAAAGCTGCTCGGCAATATCTCCTAAAGCTAAATGTACAATTCCAGTGACTCAAACATTTTACTTAGAAATGCACATATACATCCATAAAACATGTACAACAATGTTCATAGGAGCACTATCTGTAATAGCCTGAACAGGAAGTTGTCTGTTAAAAAAAGAATGAGTAAATAAACCACGGTCTATTTGTATAGCAATGAGAATTAACAGACCCCAATATATAATAGATGAATGGGTCTCATAAGCACAATATTGATTAAAGGAAGACAAAACGCACATTCTTTTAAAGGTTTATAAAATACTTTTTAAAAACAGCTACAACCAATCTGTCCTGTTAAAAATCAGTGAGCGATTTCCCTTGTGCAGGGATGGGGGTTGTGGCTGGATGGATGGTACTTAAGAAGTGCTCCTGGGGTACTAGAAATATTTTATTTCTTGACTTGGATGTGTGTTTACTTTGTGAATATTGTACATTTATGATTTGTGCACGTTTATGAATGTAGAAAATAAAACAGAAAGCAAATTCAAAGTATCATCCTTTTGAGAGCTTCTGCTCTGACTTCGTTTTGACCAATGGAGCAGTTGGGAAGGGGTCTTGGTCCTTCGGTCCTTTGCTTTTTTTTTTTTTTTTTTTTTTTTTAGACAGAGTCTTACTCTGTCGCCCGGGCTGGAGTGCAGTGGCTCGATCTTAGCTCACTGAAAGCTTTGCCTCCCGGGTTCATGCCATTCTCCTGCCTCAGCCTCCCCAGTAGCTGGGACTACAGGCACCTGCCACCATGCCCGGCTAATTTTTTGTATTTTTTAGTAGAGACGGGGTTTCACCATGTTAGCCAGGATGGTCTCGATCTCCTGACCTCGTGATCCGCCCACCTGAGCCTCCCAAAGTGCTGGGATTACAGGTGTGAGCCACCGCGCCCGGCCCCTGGTCCTCTGCTTTCATGTTCTTCTTGGTCCTGTTCCTCCTCCTCTTTTGTTGGAACTTCCAGTATCAGAGCAGGAAGGAAGGCAATGGGTCAATCGATGCTGTCAGCTTTTGGATCAAACTGCAAGTTCTCAAACAGCAAAATTAATGAGCTCAGGCTTTGAAGAAACCATGACCCTGAAAGCATCAGTTGCTTCCAATTGCATCAGTTGCCACGGGTGATAAGAACAATGATGACTCAGAATGCCTAGGTTTTCCCAGCAGCTTCTCTGAGGTTTTCCCAGCAGCTTCTCTGATTGATTCCTGACAGATGACTTCGGTGTGTCAGACTTTCAGGGTATCTTTCCTTATGTGATGGTTTGAGGAAGAGTTACCATTCACATTCCTAATGGCTTCAGAATAGATGCAATTGTGAACTGATAGGAAACATTTCTAATTCATCTCCCCTCCCCATCCCTAAAGGATTGTTTCTAACAATAGTCATGAAAATTAATTCACTTTTCTCAAATAGTTTATTGTCATCTACCTAATGATGAGATGACTTACTTTTTCTCCTTGACTGTTAAATATTATGAATTATATTAATGTATTTCTTAATGTTGAGCTTTCCCTTGAATATTCTTTTGATGTACGACAGAATTTGATTCACTAATAGTTTATTTAGGACTTTGGCTGATGTACTGATATATGAGATTGGCTCTGTATGCATACATGTGTTTTGTGTATCTTTTTTGTGTCTGGATATGGAGCTTATGCTGATTTCAAAAACAAGAAAGGAGAACTTTCCTTTTTCCCCATTACTCTGAAAAAGATTGACTAGAATGGAATTTTTATAATTGCTGTTGTTATTTGAAAGCTTGAAAGCATTGGTTTGTAAAAATCATGCAGGCTGAAAGCCATTTTGAGGAGACTTTGATAACTTTCTCAATTTCCTTCAGTTACTGGTCTTTTAAGGGGTTTTATATTTTTCTTTGATCAATTTTGACCATTTATGTTATCTTGGAGGATCATCTATTTTACACACTATTTAAAGTATATTTGCAAAAATTCAACTGTTTTATCAGGCTATCTTTTTAATAATATATTCATTTTATCTATATCTGAGGTTTTAGCTTCTTTGTACTTCTGACCCAATTGCATGTGTGCTTTCTTTCTCCTTCATTAGACTACTTAGTCATTTACTAATTTTAAGAATAGCTTGTCTTTTATTTATTTACTTATTTATTTTTGAGACGGAGTCTCACTCTGTCACCCAGGCTGGAGTGCAGTGGCGCGATCTCGGCTCACTGCAACCTCCGCCTCCCGGGTTCAAGTGATTCTCCTGCCTCAGACTCCCGAGTAGCTGGGATTACAGTCATGCACCACCATGTCTGGCTAATTTCTGTATTTTTAATAGAGATGGGGTTTTGCTATGTTGGCCAAGCTGGTCTCAAACTCCTGACCTTAGATGATCTACCCACCTTGGCCTCCCAAAGTGCTGGGATTACAGGCATGAGCCACTGCGCCCAGCCCTGCTTGTCTTTTTATTTTATATTTGATTAGCTTTATCTTTTATCAAGCTTATGTCCTATTTCCCTTTGCTTTACTTCATATAAATTTTGTTTTGGATAGTTTATTTATTTTTCATTTAATTATGAAACAGGTTAAAGCTTAGAGGAAAATTGCTCCTCTAAGTCCAATTTTGTGGGCAGATTACATTTTGCTGTGTTGTGCTCCCAAATTCATTGTTCTTTTAATGCTTTATTTCTCAAGTTAATAACCTATATAGTAAAAAAGTGGCTGTTGACTCTCAGCTTTTTTTTTTTTTTTTTTTTTTTGTAGATACAGGGATCTTGCTGTGTTGCTCAGGCTGGTCTGAAACTGCTGGCTTCAAGGGATCCTCCTGCCTTGGTCTCACAAAATGCTGGGATGACAGACATGAGACACCATGCCTAGCCATGTCTCTCTCCTTATATATAATAAGAAAACAGACACACTGAGGCATCCTATCATCTCACTCTTGGTTTCACTACTGTTCTCTGGAAGTTTTGCTCTGACCTTTTGCAGTTAATGTATTAATTTTGCATTGAGTAGTTTCCATAGAAGAATTATAGCATTTGCATTCTGTTGGGTATTATACTTTTCACTGTTATTTGAACATAATTTGAGGGCTGAAACCAAGATGAGGCAAGTGAGGTGCCCAGGAAGCAATATTTAAGGAGGCATCCTTTCTTAGGCTCATGCAAGAACAGAATTGGCACATGAGAGTGAGTGCCTCCTTAATTTTGAGTGCTGGACACTTCTTGCTCACTTAGCATACCCCTGGACAATGAAGTGTTTTTTGTTTTGTTTTTTCATGTCCATCCTTTATCCTTCTTCATCTCAAAACATTTCAATGGAGTATTTTTTTGGAGCAGTACTTGGATGAGCCTCTGAGTCCCACAGTAGCTGAGAATTTATTTCATAGTACTCTTTATGATCACTGTGGAGCCTTAAAACATTGTAATATTAACTTAGCTGGGAACAGAAATTTTGTTCCACAATTTGTCTTATTCAGAACAGTATTGACTTCCTGCTAGTCTCTTCTGATGTCCAATATGAGGAAGTCTAGTTAGCCAGCTACTTTTTGTAGGAGAGCTATGTTTAGGCTAGGTGCTATAGGATTCTCTTTATCCTGGAATTCCTTCACCAAGATGTGCCAAGGTGTTAATCATTTTCTCTTGCTTTTTGGCTGGTGGTCTTAGAGTTTCCTTCGATTTTGTTTTATTTAGTGATTGTCCTCAATTTGTTTTCTTTACTAAGAATCTCTCTTCTATTTATCTGTATGGTAAAACCTTGTTGCCCATCTTTCTGGTTTCTGCTGACTTTCATTTTTGGACCTTTTACTTTGCTTTCTCCATGGACTTTTTGGTAGTGGAGGCAGGCAAACACTTTCCAAAGTCTTTCTCAATTTCCATCAATTTCAACTTATTTCCTAAAATTGCCTCAGAATGTGCCTATGTCCACAATATCCCTCCTTCCACTTTAGAAAGGAAAGGCATCCACACTTTATTTAGGTGCAATGCCTGAAGTGTAAACACTTTCTGGTTGTCAACAAAGGAGTACTTCCAAATATTGGTTTGGGGATAACCTGCTAATGATTAACACATTCACCTTGGCTCTTGGTTTGCCTGCTCCCTCTTCTTTTATCTGCTGTGTGTATTTTTTTTAATCACTGAGAATATGCACAGTATTGTATGTTTTATTATAAGAGAGGACTGGCCAGAGTGGGAATGTTCTGAATTCAGAATAACTGAAGCAGTACAGGATAGGAACTCATTCTTTCAAATGAAGCTGGCATATTTTCCCAGAGCACCAAATTTCAATATATATTTAAAAAACTTGATATGAATGATACAATAAAGTGGTTAGAACTTTTATTAAAATAAACTTATGTCATGAAATACTTATTCTAATTATAGTCACTCTTCATCTTATTTCATCTTATAACATGTTTAATGTTTTCTTTTATTTACAAAACAATTTATTTTTTGATGAAAAGTTTTAGAAATCAAGTTAAAAATATTCAAAGGAATGCCTAAAGTTTTCAAAATTCTTTTACATGTTGTACAATCAAAAGAGTCTGAAGACCATTTAGCTATCCAAATTGTTTATTTTTAAGCAGTATCCCTTCTAATATTTACTATTTATAATCCTTAAAAATTTGCCTTAGCACAGGAGAATTGCTTGAACCCAGGAGACGGAGGTTGCAGTGAGCCAACACAGTGCCACTGCCCTCCAGCCTCGGCGACAGAGTGAGACTCTGTCTCAAAAAAAAAAAAAAAAAAAAAAAAAAAAGGCCAAAAACAAATAAACAAACAAAAAAATCCGCCTTAACATTATTTGTTCATTAAAAACTTTCTTTAATACTACTAGTTTCCCTTTCCTCTCAGCCCATTGTCATATTTTGATTTTTATCACTTGCTTTGTAGGACATATGAGGTTTTTGTTTTTTTTTTTTTTTGGAGATGCAGTCTCCCTCTGTTGCCCGTGCTGGAGTGCAATGGCGCAATCTTGGCTCACTGCAACCTCTGCCTCCTGGGTTCAAGCAATTCTCCTGCCTCAGCCTTCCAAGTAGCTGGGATTACAGGCACCCACTACCACGCCTGGCTAATTTTTGTATTTCTGGTAGAGACGGGGTTTCACCATGTTGGCCAGGCTGGTCTCGAACTCCTGACCTCAAGTGATCCACAATCCTTGGCCTCCCAAAGTGCTATGATTACAAGCATGAGCCACCTGCCCAGCCAGAATATATGTTCATTTTGAGTCCTTTAACAAAGTCATAAGAATTTTAGGAATTCAGTTACTTTCTTGAGAAAATCTCTGAAAAGATGCCAATAATTTGTAGCCAATTATATTGATTTCTCTTTTTCATATTGAGAATTGTTTTTTAAAAAGTTTGTATGTGTGAAGATTTTTGCACTGTAGTTAAAGAAACCACCTGTGTGTTGGTTAAGCCATAAGTACATGTATTCAAATAAATTGAGGTGGGGTTACTCTGAGAATCAAAGGAAAACCTGAAGAAACAGGCAGCCTCAAAAGGTCTTAGCTGTAGCAACTTGCTCCATTGTTGAAATAAATAGGCTTGAACTTGTATTTTCCCTCTACTCAACATTTAAGGTCTCAGAAGATAATATAATTGGTGAAATTTAAGTAAAGTGCTCACTCTTTTGCTTTAACAAACCCTAGAGAGCTGGTAGGCAGAGCCTCAACAGACCGTTTTAGCTTCCAAAGGGAGTTCAGGACACCATGATTCACGACCACAATACATCACACATAATTGAGAAAAGATAGTTCCACCAAATAAAGTTGAAATGCTGACAAGAAGGGGTAAGAAATCTTGGAAATAAGTTTATATAAAATTTATTTTTTCCTTTTTTATTGTTATGGAATAGGACCAGTTCTACTTAAGCCACCCATTTGCCAAAATAAAGTGAGAATCGTTTCTTTTGGGGACTCCTCTTTGTAGCTCCAAGTGCCACTAACAATTCTTAGGACCTGAGCTATAAGCCAGGTGATTTCAGTTAATATGATCAATTATTTCATTTAAATGGCTCTAATGTGCAGAGGGAACGGAGCCCATCAGCATTCCCTGCAGGGAACTGCAGTGGCTTTTATCAACTTGAACAGCTAGCTTTCAACTGTTTTGAAATCACTTTCAGGGTGGTCATGTAGTTGCTTTTTTGAAATCAGAAGATGATTCTGCCTCTTTTAATATGTGACTCCTCAGATTCAGAAAGTGCTCGCTAGTCTTAAGAGTGAATTACCCTCAGTGGTCCAGCGCTTATGAACCCACATCTAACCCTATCCCCTGGGGGAACTATCAGAGAAATTGGTGCCATGGACATAAGAGGAAGGCACAGTGAAGCAGAGAGCCCCGCATGATGAAAATCAGTGGACAGCATCATTATTTACAACTTTGTAATCACCCAGGAGCATGAAAATCCAGGCCAATCTGGCACCATGAGCTCTAATTTTTGTTGGAGTTCTTGGAACCGATTCTGATGAATGACTGTTTAGCCATTTTAGAGTGTGGCATACGTGGCTGCTGGCATACAGAGGTTGGATGTAAACGGGCCTTTGCCCTCTCTTATGAACATAGACAGGAACTAAACTGTGTCACATAGGTTCCAAATGGTGGCCTGAATACTATTTACAACTAAGGTACAATGAAATTGAGTAAGTCTTTTCCTCTTTTGCAGATACCATCATTATTCATATATTTCTTCAAAGTTAACTATTTGTATTTGGTAATTTTTAATAGAAATGTAATAATTGCTTCTCAAGTTTAGTCTTTAGTCTTAAGGTTGATGCTCTCCATGTCCTTCCAAAAAAAGGTATGTTGCTTTTATTATATCCTCGCCTTCAGATGGGATTATTCCATTTTGTTCTTTGTTAATATATACTTTGAGCCACTTTTTTTGTGGCTCTGGGTGAGATGCTATAGGTACAATGACAAGTGATACGTGTGTTGTCCCTGTCACAAAAGTGGATAGCCTAAGTGGTGACTTTTACCTCCACTCCAAATATATGTATCACACACCAGCCGTATGCCAGGCACCACTCTAGGTGCTAGGGATACAGCAGTAAACAGACAAATGCAACCCCTGCCCATGTGAAAGAGAATAAGACAATAAATAAGTAAAGTGCATGTTATATGGAGGTGGCAAATGCTAAAAAGAAAAATTAAGCAGGCAAGAGGACTCATTGAAAAGATGACATTTGGGTAAAAGCCCATGTATATATGTTCTATTGGTTTTATTTCTCTGGAGAGCCCTGACTAATACACAATGACTTTGAGAAGTTACTGGCTTTTGATTTATCACACTATTCGGAGTGCTGAGAGCCTTCTTAGTGTGTATTCAGTGTTTTAAGAGAGCTTGTGGATGAATAATAAATAGGACAAAATTTATCCAAACTTAAGCCTTGCTTTAGGTAAAAGGGCTCCTCTTACAAGGTAGAAGGTTATTATTTGGCATTTAAATCCAACTGAAGACTAATAAGACTAATTAATTAAAAGTTTTTAAATCACAACTGGGTGCAAAATAAATGGAACTGCCATGCTCGCCAAGTGTGCATGAGTGGTGTGCATGGGAGACAGCACGAAGCTAATCCCACTCATCTTGCAGGTTGCTCCATTTTTCTCCTAAAATCAGTAAGACAGAAGCTGGTCAGATTATCAAGAGCCCTAGTTAAACACAGCAGTAGCATTTGGAAGGGGTTGCTCTCATTAGGCAGTGCCTGACCACAACAAGAGATGAACAAGCCCTGTATCTGAAGCCATCATGCCTAGTTATGGTCCCCCACTGTTCATGATGCCTGAAAGGGAGGCCCCCTGCACCCTAGAAAGCTGGGTGGGTTCTACTGTCTGCTTTACTGCTAAAAACCCTCTTCTTTGGATCTGGACTTTACCTCTATCTGATTTTTTTTTCTAATATATGATTTGGCACTGAGTCTGTCACTGCTGCTAACTCAGCAGTTCTAGGGTCATTGCCCCATTGCCTCACAGAAAGAATTTCATAGCTTCCAGCATCCTCTCTCCTTCATTATACTTTGATTTCAGCATTGCTATTTTTTCTCTTGGGTGTTGCAGCTCTCTCTCTCCTTCCCATGTCTTGTTGGTTTTCTGCTAACTCCTGCTTTTTTTCTTTTTTTTTTTTTGAGACGGAGTCTCGTTCTGTCACCCAGGCTGGAGTGCAGTGGCACAATCTCGGCTCACTGCAACCTCCGCCTCCCGGGTTCAAGCTATTCTCCTGCCTCAGCCTCCCAAGTAGCTGGGACTACAGGCGCTCACCACTATGCCCCACTAATTTTTGTATTTTTAGTATTGCTGTCATCAATCCACATGTCCAGAAGCACCTAGAAACTCTAATTCTTTGTAGGTATCAAACCCTAGGACTCTTTCCTCTAATCACAATATATAATCCCTGATTCCCAAACACGGTCTTTTCATATACATTTTCCACTGTACATACTTTCTGACCTGGAAAGCTCTTACACAAACACGCCCTCCCCTAGGAAGCCTTTATAAATGTTCCCAGGAAGAATCAGTCACCCAACAGTGTCCTTGTCACATCTTAGGTTCTACACCTTTATTTGTTCTATCTGAATGTAATCTCCCAGAGGGTGTTATCATCTTTTTTTTTGAGATGGAATCTTGCTTTGCTGCCCAGGCTGGAGTGCAGTGGCATGATCTCGGCTCACAGCAACCTCCACCTCCTGGGTTCAAGTGATTCTCCTGCCTCAGCCTCCTGAGTAGCTGGGATTACAGACGTGTGTCACCACACCTGGCTAATTTTTGTATTTTTAGTAGAGACAGGGTTTCACCGTGTTGGCAAGGCTTTCCTCGAACTCCCAAACTCAGGTGATCCACCCGCCTCAGCCTCCCAAAGTGCTGGGATTACAGGTGTGAGCCACCATGTCCAGCCCCATCTTTTTCTTTTAGTTTAGTTCTTAACAAATAGTCTGACACAAAGTGGATATAACAATATTTTGAATTATGAATAACTAAATGAATATTTCCAGATTTCCTGGTGCTCTCAAAGTTTTATGTTACAAAAGAAAAACAAGTCTAAAATACCTGCCTCAAGTTTTTATCTGTACTATGATTTCAAACCAAATAAAAAACAGGTGGGGTAAAAACTGAAACAGGAAATACATATAACTGAAAAATTTTGGTATGTTAGTATGATAATACTAGGTCATTTTTCCTGTTTCCCCAACTTCATTTTCTATAGCAATAAAAAGAAACAAGTAAATGTATATTAATTTAATTTAAAAGAAGTAGTCTACCATCTCTTCTGTTAAAAAGAAAAAAGTATTTTAAAAAATTATCTCTGGAAGGATACACAGGGAACATTGCTCTGGTTTCTTCCAAGAGAGAAATGAGGAACTAGAGAGCATGGCCAAGTGGGGTTTTGCTTTTGTTTTTGTTTGTCTATCTGTTAGCTTTTTATTATTTTCTTTTGTAGGTTTGAATTTCAAACCACATAAATCTGTTACATGCTCATAATAATAAGTTTAAAATAAAACTTTTGGCTGGGTGCAATGACTTACACCTGTAATCCCAGCGCTTTGGGAAGCAGAGGTGGGAGGATACTTGAGGCCAGGAATTTGAGATCAGCCTGGGCAACATAGTGAGACCCTGCCTCTGTAGAAATAAACAAAAATTAGCTGGATATGGTGGTGCATGCTTGTACTCCTAGCTACTTGGGAGGTTGAGGCAGGAGGATCCTTTGAGTCCAGGAGTTTGAGGCTGCAGTGAGCTATAATCACCCACTGCACTATAGCATGGGCAATAAGGTGAGAACTTGTCTCAAAAAAAAAAAAAGGGGGGGGGAAACAAATAAATAAATATAAACAAAACTTTTGTTTCAAAATATGTAATATTTAGCACTAAAGAATTCTGAATTGTAGAGCTAAAAAGTACTTAAAAGTTAATAACTATTGTCTCCTTTAAAAGAATTGTTATCAAAGTATAATTTTTATCCAGAAAATCATCCATATCAGCAAGCTAAACTTTCTCAAAATGACATATCCATGTAATTAGCTCCCAGGTAATTAGCAGGCAGCCTCTACTCAGGTTGAGTATTCCTAATCTAAAAATTGGAAATTCAAAATGCTCCAAAATCGGCAACTTTTTGAATGCTAACATGATTCTCAAAGGAGTGCTCATGGAATATTTCAGATTTTGGATTTTTGGATTTGAGATACTCAGTATAATGCAAACATTCCAAATCTGAAAAAATCTGAAATACTTCTGGTTCTAAGCATAAGGGATACTCAACGTGTGTTAGCTAATTAGACCCTTCATGGTCTCTTCTAGACCTCAGCTTCTTCAAGGTAACCTCTATCCTCACTTCTAATAGCATGAACTTTTCTGTTTTAGAATAATTTGGATTTTCAGGAAAGTTGCAAAGATAGTACAAAGACAGTACAGGAGAGTTCCCATATATCTTTCACCTAGCTTTCCCCCATTGTTAGGATTTTACATTATTATGATACATTTGTCAAATATAAGCAACTCACATTGATACATGAAACTCTATTAACCAAACCCTAGACTTTATGTGGATTTCACCACTGTTTCCACTAATGTTTTCTTTCTGTTCCAAGGTCCAATCTGGAATACCACACTGCATTTTCTTGTCATATCTCCCTAGTCTTTTTTTGTCTGTGACAATGTCTCAGTCTTTTCTTGCTTTTCATGACCTTAACAGTCCTGAAGATCATTTGCTTTTTTTTCATAATTACACCGGAGTTATAGATTTTTTGAAATAATACCACAAGGGCAAAGGGCCCTTCTTGTCACATCATTTTAGGGAGAACATGATATCCACATGACATCACTGATATTAACCTTCATCATGTGGTTTAGGTAATGTTTCAGGTTTCTCTACTGCAAAGTGATTTTTTTCCCTTAATTTAGCCCACCTGAACTTATCAATTTTGTTTTCTTCCATGACTAATACTTTTGTTATTATAGCTAAAACTTCATTGGGGCCAAATCTTAGATCATGTAAATTTTCTTCTATATTTTATTCTAAAAGCTTGTAATGTTTGATACATTCTAAAAGATGTAATGTTTGATACATTACATCTAGTCCTTTGATTTATTTTTAGTTACTTTTGTATAAGGTGTGAGAGATGTCTCCAGTTTCACTTTATTAACACATTGTGGTGTTCCAGTACTATTTGTTGCTAAGACTATCTTTTTTCCATTGATTACCTTTGCCTTAGTTGGCAATATTTTTGTTGGTTTATTTCTAGACTGTTTATCTCATTCCACTGATTTGTGTCTATCTTTTTGACAAAACTGTTGATTACAGTAAGCTTTGAAATAGTTCATTTTTTGTGTCAACTTGACTGAGTCAGGGGATAACCAGCTATCTGGTTAAACATTATTTCTGGCTGTGTTTGTGAGCGTGTTTCTGGATGAGATTAGCCTTTGAATAGGTGATCCTAGTAAAGTAAACTGTCTTTCCCAGTGTGGATGGCATTATGCCACCTGATATTCAGGGTCTGAATAGAAGAAAAGGCAGAGGAAGGGGGAATTTGGGCCTTTTTTTCTGCCTCACTGCTTGAGCTGGGACATCTCATCTGGTCTCCTGCTCTTGAACTGGGATTTACATCATCAGTTCCTCTGGTTCTCAGGCCTTCAGATTCAGACTGAATCATACCACCAGCTTTCCTGGGTCTCCAGCTTGCAGATTACAGATCATGGGACTCCTCATCTTCCATAAATGCATGAGCCAATTCAGTCTATGTCCTTGAAAACTGCCCCACTGCAGATTAAGGCTTTTTTCCACTAGGTGAAATAAAGAAGCTTGTTAGACAGATTTCCCTTCATCCAGTGCCCTCTCCTCTTTAAGTTACAACACATTGGCTACACCTAAGTGCAGGGGTGGGGATGAGGGTATAGTCCTCTTGTTTGCTGAGAAGAGAACTGTATTGGGAAAGCTCTAGAAGTGTTTGATACATACATAAACAAGGCATGGTTTTTGCACTTAATTTCACATTACATTTTTCCCAGAAAAAAAGGAATGTATAGGCATCACGTAACTGTACTAGCTGGAGTCATTCTTCCTGATTATCAAAGGTAAACAGTTATTAATCCTATACCAAGATGTCAAGGAGAAGTACTTTTGGAACACAAGGAATTCTCTGGGAGTCCTTACTACTCTCAAGCCCAGTGAAAAAGTTAATGAAAAACTATAGTACCTTCCTATAAGCTGGATGACTAATTACCAGGCTCATTTAGGAATTTGCCTTACCAAGTAAAACATAAGGGCAGCTGAGGTGCTGACTGAAGACAAATGGAGCATAGAATAAGAGTAGTAAAGAATGCCAAAAATGCTGTCATGTATCCATTGACAAAAGGAGCTATAAAGCCTTTAGGTATTTTCACACTTGCTCTGTTACGTAAATGTATGTGTGTGTGTGTGTGTGTGTGTGTGTGTGATCGTTTATTTTTTCCTTCTTTCCCACTAAGATGTATTAATACTGATTAACACTATAAGTTAAGCTTATAGGATAGGCTATCAAAAAATGATTGTGACTGAGCTGAAAAGAACATTACTCAGGATGGATACAGTGAGTTTCAGATGTTTGTATTCTACTTGGGAGCTACAGACAATAAAAAAGTAAAAACATATACAGTTTGTCAGCTACTGATAAGTGCTATGGAAAAAATTAAAGAAGGAAACGGGGATAGGGTGGGATTAGGTGTGGTAGCCATTCTAACCTTGGTGCTGAAATCTATCAGTATTCTGTTCAGCGATCCACTGTCTGCTACCTGGCCATATCCCCCTGGGAAGTGTGAGCCACATTACTAGCTTCATGTGGTGAATTCTGACTGGTCCACACCAGTCATGTGGTCCCTTCTTCTGTAGCTGATTAGCTCAGGCAGCACCTGAGACTAGGCCAAGTTTTGGCAAATGAGACATAAGGGGGAGTTTTCTGGAAAGGCATTCCTTGATCTCCAAGAGAAACGCACTGTTTCTTCCTGCCTTTAACTTGTGTCTGCATGGACACTTGAAACTGTGACCAGCATGGGGGGTAAAGCCTGCTGTGAAGGAGAGCAGAGGCAAGAAGACTGAGGGCAGTGGAGCCAGAGCTCTGATCACCCTGCTCTGGAACCTTTCTGCCTTTGATGTCCTGTTTGGGGAGATAAGAAATTTATATAGTGTTTAAATTTGTTGAGTCAGCGTTTTCTGTACCTGCAGTCAAAAACATGCTGAGTGATTCAAGAAGTTGGTCAGAACTTCAAAAAATTATTATTCTACATTTTCCCCCAAGTTTTTCTGAGGAAAGAGAGTGCTTGGTAGGCAGGATAACCCTGGAAAGTGGCCATGGGGCTGAGGCGGGTTTTGGAGAAATGCAGACACTGTTGTCTGATGTGAGTTTCACCTGATGAGGGATCAGGATCTTCTTTCATATAATTTGGGAAAGCAGATGTTGGTCCCTTTAGATCTGTTAACTGACATTTAGCATTCAAAACTGTCTCGTGATTCACAGAAGTGTTGTAAGATATTATGCAGATTTTAGCACAGCATTCAACCATTCAATCAGATTTTTATAAAGACTTTTTTTTTTTTTTTTTTTTTTTTTTTTTGAGACGGAGTCTTGCTCTGTCGCCCAGGCTGGAGTGCAGTGGCGGGATCTCGGCTCACTGCAGCTCCGCTCCCGGGTCACGCCATTCTCCTGCCTCAGCCTCCCAAGTAGCTGGGACTACAGGCGCCCGCCACCTACGCCCGGCTAATTTTTTGTATTTTTAGTAGAGACGGGGTTTCACCGTTTTAGCCGGGATGGTCTCGATCTCCTGACCTCGTGATCCGCCCGCCTCGGCCTCCCAAAGTGCTGGGATTACAGGCGTGACCCCGCGCCCGGCCTTATAAAGACTTTTTAGATAAAAACAGAATCTATATCTCTAATGTATGTATTAAGGATGAACCCCGGCTGGGCGCAGTGGCTCACACCTGTAATCCCAGCACTTTGGGAGGCCGAGGCGGGTAGATCACTTGAGGTCAGGAGTTCGAGACCAGCCTGGCCAACACGGCGAAACCCTGTCTCTACTAAAAATACAAAAATTAGCTGGGCATGGTGGCAGGCACCTGTAATCCCAGCTGCTTGGGAGACTGAGGCAGGAGAATCGTTTGAACCTGGGACGTGGGGATTGCAGTGAGCCAAGACTGCACCACTGCACTCCAGCCTGGGCGACAGGGTGAGACAACGTCTCAAAAAATAAAAAATAAAATAAAATAAAAAATGAACCCCTCTCTGTCTTACTCTCTGAATGAGTGAGTCTGAAATCCAGTGGGTTTGGCCAAGCAAGGTAGATGTCTGTGTATATATGGGGGAAGGATGTTTAGTGACAGTTGCCTGGAGTGGAGTGAAGAAACCTAAGCAGAGTGAGAGAGAGGCAACAGTGGAGGCCCAGTGAGAGTACTGCAACTTGAATAGGGTGATGAAGCTGTCTTCAAAGGGGGACAAGAGAACAGCCCTGTGTTAATGTTGGAGCCTGACTGGAGTGAAGAGATTATCCATGTGACAGGTAGGCCCATAGCACAGACATTGGCACTTAAGCAGGGTGAGGAGAGCATCCACATAGAGGTGGTAGCTACAAGATGATGGTCATACACAATCAAGATTGGTCCAATGATTAATATAACAAGGATTATTAGAGTTGCCCAGAAATGTGGTCGATCAACTGTGGCCATCAATTACTAAATAGCATAAAAATATCTCAAGGAGAGAAGGCAAAAACTGAGGACTCCACATACAGAAACCTGTCCTTAACATCCTACAGAGAATAATGATAG
Organism: Homo sapiens; assembly: GCF_000001405.40. NCBI lineage: Eukaryota > Metazoa > Chordata > Mammalia > Primates > Hominidae > Homo > Homo sapiens. Next base: position 25,896,841 of record NC_000006.12, on the reverse strand, counting down.
GCCAAGAAATATTTTTTTGCCCACTGAGTTCACAGTCTCAGATCCCCAAATTGTTCCTGAGTGGAGTTAGATGGATTATAAGAGACCTCCTTATTCATAATAGGCCCAAGTTGGCCTAGAGAGGGAGCAGAATTGGTTTAATGATTCCACTCCAGACTTTCCTGGGATTTTTCACTTCTTCCTGCTCTCCATGCCCTCTTATCACAGTTGCTTGACTGGAAAAATAACAAGTGGCAAGAGAGATGCCTTGCCTTTTTCTTAGAATTCCAGACTCACTTCTCAAGTCACTGAGCTTCTGTTAGTGCAGATATTGCAATGACACTTCCACGTGCATGTGATCGGGACATTTAATGGATCAGCTGCTCAGAGCACTCCTCCAAAGTGGCACTTCCCTTTTTCCAAATTTGGGTCCTGAGGTGAACACCTCCCCAGAGGTATTCATAACAACGTTGAAGTTGTAGAGGTGATGCTCCTTCAGAGGCCAACAAAGAAAAGCTTGGAGGCATATTACATTTTGGATTCCAGTTCCTACATAACTATAAAATAAATTCTGCATCCTTAGACTAAATCAACATAATTGAAGTTAAGCATGGTTCAGATTAAAGAGTAAGCTCATGAGTTTGTTAAACCATTACTTGAGAATGCAGGAAATGAACAAGACATGCAGTCTATGTATTCCAGTTGGTTGTTGGTTTGATAAGCAATTCACAGGCAGTAGATCAACAGGCAGGAAAATATAATAGTTAATATGACTGCAACACTTATTTTGGAAACTTAGATGGCTCTTTGAAAATCTTCTTTTCCAACTAAAATTACTGATATTCATATTATTCAAAAATGACAACCTCTGTGCCATCTGAGATTTGTTGATTCAGCATTTCTAAAAATAGTTCTTAGAATAAAATAGAGTACTTAGCTTGACACTTAGCTATTGACAGTGCCCGGATAGCCTACTTAAATGTATGCTTTCAGAACACTGCTAAACACCTTGCTTTCAACACCCCATTCACTTTCAACACCTCATTCCTCACCCATGACCCCACCTGCTCTCATTTCTGCAAGAAAACAATAGAAATTAGAGCAGTTGGGGTCATGAGTGAGGATATCACTCACTTCTGATGATCATTTAGTTGTTAGGGGTTAAAAATGCCTCTACTATTGCCCTAGAGATGTCCTCCAAATCACTGACACCTACTCTACAAGCTTTGAGCCTGGTGCTTTAGATTTTTTGTCAATAGATAGTGTGAATATATCAAGACTGCCACTAGACAAAGGAAGTTCTAAAATGCTATCAGTTTTGTCCATGGATTTCAACAATCCATGGGCAAAAATGTGATACAATACATGACTTAGAATCAATTAAATATTGGTATTTTAGGACATCCTCTTAAGTGCATGCCAGAATTTCACACAAATTGCACTACAGGGGAGAAACATGCCTGTTCATGGATATTTCAAAGAAACAAATAAAAAAAAAACCTTTGAGACATTTTTATGATTTAGACTGTGTATTATCTTTGCAGTCATATCAAACTAAAGTTCTTGAAGCTGAATTTCTCAGAGAACAGGTGGAAGTCATTGATGAGAAAAACATATTATTAATATTATTTCTCCATTCTTTGACCACAGAATAAGTTGAGGAAGATGATAGAATAAAGGAAGTAGAAGTGGGCCTATAGACAAGTCAGTTTTGTAAGAATAAAAGGAAAATAAGTTTCAAATCTAAAGAATCGATGGAGAAACTAGTATACATATTTATTAAATCAATGCATATAAGAGAAGCAAAGAGATTAAATGATTGAGCAATCATTTGATAATGTGAGCTTTTTAAAAGACTAAATGAAAGAAATACCACCTTTTTCTGTTGAGAATAAATCATAAGTGTGTTAAATGTGAGATTATTAACATAAATAAAATGTATAAAATAAGTGCAGCAGAGAAAGTTTTTAGAAACTTTTCTGACAATGTTACCCAATAAGAAATATAGTATTATCGTGCAACTCAGGACATACTCAGAAACACAAACACATATAAATAAAATAGAATACTTACAAAACAGTTACCTTTATTTCAGAGTGAAATACACTCTGAAATTTTTAATTTTATTGAATAAGGCCTTGATTTATCCTATTATATATCTCATTTAAAAAATATATTGTTCATATCAATTCAAATTGATTTCACTAGTGAGACATAATTAGTGCTTTGGAAAACTCTTGTTTTATGGTCTTAGAGCCCTCCAAGTTACCAAAGGTTCCTACAAGCTTGGCCAATGGGAGAACTCTACCTCCATCAGCTGGGATGATATGTTCAAGAATTAGGGAAGTGACCAGAGTTAAGCCAATAAAAGTCCTTCAGGAGATTCTCTGATCTGGAGGCTGAACCCAAATACCTCTTCTTCTCTTATAGTAAAGATATAAGGATGACACTCCAGACTGCCAGGCAAAGGGCTTTTCTCTCCTAGAAAAGACTAACTGAAGGAACGTGATGGGCAAGAAAACAGCAGAAATTAGAGCCGTTTGGGGTCATGAGTGAGGAAAGAGTAGAGAAAGAAAAAGGAAAGGAGAGAGAATGAGAGGGAGAAAAAGAAGGGGAAAAAAGAAGGGAGAGGAAGGAAAGGGGGAGGAAGAGAATGAGATTAAAATCTTGAATTCTAGACCATGAGATGTCTGGAGCTGTTCTTGCTACATCCATTGTTCTTTCTGTTTGGTGAGCTCCCTAACCCAGTTGCTTTCTTTCCTGAAGTTGGTTCAATGTGGCTTTCTGCCTGAGGCATCATATATGCCTGACATATGTAAGACACAACCTTTAACTTGATACAATGAAAACCCCAATCCCAGCATGATAGCCAATAAAATAAACTTGGCCCTTCGTGCTGACACATCATCACTCTTCACTTTATGAAGACGTGAACCTTGTTCTTAATCTTAGTTTGTCATCAGAAAACATACGAAGAATAAGGGCTAGGTAAAGAGGAAGCTTGAAATCCAGTAAAAGAATGGATTTTTGGCTAGGCGCAGTGGCTCATGCCTGTAATTCCAACACTTTGGGAGGCCGAGGCGGGCGGATCACCTGAGGTCAGGAGTTCGAGACCAGCCTGACCAACATGGAGAAACCCCGTCTCTACTAAAAACAGAAACTTAACCGGGTGTGGTGGCCCATGCCTGTAATCCCAGCTACTCGGGAGGCTGAGGCAGGAGAATCGCTTTAACCCGGGAGGCGGAGGTTGCGGTGAGCTGAGATCGGGCCATTGCACTCCAGCCTGGGCAAAAAGAGTGAAACTCCGTCTCAAAAAAAAAATAAAATAAAATTTAAAAAAAAGAATGGATTTTTGCTCTTTGTCCAAAAAACAAAAACAATTAAAAACAAGCTTATGGTTGCTTTAGTTTGAATGATGGTGTTCCCTTCAAAATTCACGTTAAACTTAATCCTTATGGTGGTGGTATTGAGAAGTGGGACCTTTTGGGAAATAATTAGGTAATGAGGGCTCCACCCACATAAATAGGATTAGGTGTCCTTACCAAAGGGTTTGAGGGAGTGAGTTTGGCCCTCTTGCCCTTCCACGTAAGGACAGTGTTTTTTCCCTTTGGAGAATGCAGCAACAAAGCACTATCTTGGAAGCAGAGACCTGGCCTTCACCAGACACCAATCCTGCCAGCACATTCATCTTGGACTTCCAGCCTCCAGAACTGTGATAAATAAATTTCTTTTATTCATAAATTATACAGTCTGTGATATTTTGTTATAGCAGCATGAAAGGGACTAAGACAATGGTTAAAGATAGGCATGGCTAGTCTTACTGAAGAGGAGATTGGAGGCACATCAAAGCATTCCTGACTTCATCTTCATTGGCCCACTTCTCCTATATTTGCCTTTGCTGCTATGAATCTATTTGAGGGCAGAAAGATGGCTTCTTTCCCTTCAAGTCTTTTTTATTATTATCTTATAATTTTTCTAAAATTGGTCATGACTGCTACTTCCAAGGTCATCCTACACAATAGAAATAGAGGTAACTGACTATTATATTTCCTATCCTGAATTACATTCAGCTACATTGTCAAGTCAAAACCAACTCTTATCACACAATGTCCATCATGTATCACCCTACTTTAAAAAACATCATGCCAACAACTCAAGAGAATAAAACATATTTTTTTCTAGTTACATGTACCAATCTAATGTCCTTCTTTATTTGACATTACAGTTAAAATTTCCTCAATGAGTCTCTTTTCCCCCTTGTCACTCTGCATAAAGCCAGGATGCACAAAAAGCCATAGCTGCAGTGGCAGGTAAACTAGAAAACATATGTTTATTGGGACTGGGAGACAAGATAGGTTTTCTCTGTTAGCCCATGTTGAGAGTGCATAAATACCAGTTTGTACTTGCTTTGTTTTAGGATTCAAATGTACAATATGTACATGACCTGGAAAGCCATGAAATGAACACAAAAATAGTTAGTTTGGTGATACTTAGCAGAAACAAACAGAAATCATCTCAAAAGTGTTAATCGCTAAATTCCTAGCCATTAGAGCACCCTCAAGTAAATTTCCATTTACTATGTTCTCACCATCAGAAATTATAAAGCAAATGTGGAAACAATCTACCATGAGTTAAGGAAATTCAAATAGCCATCCTCATATTTTCAGATAAGTGAACACAAGAAGAAATAATAGAAATGATGACTATAATAGCAAAAAGAGTGAATAGGAATAGACCAAACAGTTATGCATGAGATGTGTAAAGAAACCTGATAATTACTGTCACTGAAGAAAACCAAAACCTTAACATGTGAGTTAAGTAGTAAATTAGAATAGCTGAACTCATGAACTGGAAACACTGGTTTAGACAGCTCAAAAGTAAGGCAGTGATATAATGATGACAACAAGGATCGAAGCTCGCTCTACTTTTTGATCCACCAATGATTTGTACACAGATATTTTCTTCCCCTCTCTTGAGGAAGGATTATATTTCCCTTCTTCATTAATATCAAAATTGTTTATGTGGTTTAATTTGACTACTGTAATTTGAGCCAAAATGATGTGTCATTTCCAGTCAAAAACTTTTTCAATGCTCTCTCTTTTCTGTCATGAGACTTATTATGTTCTAGATGGAAGCTGTCCTATCAATCCAGTGCTATTGTGAAGATGATGTGGAACAGAGCAACAGCTGTCCATTGCATATGTAGAATGAAGGAGGTTCTTGTAAACTATTGAGATTTGGGGGATTATTTGCTACTGCAGCATAACCTACCCTGTTCTGACTGGTTTAAAAAAAATTAGTACTGGAAGTCAAATGCTACCACAAGAGAAACAAACGAACAAACAAAAGTCCAAAATGCGTGTAGTGTTGGTTTCAGGACTTATCAGGAGGCAAAGGAAAAAAAATTTTGGAGGCTAGAAGCATAACCTTTGAAATACATTAAACTTTTGCCCAAAGCAACTTGGAAAGCTGATAATATATCTAATGAGCTTCTTGCTTTGGGTGAAGTGGTTGAGATATTGGCTGTTAGTAGTGTGCCTTTGTTACTATTGGTTGCATTTGACAAAGTTCTCCAAAAATATAGGAGGCCCAAAAATAATTGGCCAGTTTCAGAATATCTAGACTTTTAGGTTTGGAAGAAAAAAACTTCATCTCAATTGAGAAATGACTTAAGAAACAAAAAACTTGTTAAAAGTCATTCTCATGACAAGAACTAAAGTCAAAACAATGAGGTTGTTCATGTTTGTTGTTCAAACCTCTGAATTAAGATAGTATCTAGTAAATACTTTTGATTCAATAAAATGGCTCAGAAAAATGAGACAAAGAACATGGCTTTCCCATGGGAATCTGATAGGCTTGAAGTGCCCAAAATTAAGTCGAGAGAAAGATTTGAAGAGAGAAGAGCACATCTTCAAATTAATTGGGAAGGGAGGGGTGGCAAGTAAAGTTAGCATGCAAAGTTGGTTGTAAGCAAGGCAATGTAAAGGGCCTTGAGAGTTGTACAAATCAGTCTGGACTAAAGGAGACCATAACTTCAGGACTCAAAAAATATATTGGTTTACCCTGGTATACCAATTTTTAAATTTTATTTATTTTCAATTTTTTTGGCAGAAGATGGACAGTGAAAGATGCTCAGTTCCTAAGGAGGGGCATATCCAATGTCCTCTTCAAATGTGGCCAAAAGGAATAATGGAAAAGAAAAGATTCCCCAGAAGGTGGAGCCAAAGGCCATGGAAAACAACGAGCTGTTCTGAGGGTGAAGAACTATGGACTAAGCAAGGAATCAGTCAGTACACATCCAGTGTAGAAAAACTTTACAATATCTGCCCTGGATGATTTCATAATTTCCTCCAACAAGTGAGTATTTTCTGTTTCCTATTTTTGTAGCTATCCTATTCCTGTTCCACTGTTGTACATGCGGTTGTGCGGTAGAGTAGAGGTGGGGCAGACGTCATTTTATTGGTTTCAGAACAAAAGGACCCAAATCCAGACTTACGCAGAGATTGTCATGAGATCCTGCACTTCAGTGCTGATGCTGTGACTGGATAGGACTTTTGGGTTTTCTTTCTTGGAGTGGGAGAGGGGCACCCATTGAATATATTTTGTGTGTGGAAAGGAGCATGAACTGAATATTTGTGATCAGAAGTTTGGATTGTGATGAATTGTATTTTTAATTACAAATATCTCTGCCCTTCCTTCTGGGATGGTGATACTTTCCTAGGCAATTGGCATCAGGCATATCTATATGACTTACTTTGGTCAATAAAATGTGAATAGAAGTCACATGAGTCACATCCACAATAAACTTTTACCATCAGTTCATGGCTCACCAAATTATTTATTTTCTCTCCATAATGCAACCACCCATCTTCCACATAGAATCCACCTTACTGACCTAGATCTTGACAGGAAGATGACATGGAGAAGGGCTACAGCCAATCTCAATGAATGTAGTGTGAACAAGATATACATCTTTATTTTTGTAAGCCACTGAGATTTTCAGTTTATCTGTCACCTCTAGGCTAATACACCTATGCCAAGTCTTTTGACTTCCCTCCTCATTTTTTTGTTTCATAATCATTGGGTGCATATCCAGAGTTCACATCAACTCTCAAATCAGAAAATCCTTATGTGTTCCTGGCCAGAAATGTGCATCAAGACCACATTAGTTGCAAGGAGGCTTGAAAACTGAGTTTTTTGCTTTTAGAGCTCTTTTTAAAGTACATACAGGTGAATAAAGAAGTAGGGATCTTAAAATGGAGTTTGGCCCAGACAACAAAGAAGTGAAACATGCCACATTACCCTTGAAAACTAATTGGCTGTTACTTGTCTGCATCCAGTTTGTGCCCCATCCTCACTGAAATACAGTTCATACTGCATTATCTTCACTGCCCCCATGATTTTTTCATGGAGCAATGACAGGAGAATTATTTTAGTTTTTTGTTAAGGTAGTACTCCACCTCTGGTACCAATTTCTGAATGAGTCAGAGTAAGCTAGACTTTACAGTGTTAACAAGTAAACTGTACAAAATCTCAGAGGTTTAAGAAAGCAAATGTTTATTTCCTACTGGCATCACCATCTAATGCAGGCTGTTCAGTGGAGGCATAGAAGGTGACTTCAAAGGATGATGGGAATGAGCAGTCCAGTAGCTCAGGAAAAGAAAAATGGGTTTGTCAACATATAAGACTGTCTTTTCCACAAGAGGTAAAAGACACATAACAGTGCCTGCCACATTATTTAACAGCTTTGCTCCTCAGTTTCCTCATCTGTCATGTGGGATGATAATTGTTCTGGCCTCAGAGGATTGTTGGGAGAGTTAATAAATGAGTTAACATATGTAAAGCACTCTTAACAGGGTGTTCACCATATTAAATGCTATATGTTTTATATTATTGATTTCTTTCTTTGCTATTAACAATGTAGCAATGAATATTCTTGCATATACTTCAGCCCACACCAGTGCAAGTGTAACTACAGGTGAAAATCTCTTGGTTGAATTTGCGGGTCAAAAGTATCTGTGTTTAAATATTAATGGACACTTCTAAATTGCTCTTCACAGACGGCTGCAACAAATTACACATCTATCAATAATTTATTTCATTGCTCATTTCCTTATGTTCTAACAGTGTGTTATAAAACTTTTAGATTTCTGAAATCCAAATGGTGAAAATATTTTCTTTTACTATACATTAACTTAAGTGTCTTTCTGTGAGTTGTAAAATTTTTCAGTCTTTGTCTATATGTCTTTATTTTACTCCATCCTATAGTTGTAGTTTAGCAGTGCATAGAATTCTAGATTGAAAAATGTTTTGCCACAGCATTTTCAGGATATTTTTCCATTATTATGGCTTCTATTGTTGCTAATGATAAAAACTATAAATGGAATTCATGACACAAATTAAAGGAGAAAAGAACCATATGCATCTACTAGTTGCTAAATGGGTAGGTAGATGCTAATATTTTATACTTATTTTTAATTAAAGCCTGTTAGTAACATGGCAGAAATATATATCAAAGAAAAATGTGTATTATATCTGAGAAATTCAAGTCTACTATTATCACTATTTTAAATCATCACTTCAGACTATTATATAATGTATTTAGAGAAGAGGTTTAATTACTGAAACAAACAGAGTAAAATAATCATATGATTTGTGGAGGACAGTGGCTCTTCTATGGCACCCTGGCAACTTTGCAGATCTGCACATAGGCCACACAGGCAAGACTCAGTTGCACTCTGATCCATTATGGTAGAATGCCCTGTGATCCTCCCAGAATCCCCTGTATGGCAGAATTCCCTGTAATATATCATATTATAATTATAATTATATTATATTTATATGTGAAGAGGCAGTTTTGTGAGGAATTGTCACAAGGCCACTTATCATCAGCCTCCCCAACTAGATGGAAGTTACTTCTATTGTGGGAAGCTGCTGTGAGGTAGTTTCTCATCTATCACTTCTCTGGTTCCAGTGAGGCATAGGACTTTCTACATGTGCCCTTTGGGTAGACGCAGGCTATAAAATTGCATGGCTGTAGTGTGGAGTTGGCTCCTCAATGACAGAACAGCCCACCTCTTGTGTCATTTGTCATTTGGCCCTTCCAGTTTCATGTCTTCTTTTGGAACTAGTCAAACAGGGATGTAACATCATGTTGATTTTGTTTTTGCTATTTGCAAAAAAACTGTTTTTGCTATTATGCAAAACAGTTTTGCATAAACTGTGCTATGGACTGAATGTTTGTTCTCTCCTAATTCAGATATTGAAACCTCAACCTCAATTGTGATAGAATTAGGAGGTGAGGCTTTTGGGAGGTAAATAGGCCATGATAATGGAGAGCTCATGAATGGGATTAGCATCCTTATAAAACAAGAGAGAGCTTGCTTTCTCTCTCTTTTTCTGCTCTCTGCCATGTGGGGATACAGGGAGAAGACGGCCATTTGCAAGTCAGGAGGTGGGTCCTCAGCAGACAGTGGATCTCCTGGTGCCTTGATCTTGGATTTCTCAGCCTCTGGAACTGTGAGAAATACATTTCTATTTTTTAAGCCTATAGTAATTTTTCATGGCAGCCCAAACTGATTAAGACAAACTGTCTAACATTTGGATTCATTGTCTCCTTCCTGGCTAAATATGTAAAAATGTGGCAAGCTAGCCTAGCAGCTGCCCCTGTGCTGCTGCTTAGAAACTACTTACCTGCTTGACAGATTACTGTCTACCTGGAAAATCCTAGAGGAAAACCTGGAAAACTGAAATGATAAAATTTAGCAAAGCAGCCAAATACAGTATTATAACACAAATATCAATAGCATTCATTCATAGAAAAGCAGTTAAAAATATAATGTAACAGTCTTGCATTATATTTATACACAGATATGTTAATAAGCAAGAAAAATAACTTAAAATAAGCTCCATGAAATGTGTAAAGCCCCATGAAGAACACCATAAAGCTTTAAAGAAGTACAAAAAGAGTTTTCATACCTCAAAGCATCTAGCTTCTTAAATGGCAAATCACAAGTCTATACAAATGTCTGTCATCTATATTAATCTAAAAATTCAATGCAATTCTGATAGAACTGTCTTCAGAAGTTGAAAAACAAAACATTTGTACAGTTCAATTGGAATCAAAGATGATTCCAATACTTTCAAAGGGCAGTTCCCCTACTGTGGCCGAAAATATGTTAAAACGAAGACACAAGATGATGGCAATTGAAACCAGAAAAAAAAATAAATGCAACAATTATACAACATGTGTCTAACCTCAATAATTAGATAAATTAATTCAGGCTATTCACATTAAAAGCAATGGGGCTGATAAGGTTTGGCTGTGTCCCCACCCAAATCTCACCTTGAATTGTAATAATCCCCATGTGTCAAAGGTGGGGCCAGGTGGAGATTATTGAATCATGGGGGCAGTTTCCCCCATACTGTTTTCATGGCAGTGAAGAAGTCCCATGAGATTTGATGTTTTTGTAAGTGGGAATTCCCCTGCACAAGCTCTCTTTTGCCTGCTGCCATGTAAGACATGCCTTTGCTTCTCGTTTGCCTCCTGCCATGACTGTGAGGCCCCCCCAGCCATGCTGACTCCATGAATTAGTAACACCACCAACAAATTATTAGCTAAAACACATTAACTAGAACTAACTAGAACTCTAATTTTAAAAACCAAGGTAGTTCTGAAACTCTCTTTGTGAAACACTGTGAGTCCGTTAAACATTCTTCCTTTATAAATTACCCAGTCTCAGGTATGTCTTTATTAACAGCATGAGAACAGACTAATACAGGGGCCTTCACTAAATCATGTGGTGAACTGAGACCATTTTTGGCCACATAGTATGTTTTTTGAAACACAAACATACAAGCATGTGCTATCCCTCATTAGGAAAAATCATAAACAAAATAGACCTACTTTTTAATATTTAAGGTAGAAAGGAGAAAAGTTTTACTAAGTCAATTATATAGGATCCTGAACAATTCACAAAGAGGTAATACAAAGGGCTATCCATCAGAAATATGAATACATTAAGAGGTAGCTATTAACAGAAAATGTTGATGGCTGTGAACAGAGCCTTTGTCTTATGTTCTTTGAATCCTCAACAGCAGCTTATTTGGATAGAATTGGTGTAGTTAATAATGGCCTTGATGTCCTCAGATATAGCATGCCTAATCAATTCCCTGGGTAGGAGCAGGTGCACAGATCATTAGCTCTCTCTGGAGGCGATAGTGCAGTATCTGTTACAATGGGCCTAGAGAGAGTCTTGTCCTACTGTGTGCTTGACGATATCCTTGATAAAATAGTTCTCAAAACATGTTGCCTTGTATGAAATGCCCATGTTGGAGCACACTTGTTTCAAGACCTTGTTAAAGCAGATGGAGTAGTTCTCTGTAGGGCATCTCTCATGCTAATCTTCTGAGTTTTGGTAAAATTTCTTTGAGTTGTTTTTGGAGATGGCAAACCAATGTTCTTAAAGTCAATTATGGCAATAGCAAACTACTTAAAGGAAGACCCAGGCATAGTAGATTCAGCCTCACACTACTTAGAGATAAAAAGACTGGCAGCCAGTACCAAGTAGGAATTATTTATAGTTGCCATATTCAAAGAAAGCATAGGGACAACCCAATCTCTCAGTGGACGAAAACTAAATAATGCATGTAAATGAGCTGATCAAATTCCACTCTGATTTAATAGTGTTCATATTTGGCATGAACCACTCAGAAAGCAACACCAGACAGCCTAGTACCCGAGTGTGGCCTGTACCAAGAGTACTTTGAAAAGATTCTTCCTACAGCACCTAAATTTTGTAGGTTTCAGCTTCAACTACTTGAGAGAAACTAACCTCCTCAACCTAAGTCTATGAAAAATGACACTGGTCAAGTTTGGGTCATAAATCCAGCCACCTACAATCAACTGCTGTCAGAAGCTGCCTTTTTGAGTGAACCCTAGCTTGAGCAGGAATTATCTGACCTGGAAAAGAAAAGTGATCCTGGAAAACATGGCACTTAGATTTAGGGACCAGTGTCTCCAGGACTGATTCAAAATCTTAGTAAATTGGAAAAATTATTTTAAAAATTATGGAGAAGGAGTTGGACTAGCAAATTAGGAAACAGATTAAACCAAGATACCATAAGAGGTTGAGAACATTATGAAGATGATATTTAAACTTCAAACAGAGCACAAAATGATATTTAAAGACTTTAATGAAAAAGCAAAGGAACAGAGGCTGTCACTTCATAAGTGGTACATTAGAGCACATGCACACAGTACTCTATAATCTTAAAAACAAACCACTAAAGAAAGCAAACCACATAAGAAAACATGTTAAAGTTGAGAGAAATTTAAAATTTCTCCCCCACCTCCTGCTGTGTTAATGTACTACTTGATTGGGTGATTCACAATCCATGAATTATTAATTACTAACACAACCAATATATTATTAGCAAAAACATTAACTAGAACTCTAATTTTAAAAACCAAGGTAGTTCTGAAACTGTCTTTGGTATATGATGTTCAAGTCTGATAAAAGGAACTCACTGGCAGCTAGTGTACTTGGTATTGGCCAATAGTGTTCTTGGCCAGCACCCCAGGCAGTAGGAAGCATTTGGCCTTTTGAACTGCCTGGAGGTATGGTCAATCATCTGTTACAATGGGCCAGATGGGAGGCCTTACCAGTGATCCACTCGAGGATGCCATTGCAAAAGGAATTTATGATTCACATGGCCTTGGGTCAGATGCCAGTGTATCTGTTTCAACATCCTACAAGATTACTAGTTGTTCACTTAGAGTCTCTGAGCAGCAGAACTTCTATTTCTCTCGTCTTTCTTGATCTTAACCCTGGCATCCTGTTGGAAAATATTCTGATGCAATGGAGCTTCCAAGTTTGCTATAAGGAGGCAGGCCACCTATGGAACAGAAAATCTCACAGGCCAAATAAAGATGATAGATATGCATGGTTGGTTAAATAAATTTAAAATCCACTGCAAGAAGCAAGGGAAAAAGATAGCATAATTTTACATACTTAGAATAGGGAGCAAGCAAGATGGTAGGACCATAGTGCTGACCTGGAAGTACAGAATGTGCCAACATCCTGTCTTTCCCTGCCACATTAACTTTCCCAGCTAATGGTATGATTACAAGGACTAGCACTGAGATTCCAGCAAGGGATCCCACAGACAGGAAGTGCCGTAGGAGAGGATAATGACACACACTTGCTCTATGAGAAAGACATGCTAAACAGCCATGGGTTTTATTTATTTCTTTTTTTAAATTGACAAATAAATCTTGTATATATATATATTTATGTTGTACAACATGATGTTTTGATATATGTATACACTGTAGAACAGCTAAATCAAGATAATTATCCATTACCTCACATACGTTTCTTTTTGTAGTGAGAACGTTTAAAATCTACTCTCATAGCAATTTTCAAGTATACAATACATTGTATTAATTACAGTCACCATGTTTTACAATAGATCTCCTGAACCGAACTTATTCCTCCTGTCTAACTAAAATTTTGTGTGCTTTGACCAACATTTCCCCAACCCGTAACGTTTGGTAACCTCTGTTCTCCTCTCTGCTTCTATAAGTTTGATATACTTAGATTCCATATACAAGTGAGATGATGTAGTGTTTGCATTTCTGTGCCTGTTTTTTTTTGTTGTTGTTGTTGTTTTGTTTTGTTTTTTGCTTACCCTAATGTTCCTTGGGTTCACCCATGTTTTCACAAACAGCATGACTTCCTTATTGTTAAAGGCTGAATAGTAGTGTGTTTCTTGAACAGAGAACACATGGTGACAGAATGGGTGTCCCCAGTAGGTGGCTGAATCAAGGCCTTGAAAATACTGGGTGCTTGTATAACCTTCAGTGTACCCTGGATATCTAGTGTTAGCTGTATATTTAGTATATCATAAGTATCTTGTGCCCAGGTGTCTTGTTTATTTCAGGCCTCATGAATATAGTTATCTCTTTGTCCTCCCATTTCTTAACCTATGTATGATATACTTATTAATTTCCATGAATACATAACACATGACTTTCATACATCCACTTCCCATTCATTTTCTTGCTCTCTATAGAGGAAATAAATATTCTCAAATTATACAAAAAATGCATATTACATATGGCTTTCTTGGAGCCCTTTCTAGAGATTGTAGAACACTTCAAAACTTTAGGCATATCAAAATCTGTTTCTAGCTTCCTTGAAAAGAGAAAAAGTGTCTACAGGTGACAAGGAAAATCCTGCAGATACTTGTATTCAAAGGAAGTCTGAAAAAGTCTGATTGGATAAAAAATAACGGAAAAAGGCATGTAAAAGTATCTTCAGTTCTGCTTTGCTTGGATGAGGCACCTTCCAGAGAAGTTAGCCGTTAGGGTGTGTGTGTGTGTGTGTGTGTGTGTGTAAGGGATATAGTCCTTATGACCTCTGCTTTTGGTTTGGCATTAGAGGGGGCTACTTCGCAGGAGACATCTGGTTGTGGGAAGCAGGGTGGCGAGGCTGGCGCTGAAGTCCCAGACTTGGTCTTCCCTGGCCGGGCTCCAGCGCCGTCTGCTCCGCAAAGGCATCTATGCCGAGCGTGTCGGGGCCAGAGCGCAGGTGTACCTGGCGGCCGTGCTGGAGCACCTGACCGCCGAGATCCTGGAGCTGGCTGGCAACCCGGCCCGCGACAAGAAGACCCGCATCATCCTGCGCCACCTGTAGCTGGCCATTCGCAACGGCGAGGAGCTTAACAAGCTGCTGGGCGAAGTCACCATCGCGCAGGGCGGTGTCCTGCCCAACATTCAGGGCGTGCTTCTGCCCCAGAAGACCAAGAGCCACCACAAGGCCAAGGGCAAGTAACGTCCCCAGATAATAAAGCCCAGCAGAGCAGATGACCTACTTTTCGAGGGGAAAGAAAAAGTAAAACCAAAAGCCAGCCACGAGTTCAAGTAAAAGCATAGGCAGATAATGCCCAAGAGTATTTCAACAAAGTCTCTCCATTCCTTTCATTCATTACCCTGATACTCTCCACTTTGTTTTCTTTACCAATATTATGTCACATTGGTTTCCTGAAAGCTGAGTTTAGCACTGGATTTCAATGCAAGCTGTATTAGGTTGGTGCAAAAGTAATCGCGGTTTTTGCCATTATTTTAACGCGCGCGCGCGTGTGTGTGTGTGTGTAAGGGATATAGTCTTTATGACCTCTGCTTTTGGTTTGGCATTAGAGGGCACTACTTTGCATGGGACATCTGGTTGTGGGAAGCCATTACTTTTAATGGCAAAAACCGCGATTACTTTTGCATTAACCTAATAATTTTGTGAAAGAGATTTTTATGTGGTATCCAGAAAAGCACTTATAAAACAGTTTTGTTCATGTGGGCTGTTTTATTTGCCATCAAGTTATAATGAATTTGTCAACTGATGATTAATTTCTTCAAGCCTAAGGGACATGCTTTAGTGCTTTTTATTTGGCATGTTTAAGATTGTATTTAGCCTTTAGATATTTTACTATAGGGAGGTATGTATGTGCCAATTGGTTGAAGGTTTCACTCTGTGGGCTGTCAGCTTTCCCAAGAGGTCTCATTCTAGGGTGGTCAGCCAGGCTGATGTAAAAGAGGGTTACAGGCCAAAGGACGCTCCTGTAATGGCCTCTATCAGCCACATTTCTGCCAAAGCTGGACTCTGCAGAGTCCAGATCTGGAGAGTTCAGTAAGGTCTGTAACCTGTAGTTTTATGGAGGATACCCTAGGCTTCATTTCTAGATAAGCTTGTGTCCAAAGCATTGGTTTAGATTGATTTCCTTTTGCCTGATACTAACTCTAAGGGTAACAAAATCCTGTCTCTGGAATGGTGTTGCATCTGCTAGGAATGAACATTTGGCGCAATCTGATGGTTAGATGGTTTCATAAATATCTGTACATATGGCAGATGTTAGTCTAAAATTTACTTTTATTAAACCTAACTTTAGATCACCTTAAGTTTCTTTGATGGCTACCATTGTCTAACAACTAGAAGCTTACGTCAGTTCCCAGACTGGACTGTGGAATAGAGTTTGACCTAGAGTAAAGAAAGAAGCATGCGTACAAAACACAACCTTTGACTTTGGAGTCCAGAGGAGAAATAGATGTAGCTGCCCAATAAACCCACAGGGTAATGAAAAGTGAAGCAATTACATGGTTGAACAATTATCTTCTAGGCCGTCCTTTTTGAAAGTCCAACCAAAAGCATTATGTCTGGGAATCAGAGGCATTATCAATAGAAATAAAATACATAAAACGTGCAGTAAAGAGAAGAATTTTAACCCTTTTGGAGTATGACTGACCTAGAGTAAAAAATATACATTTTTAAAGTGTGCTGCAATACTAATATATAGGCTTATATGTAAACACATGTGTTGCAGCATCGAAAGTTTCACAAAATAATCCTGACTCTTACTAAGTGGGATGCACTATGATCTGTTCCATTCTATTTGGGCCTCATCCATCTTGTTTAAAAAACCATAGTGGCTAAATTGATAAGAGGTGCTAAATTGATAAGAGTAATGACCTGTAGGTTGAAAATCATTGGGATGATGGGAGTGACCAATCAGACAACTTGGCACTGCACCCACAAGGCTGCAACAATTGGTTCAAATGGTAATAAAGTACTCTGGGCTGGGCCAATAAGAGCCTCTCCTAGGTTTTGAACACAGCTGCTTTTTCTTCGCTTTCATGGATGTGATGAATGAGACTCCAAAACTGCCAACAGACTTGTCTGTTGCCTCTTGGAGTAGATTTAAGAGAAGGGAGAAGGTGCAAAAGAACAGCTGAAATAAGAGTTCCAAAGGTCTTCATTTATTTTGGGGCAGAGATTTAATTCCAGTCTCTGGTCCCTGGAACTGTGCTTGTTACAGCTGCTCATTCTTATATTCTGTGACCTACCTCAGTCTCCATATTTTCTTTTTCTCTTTCTTTCTCTTCCAAAGCCATTTCAGTTGGACTTCTATCACTTGTAAGCACAGGTGTCTGACAAATAGAAGCCACAACTGAGTACAATAAAAACTAAACTCTGCAATACAAAGGCCAATAAATAGGTTTGGCCCTTAATCCTCTCTTGTAACAACATTGACATGATCTTGCTCCTCATCCTGGTTTAGCACCAAGAGAAAAATAAGAGTCTGAGTGGGAGAGGGAGGAATCAAAAGGAACTGAGCCAAATTAAGAGCTTTTGGTGTAAATGTTGGAAGCTGAGAAAAGCCATGTCAAGCCGCAGCAAACTCCCCTTCATAAAGGAGGCAGAGGGAAAAAATAAAATAAAAAAGAGGAGAATAAGAGAGAAATTACCCTTTTCATTTTTCTCCAAGCTAAGACTTGCAATCTAGCTACACTTTAAGTGATTGATGTGGTCACTAGGGGCTAAGAAATAAAAATGTTTCAGGTAAGAACATGGAGCTCCCAGATTCAAAATGCCAGCACCTCATACACCCATCCCGGCAGCACAACCAACATTCACCCTCATCTGCTAAGACAAGTTCTCAGAATCAGAAAGTTCATTAACCTGAACTTCAGTAGTAAATAACATTTAAGTTTTGGAAAGGTATTCTTCTATTTGGCAATTCAACACCATCGCTTGTAACAAAAACCAATAGACAAGTACAACTCAACATCCTCAAGACAGAGCACCAAAATTAACAGAAAAACTAGAACCCCTCTCCAAACTAGAAGAATGTTAGTATAAATATTTAACATAAATAAATGAATAATATCAGAAATATATGCTGACATACTTAAAACAAAAATTAGATATGTGAAAAGGAAGGTTTTCTTAGAAATGACAAATATCCTTAGAATTAGGGAAGAAGGAAAGAAATAAGAAAGGAAGGGAAAGAGGAAGGAAAGAATAAGAAAAAAATGAAGCAGGGAAGAAGGAAGGAAAGGAGAGAAGGAGGGAAGGAGGGAGGAAGGAAGAAGGAAAGAAGGAAGGAAGGAAGGGAAGGAAGGTAGGCAGGTGATCTCAGGAATTTGGAAGAAAATTGATACAGGTGAAATTCACAGTAATGCCAAGATACAAAAGGAAGAATAATGAGAGGGAAATTTTATAGGAAACTGATGTTGAAAGTTGGTTTCAATGTTTGCGTAACAGATGAAATAGTCTGGAGGGTAAGAGAATGGACACAACAGCCAGACTTTCTGGGTGGTTGGATTCCTGACTCCGTAGCTTACTAGCAAGTTACTTAACCTCTCTGTAAACTGGCATAATAATAGTACCTACCATAGAAGTTTGCTATGAGAAGTAAAAGTGTTATTGTATGTAAAGTGCTTAGAATAGTGTTCAGCACGTATTTAGTGTTAAATAGGCCTTATTACAAGGAGTCTCTGAAAAGGGGGTGAGGGGCAGAGTAGAAGAATGATTACAAAGAAAGAGATAACCACCATCTTTATTTGAGGATATATTTAGTAAATTAAATTATATGGAAAATTATTTTGGAATATTGGTTGGAATGGCATATGGATTAGTCTGGAGAGACGAGATTTTTACATTTTTGAATGTTCCTGTTCATAAAAATGTTATGTCTCTTTATTTAGTTCGACTTCAATACCTTACAATAAAGCTTTACAATTTTCTGCGTAACGATCTTCTACATCTTTTATTAGATTTATTCCTAGGTTTTATATCCTTTTGTGGCTGTTACATTCTTTTATTGCCATTGTGAATTGTATCTCTTTTTATAATATCTTTTTTTTTGTTTTGGGCTGGTAATTAAAATGCAGTCAGTCTTTGAATATCACTTTTCCATCTGTCAAATTTGCCAAACTCACATTAGTTAAGTAATTTATGTACAGATTTTTTTTGTTTTCTTATGTAGACAATCATATCATCTGTTAATAATCATAGTTTTACTTGTTTTCTAATTGCTTCACATTTCTTTCTTGTGTTATTGTGCTAGTTAGGCCTTCCAGTGAATAGATGTAGCAAACACCTCTTTTATGTATCTGATTGTAACAGGAAGATTCACCTTCGGAATGTTTGTTGTAGGTTTTACAGATGCTGTTTATTAAATACAGGGAATTTTATTTTATTCATTGTTTCTAGGGAATGCTATCCCTTTACATTTCTTTTTGGAATGCATACAGTAACAATATTTTTTGACTGATGGCTGACTGCCTCCAACTTTTTAATTAAATTATATTTGATTATTTTGAATGAATTTGATTTTTAATTGCTTTATTTCAATCATGAATATTAATCATGACGTCTCAGAGGTGGTCATAGAAATAATAATGGTAATGATAATTATGACAGATGACCTTCATTGATTGATTTTCTGTTATATGCAAAGTATGGTGGATGGTTTCATTTTGTTTCATGATTTATTCCTAATTTTTTTCAATGATCTCCAAGTGAGACTCAACAAAGTAAAATACATTTACTCTAAGTCCCTGGTAGTAGGTGAAGTTGTCTTGATATGAATTCAGCATGGTATAATTTTGTAACTTGTGCTGGTTAAAGAATGCAACACTTTCTCACTTGATAATTATGACATCCTTTATGCACTACAGATATCAATTTTGTTTACTATTCTATCTGAAAGCATATAACACCTCAGCCCATAAGCACTCCTGATTTTTTTTTTGTGTATTCTCCTAGAGATTATACTTGTCACAATTGTTCTTTCTTCTTTTCCATAGCCATTGTCCTCAATATATGATTTTGCAGTTTTAGCTGGGCATTCCTGGCAAAATAGTTGCTGAAAGAAATGGCATCGAAACTGGAAAGTAGACTAGAAAGCAGACATGTGTAAGGAAAAAAGTAAGACGTGTTTTCAGTATGGCAATCTAGGACATAAGTTAATGCATTGTGTAGATAACAAAAAATGCACCATTTTGCTCAGCGATAGAAGACAAAATAATAGAGATGGAGTGTTCCACTAGTGTTCTAGATGGACTTCCAAGCCCATGACCAGATGATGTCAGCCTGATAACTACAGTGACCAGATTGACCCCATTTGTCATAGAGATGGTAAGGCAAAACAGGAGTCTGACTTGAACTTGGAGAAAAAAGGATTTGCCAGAACCATGAAGATGTAAGGTTCTGAGCAGATATAACATCACATATGGGTTCATTGTTTAGACCAGAGTGTGTGTGAAAAACCAGCCAAGCTCCAGTGAATGACCACTGCCATTTAGTCAAGTCTTCTGTTTTAAGACTTAGGCTCATTCAGTGTGTTTGCTTGACAGCTACCCCTGATTCATCAGAATCCCTGCTGACATTGTGAGCTTTGAGGGAAGGTCTGACTCTTAAAGGTGCTTCCTCTCCCTGGACCCATCCTGGGCTTCCTCTAGGAAGACTAGAGACAGGTTTCCTATGATCACAACAGGATTGTGCACTGGAGTCCTCTGAAATGTAACCCAGAATCAGAGCCTGCATCCTGCTGAGCTGTCATGTGACTGATTATTAACAACAATGTTCACAGTCTTATGAAACAAGTCTGAAGATAGCTGTTTTTTTTTTTTTTTTTGGTTGTTGTTTTGTTTTAGAGAGAGTCTTGCTGTGTCATCTAGGCTGGAGTGCACTGGCATGATCATAGCTCACTGTAACCTTGAACTCCTAGGCTCAAGGAATCCTCCTCATCAGCCTCCTGAGTAGTTAGGACTACAAATGCGTCCTCCATCTCCAGCCAATTTTCTAAAAAAAATTTGTAGAGAGGAGGTCTCACTGTTGCCCATGCTTGTCTCAAACTCCTGGCCTCAAGTAATCCTCTGGCCTTGGCCACCCAAAGCACTGGGATTACAGGCGTGAAGCACCACGCCTGGCTAAAGATAACTGTTAAAGGAGAAATGTGTACTCTATCTTTTCTGATGATCCCCATGGCTAAAACAAAGCAGTTTAAAAATAAATCTTATTCAAAAGGAAAATGTAAAATTCTTTTTTTAAAAGAGATGGATATTACAACCTAAGTCAAGGAAATATCTCAATTCATATTCAAGTGTTTAATCATAGAGGTGAAGAAAAGCTGAATTGTTATTCTTTCTACACAGAGACAATTTGGGTCTATTTCTACCAAGTCAAACCAAGTAGCATGTAAAGAACTCAGGAGCACTTTAAATAAAGTTAAACATTAAATTGCAAAACCAAGTAACGTTTTCTGACTTGGATAATTCAGGGTCAGAAACATTTCCTGTGATATGTGAATCCCAAAGTTGATCATTATTTATCCCAGGGTCCAGAGTCCTTCAGAAATGACTCAGGGAAAAATCTTTTACCTAGAAAGGTGAAATTGACACTACCCCCACACGATAACGGGCTTAAATTTTCCATACTTAAATTCTTAAAGTGCAGATGGAAGAAATCTGTTTTTTTTCTTTTATGTTATAAAGAATATAATAAAACTTACCTGAAAGCATTGTGAGGATGACATGTAATAAATGCGCAGTAAATGGTAGCTCTGACTCCCCAGGACCCGGGTTCCTCCTTCTGAATTCTTGATCTGTGATATATACTGCCAGGCTCCCACTTCTCAGCCAGGGTGTTGAGAGGTAGTTTACTCACTCTCCTCTCACAATACAGTTCAAATAGGTATAAAGAGTCAAACTTAGAATCTAAAGGAGATCTCCTCAGGGCCATAAAGTAAGAAGGGATTTAAAGTCAAAGTGATGAGTATGAGCTAAGGCCAGGAAAGCCATTAAAGCACAGAACAAGGTGTAAATTTCCATGGCTGACTCTAATGCTCATATAAAGAAAGGAGTCTGGATTATGAACCCAAGGCATTCAGAGAGCTGGAAATAAACTACAGAAAGCTAGGAGTCTGAAGGCTTTGCCTCATCTATGAGACAAGGACAAGCAGAACTATACACATTCTTGGAAAGCAGTGACAGTGCTTTTGACTTCCTGGGTGTTAGCGCAAGAGTTAACCACAAGAAACTGAAAGAGTTTGGCCTTCACTGTGCACATGTAGGTATGCCAAATTTATGCCACTTATTTTCCAAAGTGGTTACAGAATGGCCCATAAATGCTACATGATAGCATGTGTGCAAATTTAGAAATAATACAAAGCATTATTACATATAGTTTGTGAATACTCATATAAATAGTAAGAATAGAAAAAAATGGAGAAATCATATTATATTTATGCCAGGCTTGTTTGGTTTGGTTTGGTTTGGTTTGCTGAGAAAAGGACAAGGACCCAGGGAAAGAGAAAGCAACAGAGTGAATGAAGTTCAAGTTTACCCATAATATTACAATTCACATATTTCAAAGAAGAAAAAAATTAACAAAATTTCAATTAAGGGGGAAAATCAAAAATAGCAAAGTAAAAAACACAAAAATACTGAACTCTTTAATTATAATTTATCTCTTTTTAACCTTTTCAAAAAAGACTAAAGACATTGAAGACACCACAAAGCAAAGCAAAATAGCTATATGCAAGTGTCTGAACCAGAGGACACCTATGAGGTCCTGAGGAGACACTCACAAGGGGAAGGTGGAGAAGCTTACATCAGCCAAAAAGCAGAAAGAACTGCAGAGGGGATTGGGCTGGATTTCCGAATGCTTCTTCAAAGCCTATTTGGCAAGAAGCCCTTCTGAGTCAACTTTGTAGTTTGATGACTTTTATTAATGATTAGCAACTTAAGCCCTAGGGTGGCAAAGAATCCTCATCTCTCTGCTCCAAAAAGTCCAAGGGAGTAAGCTTGGAGGAAACGCTGGGTTCAACTTGAAGCCCTTCCACAGACATTAAGTCGGTAAGTCACTTCTCTTGGTATTGAGATGAAGACCTCCAAAACTCTTTTCTGTATAGCAATGGACAATTTTTATATACTCCCCAACCCCAAGTTTCCTCATATGATAAAAATAAAAATGAAAAATGTAAAAATCCATATTAACAAGACTGACAAAAGTGAGGGAGAAGTGGCAGGAAGCTGAAGCTTTGTATCTGATCATCCATATGCTTTGAAACTAGCTAGTGGAGACAGTAGCAGCTATGGAAGATAATTCCAAGAAATAGGCACTCTTGCGAGGTGTTTAAAAGCAAAATTTTGCAGGTCAAACTGGCTTCTGAACAAATATCATCTCTTTCATTTACCAACTGGGTGACCTGGAGGAAGAGGGTCAGTAATATCTCCATCTGGGATTGATGTAGACTGGCTGGTGCAGTAATTTATAAGAGTGGCAATAATAATTATTTCTATTATACCAATGGCTAGGGTGGCTCTGGTCCAAGAAAGCATCTGGAGAAATGCTGCATCAAGATCCAGTGAGTTGGTGTGAAATTTAACCAAACTAAAATGGCTAGGGATAGAAGAGGAAATGGAGAGATGAGGCAATGGGACAGTCACCAGAGTCAGCAGAAGATGGTAGGTGGGCTGAGGGCAGTGGGAAGGAGGGAATCAGGGAGTCCTCAAGGCCAGAATGGAGAAGGTACAACTTTTTGTGGCAGCTGCAACTTCACAGATGTGTGGGAAGATGCTGTTAGAACACTCCCTGCCTTTAAACTAACCATCTCTACTGAAAGCTGATCCTCAATGTGGTTCTCTATGAACACTGCTTTGGACCAGAAACTTCTCAGAGTGCAATATATAGTTTCTGACCCAGATAACCAGCATAGCTTTTTAGTGGAAAATAAAGAGAGCTGTTAAAACAAAAGGGATTTACTTGAGTAAAGCCAAGGTGTAGACAGGCTATAAGACTGATTGGAAGGGCACATTTAAGAGAAGATAATGAGAGTGCATTTTCTATGTTGTGCTACTTGAGCCTGTTCTTGGCTCACCTGTGGGTGCCTTGGGATTTCCCTCTAGATTACTTCTCTTTCCTCTAGTTATAGCCCCAGGGTGTGGGAAGGGTCAGCAGAGCTTGAATCCAGCTTTTTAAGTCAGTGAAATGTTTTGAGGTTACCATGGCAGTAGGTGTCTGTCATGGTGAGGTGGGTAGACCACACCTGCTGGCAGGAGAAGATGTGACATCCTGGTTCACTTAGAGATAGGGTGTTGGTACAAGCTGTGTGCAGGTGGTAGACTGTCATGTGAAACCTTAGATAGCTTTAAAAAGTATTAATATTTTCAAAAGTCAGGAGACAAATGGGAAGATCGGTATGGAATCAGGGGACGTTGACCTGTCTGTGGAGACTGGAGATGATACTGATGAATAGAGGCAGTGGCAATGCAGATGCAGGGCTGGGTATGAAGGATGTCATCTTAGCAAGAGTACCCATGCTTTGCAGAAGAGGTCACATCATTGCAAAGGAAATCAGTGGGAAGTGAAGTCTGACTCATGTTTCAGGGTTTTCATGCCTGAAAAGCATTCATTATATATATAAATATATATATATGTATAAAATATACATATATATAGTAATGAATGTAGTATACATACTACATATCTATTTCTATATGTTTATGTAAGTGTGTGTCTTTGTGTCTTTGTGGATATAGATATGTAGTGTGTATACATACAAACACACCCACACACACAGACACACACACTTAGATGAACATTGTTTGATAAATTTCTTAAGCCCAAGAAGTCCATAAAACAATAAATTAAGCCCAAATTTGTAGCCTTTGCCTTTTTTTTTTTTTTTTTGGCGTTAAAGCTCGTATTATGGCCAATTCCAAGCTACCATCATGACATTACTGAATTCAGAGTTGGGGAGAGATGTGCAATAGCACATCTTTATACAGTATTCCCACCATATAGATACAAGAGATGTAAAAAACCTCAAGAGTGGAGCTTACAATAAAATGCCATGAAATAATTATGAAGTCATAAAGTTAAAATAATACCTTTTAAAAATATAATTAATTGAACTCTAAATTCATATCATTTAATGGATAATGGCTATGTTCAACAACTAGCTTGAAAAATTTCTAAAAACATTAATAATGAGCTCTTTTGGCCCCAAGTGAGTTGGTTCCAGTACATCATTGCCCTACTGTGCACTATTCTTTCTGAGAATAGTTTTAATTCCCTGCCTTAATTCAGGTTCTTCCATGCCTTTATCTATTTACATAATTTTTCCCTCTGATATAACTTACCATACTTGGATATGTCTGTTTGGTTGTTTCATTTCTCTTTTTAGGATCTTCATTTAACCTTAGAAACAAAAAGCCAACCATCCTTCCCATCAAGAAGTTATTGAATTTCTTGGATTGAGACAACAGTCAGATGCCACGTAGCCCTCATCTAAGTTATCTAAGGAAGGGGAAACTAAGAACTTGTTCCAACATCAATAATTCAGAGAACCCAGAGTCTTTTTTTTATTTTTTAATTTTTTTATTACACTTTAAGTTTTAGGGTACATGTGCACAATGTGCAGGTTTGTTACATATGTATACATGTGCCATGTTGGTGTGCTGCACCCATTAACTCATCATTTAACATTAGGTATATCTCCTAATGCTATCCCTCCCCCGCCCCCACCCCACAACAGGCCCTGGTGTGTGATGTTCCCCTTCCTGTGTCCATGTGTTCTCACTGTTCAATTCCCACCTATGAGTGAGAACATGCAGTGTTTGGTTTTTTGTCCTTGCGATATTTTGCTGAGAATGATGGTTTCCAGCTTCATCCATGTCCCTACAAAGGACATGAACTCATCATTTTTTATGGCTGCATAGTATTCCATGGTGTATATGTGCCACATTTTCTTAATCCAGTCTGTCATTGTTGGACATTTGGGTTGGTTCCAAGTCTTTGCTATTGTGAATAGTGCCACAATAAACATTCGTGTACATGTGTCTTTATAGCAGCATGTTTTATAATCCTTTGGGTATATCCCCAGTAATGGGATGGCTGGGTCAAATGGTATTTCTAGTTCTAGATCCCTGAGGAATCGCCACACTGACTTCCACAATGGTTGAACTAGTTTACAGTCCCACCAACAGTGTAAAAGTGGAGAACCCAGAGTCTTAAGCCACCATTCTTGGCTGCTAACATGGGGCGTATTCAAACATGTGGACATCATTTCTGAACTCAGACCCAATTGTTAAGAGACAACATTTTGATCTTCAAGTTTTACCTTCATTTTCCCTTCTGGATTACATATATGGTATCAGTTTTTCATGCTGTGTGTCAGTTGAAAGCAGCTTCACAAACACAACTACCTGTTACTAAAATAAGAGGGTATAACTTTAACCAAACAGATCCTGTTTATGACAGAAATACAGTTCATTTCAGGCAGTCATGAGTCCATGTTGTAGGGGCCTCTAGCAACTATCAGGTTCTCACTAAGCACTTCTTCCTTGCCAGTGGTTGATGATGCAGCACCCAGTCTTTCTGTCATATAACCAAGTTCAAGAATGCAGAGGCTGATGTGCTGTGAAGAGGCCATAGATCTGGGCAACTCCCATTGCTGCTTAATTCAGGATAATCTTGGAGTGGCTTCAGAATGGAAACCTGGCATTTTAGAATGTTCCAATCCAAGCAGAGCCCCTAGTAGGGGGTATAAAGTCTCACAGCAATAGAGTCACATTAAATTCACCTCATAAAGGAGCAGGGGAGTGAGAATAAGTATCATTCAAGGGAGAAAAATTGCTAATGGAAACATCATATTCTTGTTTAGCATTGCCATGTAGCACAAAACAATGCAGGTTGACCCAGCTATGTCATTTGGTAAAATATCTCCCAGGCAATCTTTGAATATAGAACCAGGGCAATTTCCCTAGAAACAGAAGACCTATTTTTAAAATGTACTGGCCACACCATGGAATTAGAATGCCCAATGCCAAGATCTGAAGAGACATTAATACTACACTTATCATACGATCCAGGTATTCCACTTCTAAGTGTTTATCTGAGAGAAATGAAAGCACATGTCTATACAAAGACCTGTACATTAATGTTCACAGCAGCTTTATTTGTAATGTCAAAAAACTGCAAACAATGCAGTTTTTCATCAAAAGGTAAATAAATGGATAAACAAATTGTGATATAGCCATGGGGTGGAATATTACTCAGTAATTAGAAGGAATGAACTATTAATATGTACAACAACATGGATGGATTTTAGAATAATTATACTGAGTGAAATAAACCAGGAGAAAAGTGAGTACATACTTTATAATTCCTGATATGGTTTGGATGTGTCCCCACCCAGATCTCATCTTGAATTGTGGTCCACATAATACCCAAGTGTCAAAGGTGGGGCCAGGTGGAGATAATTGAATCATGGGGGCAGTTTCCCCCATACTGTTCTCATGGTAGTGAAGAAGTCTTATGAGTTCTGATAGTTTTATAAATGGGAGTTCCCCTGCACAAGCTCTCTTGCTTGCTGCCATGTAAGATGTATCTTTGCTCTTTCTTCGCCTTTTGCCATGAGTGTGAGGCCTCCGCAGCCGTGTGAAACTGTGAGTCCATTAAACCTCTTTTTCTTTATAAATTACCCAGCCTTGGGTATGTCCTTATGTCACTCCTGTCTTGGTGAAAACATACCTCTGAATAATAAAACTTTTATTATAAAGAGATACTAAGAAGTTATTCCTTAGTTTGCAACAATGATATCAGGGCAGTTGTGGTTAAGTACTAGTGCTTAGACGTTTAAGAGGATTTAATTTATTAAGCTAACAAGTTTGGTTTATTACTGGTAGAAGCAGTTATATATTTTGAGACTTTTTCTTTAAGAGAATCATAAATTTAATAATATGAGCACTAAACATAGCACAAATATTACAATTCTACACATAGTAACACATAAAAATCTCCTTGGGCATTGAAGATCCTAGTATTGTAATGTAGTAATGGTTCTTTTCAGTTCTCTTATATGCAAAAAGGTCACAACCTCCATGTTAGTTATTTCTAGAACTCTACAGACACATCATCAACCTATGGACAATAATAATATGAGATTTGAATGTTATCTTCTCACTATGCAACTTTGGTCCCCAATTATGAGTGACACACATATCAGCGATACTTACAGTGAGTCAAATGAGGAAGCAGTGTGGGAGTTGTCAGGGGTAGTAGAAGCCAGGTTCTCAGGTGCAGGTAGAGGATTCCAGAGGAGCATAGCTCTGAGGTGACCCACTGCTATGGTAGCTCCAGTGATGATGACAATAAACTGTATTATACAGCTTTTACTTATTGGGTGTCTGGCAGTGTTCTAGGCATGTGCAATCTGTTTAAGCCAACAGCAACTTTTTGATGAAGATGTTGTTGTTATTAACAACAGATGAGGAAACTGAAACACACAAATGTGCTCCTAGTGGCACTTGGCACAGTAAATCATGAACCTGAGTTTGAACTTGGGAATGCTTAACTCCAAAGCCATTGCTCATAAACTGGCACACCAAGAGCACTCTAGATCCTAATAAATAAACAATTCCAAACCTTACGTGCAGTATGCTTGTTGTGTTGAGCCAAGAGGGGATAATGAGCCTCCCTGTCTCCAACCAGATGGAATGGGCCAGCTTTTTTTTCCTTGGTGCCCTTGTTTAAATATTTCAACGGGGAGTCTCTTTCTCTCAACTGATGCATGTGAATTACATATCTCCCTGATAGGTGAAAACCATTCACTAGGAGAGGAGAAACACAATGGCCACCAAGACAGAGTTGAGTCCCACAGCAAGGGAGAGCAAGAACGCACAAGATATGCAAGTGGATGAGACACTGATCCCCAGGAAAGGTAAATTTGACCTCAACTGCTTGGTTTTAGGATTTTACAGTGAATTCTTTTTGTCAACGTATTACTATAAAAATGAATTTGTGATTTTTAAGTTCTTTAATTCTTTTTACAAATCCAGTGAAATTAACATATTTTGCAAATATGAAGGAAATAAAAATTACTAAAAAGAAGTGTTTTATTTTTGACAGTTATCTTTCAATCTGTATCTATCCAATCTTTACATTCTTGATAATTGCTACTGAATTGTCTACACATAGTATTGTGTGTCCTGCTTGTGATTGCATGTAATATTTTAAACATAACTGTATTGCTTAATTTAAAAAAGTAAAAAAAACTAATTATAGATACTTCAAAAAACAAGAAATAAAAAGATTGTCATAAGCTTAATTCAATGACTATAATTTAATTTTATTGCCTTTATTTTGTATGCATATTTTGAATAGTTCTATAGTTTATGTATTGTGTTGTATATTTTCTAACTTGACAGCATATAGTTTTCCATATTGCTTTATTAGATTCACAAAGTGTGAATATCTTTGTGAATCTTATAAAGCAATATGGATTCTTAAAGGATACACATTATATTCCAACATATCCAATAGATGAAGTATTTCTTAGCTGAAAAATCTTCTTGTGACTGGATATTTAATTTGTAGGGTTTTCTTTTGTTACTCGGCTATTATATCTATATATGAACTATATATGTTACTTAGGTTATTAGATGTTTATGAACTATGTATGTAAGTTATGATATATGATGATAAATGAATATTATTTAACATGACACTAGTCCACATTGGAATTATTTCTTC
This sequence comes from Homo sapiens, assembly GCF_000001405.40. Lineage (NCBI taxonomy): Eukaryota > Metazoa > Chordata > Mammalia > Primates > Hominidae > Homo > Homo sapiens. Next base: position 25,867,484 of record NC_000006.12, on the reverse strand, counting down.
AGGGTTTATTCCTAAGAAATGAAAATTGTGAGGCAAAGAGTTTACGTATTTCATTTCCTTTGTTCACTACAGAGACGTTAGTTTTTAATCCAAACAAAAATAAAAACACAGGGAGGATTTTGAGCAGAAGAGGAGGTGATTTTATTCATGGTATGGTGAGAATACTCCAACTGCTGTATTGAGAATAGATTAGAAGCAAGGAACCAAGCTGAAGGTTACTGCAGAAATTCAGGCAGGAGATATTGGTAACTAGAACCACATGGAATTAGCTCTTAGCCAAAAAATAACAGTGGCCCTTGTGAGAAGTTGTTGGATTCTATACACATTTTGAATATGAAGACCATAGTACATTCCAGATCAAGGATTGCAAAGTGTTTGGAAGAATGAGATTTCTATCAACTGAGCTGGGGAAGACTCTGGGTAGAAGTTTTGAGGTGGTAGGGCTCAAGAGTTTGGTTTTGGACCTATTCAGTTTGATCTGTTAATCAGTTGATCAATTGAGTTTTAGTGGAACAAAAATTACGATGTATCAATGGTGTCTTCAGTTTGACAAAATGCAGTATTATTGTATTATATCTATGCTTTATTTTAATTTAAAACATGCTATTGCACCAATAGTATTTTCCACTTATGTAACCAATTATCTTAGCAGTACTAATTACATGATCTAGTTTTCTTCCATTAATTGCCACAACACCATTTACACACTGCATGATTCTTTTGGATGTTTTTCTATTGTTCCTTAGATTTTTCTGAGTATTCTTATTCTTCAATACAATAATGTCTTAACATTTTAGTCTCATGATAAATTTTGTAATGCAAATATTTTTCAATACCTCCCAAAATTCTTGTATAGTCATTCAACTAGGCTTTATTATTTTTTGCCAACTGTACTCATTTTCTATTTCTGCATGCATATTACCATAAACATAGTAGTCTGAAACAACATACATTTATTATCTTACAGTTTCTGTGGCTCAGAGCTCCAGGCACAGTTTGGCTTAACTGGTTCTTCTTCTCTGGGTCTCACAAGGCTACAATTGATTGGTTGATTAAGTTGCATTCTCATCTGCAGTATAGACTAGGGAAGAGCCCACTTCCAGGCTTATTCAGGTTGTTGGAAAAATTCATTTTCTTATACCTGTATGACTGAGGGCTCTGGCTGTTTGCTAGATTTTGGCTGAAGGCCATTCTCAGGTCTTAGAGGATGTTTGTGGTTCCTTATCGTGTTAGGTTCTCCAACTTCCTGCTTACTTCATCAAGCCCACATGAAGAGTGTTTATCTTTAGTCTGCTAAGATGGAGTCTTATATAACATAATGTAATCATGGGGGTGACGTCCCATCACCTTTGCCGTATTCTGTTGGATACAAGCAAGTGAAAGGTCCTGGCCCCATACAAGGGAAGGGAATTAGATAAAAGTGAGGATACCATGAGGTGGTAATCACTGGGGCCACCTTAAGGTCTGTCTGTCACATCAAATTAAGAAATAAGCTTTCTGGATTCTGAGTACAGTAGTACTGAATTCATTAATATAACCTCTCACATTCAAAAACCTATGATTTCATGGTGTCAGTGCCCTCTTCCAGTAGTTAAATAGAATACCCTCAGGTGCTTCTTAATTTACAATTTCTCACATGCATACAGACCCACACATTCTTGTATAGCTAGGGGTGATCACAAAAAAATTTAACAGACAGCACATCACTGGCACCAATCTATTAGAGTAGGCACAACTGGTATAGTTCATTCAGAATGGACACAGGACACAAATAACTTTTAAGGACACAAATAGTGGGCTGTAGGAAACACTTAACATCTGGCAAGCACCAGACTAAGCCTTTTAAATACACTCTCTAGTTAATCTTTCAACATTCTCATGAGGCAAATGTTCAACCTCCTCATTTGTAAGCCATTAGTCTCTTGGTTTGCTGATACCCTTTTTGGTAGCTTTTGACACCTGGGATCCCAAGGGAACTTGGGAAAATCAGAGGCCACAAGAACTCACAAATTATTAGTTGACTTGATTGATAGAGGAAGTCACCACCAGTGCTGAATCAGATTGAAAAAAACCCTTACAAAGATACTATGTTTCAGTTAATTCACTACAAAGACTTGTACTTCATCAATAGAAGATAGCATAGCCATAAGGGGAATCCTCCTTTATTAATCTCAAGGCACCTCTTTATCCCACATCACAGAGCCACATAAACCCTACAGCTGGGTGCACGTGGATTGTATTAATCACAGAAGTATTCTCATGGAATCATCTTGGACAAAACAGAAGCCACCATATATATGTGCTACAGTAGTTAAGAGCATAGACACATGAGCTACATTGTGAGCTGGTCTCTCTGTGCCTGTGTTTCTTCATCTGTAAAATAGTAGTAATAGCTGCTTCATAGCGTTATTGTGAGGATTTGACATCATGTTACATGACCTATCACAGACATTTGAAGTACCTACTGACTTCCTCTTCCCTGAAACTCTTGTCCCCTTGGCTTCCAGGACACCGCACTCTCCTGGTTTTCTTCTTATCCCACCACCCATTCCTTTTCACTTTCCTTTGTTTGTTCCTCCCCCATCTATTCAACCTCCAAACACTGAAGAGCCCCAGAGTTAGTCTTTGGTTCTCTTCTCTATTTATTTCAATTTCCCAAGTTTTATGGCTTTAAGTATCTTCTGTAGGTTATTAACTCCCAATGTTATGCCTCAACTCCTACTTCTCTTCTAAACTTAAGAACTGTATATCCAACATGCTCAACATCTTCTCTTTGGTGCCTAAGAGGCATCTCTGTTTTAACAAGTCCAGTAGGAAGCTCTTGACCACCCTACCTTACAAACCTGCTCCTTCCAAGAACTTTCTTCCTAGGAAAGCAGAACTTCATTCTTCTTGTTGTTTAGAACAAGAACCTCTCAAACTCCCCTTCTCCTTGCCTTCCACCCACCTGTAAAACTGAAACTCTTATTTGGTGTTTTTTCCACGCTGGGATTTATCTGGGGTCTGACCACATCTTAGCTACTGCCATGACCCTAATCCAAGATAGCTTCACTTCTCTTCTGAATTATTGCAATAGCTTCCTAACTGTACTTCCTCCCTATCGTTTTGTTCTCATTTCTGCAGCCAAAGAGATCCTTTCAAAATGTAAGTCATATCATGTCCCCCTTCTGCTGAAAACCCTCCAGTGGCCCCCATCCCACTCAAAGTAAAAGCCAAAGTACCTGCAATGGCCCACATGTCTTGAACAATTCAGGCCTCATGATCTAGCTTTCCTGACATCTCTTCTTGTACCCCTGGCTCACTCCATTCTGTCATAATCCCCTCTTTTTGATTCTTTGAACATACCAGGCGCTCTCCAACCAGCTCCAGGGGTGTTCCCTCTACTTGTTATGTTCTTTCCCCAGAGGTCAGCATGACCACCTCTCTGGTATGTCATTGGGACTTCCTCCTTTCTTGCTTTATTTTCTCTACAGCATTTATCACCTTCTAATACATTATTTGATTTACTGTTTGTGTTTCATATTTTGTGCTTCTCTCTGGAATGTGAGGTCCCCAAACACAGGGCTATTTGTGTGCTATGTTTGCTGCTACACTTCTAGGGCCCAATATTGGAGGTGATTGATGAGTGTTTTGTTCGATGATTGATTGAAGATGTCAAATCTGGACTGGAGGACGTGGCCTAGAAGAGTGGTCAATCCAGCTCCCTGCTATTTCTCCTGCATTGAATAGATTTATCCACCCAAGCATAGGGTGAACTGGACAATCCCAGGCTTGCTCTGCTAAAGTAGCTACATGGTAGGAGAGTAGACAGCTTCCAGGCAGTCTGGAGAAGATACAGAGCTACACATGCTCAATTTATTTACCCAGTCTCATCGATTGAAGTCCCTTTTCTTCCCACGCAGAAAAAAGTGAAAGGGTACACATGCTCCATTTATTTACCCAATCTCATTGATCTAAGTCCCTTTTCTTCCCACACAGAAAAAAGTGAAAGGGTTGGAGAGAGTTCCAAAGAGCTGCTCTGCCTGAAGTCCTTGTGTAATAAATCTGAGCCCAGATAAATACAGCTTCTTGGCTCATACATTTTATATTTTATTTGCTCTTCAAATTGGACTGTTAGCTGTGTTCTGCCAGGATACCTTCTACTCACTTAATATAATGTTGCAAGACTTTTTAAGAAGTTGAGTAGAGACCTAACCTTTGAAACTTTTATACCATTCAATCTCATCTGATTCTTTCCCCAGATTTTAACTTCTGAAGAGTTCTTTAATTTCAACCATAAATGCCGATTTCCCTATGTTTTACTACATTTTTTGGACAATTTAGCCAGGATCTGGAAAACGGAGAATGAGATTTCTGCGTTTTAGTTGCCATCTTTCCTGGCTGTACAAATACAGATTATTTGAATGCTGTGCTCATTTCTTTTTCCACTATTTTTCACTTGAGTGAAAAATATAAATGACCTATACCAATGGACAACTCTCTTCAAAGTGTAACTTACATTTCATTTACATACATAAAATTTATACATATTATACATAATATATAGTGCATAATATATAACAATACATGTCACATATAAATTATATGCTATACATGTATATATAGTTATACATACAAAGTATATGTAATATATTATAAATTATATGTAGCTATTTAAATATGTGCACATATTCATATGTATATATTTTCTTTTCATATATATGTGTTACATATACACACACACACATATGTATATGCATTTACTTGTGAGTAATTTCATCAACTGTAGAACACAATGACCTAGGAATGGTAGATACAAAATTCTAGGATGAACAGAACCCCCGAGATCAAGTTAGGCTCTACAAAGCTGTGGTATAAAACGTCCTTTAGCTCAACTCAGTGATCTCCTTTTGTATCTTCCTTTCATAAAGCCAACAGAAGTGTCATTTAAGTAATGATTTAAATCGTTAAGTGATCAGGTACTTTTTAAATCATATCTTGTGAAAAACTAATGTTAGCTCAATTTTAAAAAACACTAATATGATGTCATAATATTTCCAGTTCCAAGTTTATGTTCTGCTCGCTATGGAATAGCCCTCGTCTTACATTTCTGCAATTTCACAACGATAGCACAAAATGTCATCATGAACATCACCATGGTAGCCATGGTCAACAGCACAAGCCCTCAATCCCAGCTCAATGATTCCTCTGAGGTGCTGCCTGTTGACTCATTTGGTGGCCTAAGTAAAGCCCCAAAGAGTCTTCCTGCAAAGGTAAGCAACATAAGATATAAATTTGTGCTTTTCTTTTTGCTGTTTATTTGCTTGGATATTTATTTTTCTAGAGTATGTATGTTTAAAAACTTTAATGGAGAAAATAGTGATTTGAAAGCAAGCAAAAGGTCTAAAGGAGCTTTCTAGGGTATGTAAGAACCTTTTTGTGTAAGGTTTACTACAGCATTCTCTGTTTCTCTAAGGCTCCTGTGTATGACTGGTCTCCTCAAATCCAAGGCATCATCTTTGGTGCTGTTGGCTATGGTGGCATACTGACAATGGCTCCCAGTGGATACCTGGCTGGAAGAGTAGGAACAAAGCGAGTGGTTGGCATTTCTTTGTTTGCAACTTCATTTCTCACTCTATGCATCCCTCTGGCCACTGACTTTGGAATAGTCTTGCTCATTGTAACTCGAATAGTCCAGGGCCTAAGCCAGGTACCCAATATTTTATAAATCTGAGTTGGATATGAATTTCTACATGGCACCACACATTAAGAACTCTAATCATTTTAATTTCAGTCCTCAATACTTGGGGGTCAGTTTGCAATTTGGGAAAAGTGGGGCCCTCCACAAGAACGAAGCAGACTCTGCAGCATTGCTTTATCAGGTAAGGACATGTAATCCAAATGGGTACACTACAATCCAACATTTTCCCACTGGGTTCCTTGACAACTTTTCATTGCATAGTTCCTCATCATCTGCTCAATGTCAGTGAAGTATTTTTAAATTAAAAAGACTGGTCCTTTGTCTATGACATGACTTTCAGTTATTTTCCCTAGGATGTCATTTGTGGCATGACTTTGCCTTTACTATGACTTGGAGCATTTAAAAAGTATTTTTATGTGTTCAAATTGATCATTTTCATGGCATCTGGATTTTGAGTCATAGATGGAAAGGTTATAAAAAAAACTCCACCCATGCTTTTTTTTCTTCAGTTTATATGGTTTTATCTTTATATATTAATTCCTGACATTTGGGAGTTTACTATTATTCAGTGGAAGGTCAAGATTCAACTTAATCTTCTTTGGAGTTGCTCTCAATTGTCCTGAGAACTTCTTGCTGACAATGATCTGCCTGGATACTGTGCTCTGAATGAATATTCTGGAGGAAGAAGTCTAAGTTATACTGGGGAAGTGTGGAAAATGGACAGTGTATGGTTAAGAAACAGGAGACTGCTAAAGTGGGTGCTGGGTGAGAAACAAAAGGGTAACTCTCCAGGTAATTTATGAGTACCAAGAAGCCAGGGACCCTTCAAGTCCAGAAAATAAGCTACACACACACCCTGACTGACAGCACACTCTAAAGCCCTCACAATTCTGGAGGATTAGTCTCTGCCATTTAGAACTGGGAATCAGAAAATTCACTTTGTTTATCACACTGAGGGATTATCTCAGAATACAGCACAAGAAAATCAGGAGATGGAAAGCATGAAAGAAAAGTTAAAAGACTTGGACTGAAGACAGTGACCTTATGGAAAGTAGCAACTCCCTTTCTGAGTATATAGAGACTGAACAACCAGAATAGGTCAAATGACAGTATCTAGACGAATCTCAGTAGCCTACAAAGGGTGCAGGTTCCAGAAGTTTTCTCATCTTTGGTGTTGAAGGGCTGTTTCAGAGGCTCCAGGCAGGTGATCCTTTCTGGCCTCCAAACCTAGTTTAGAGAGCATAGAGCCCATGATTGTCTGAAGACACCCAACAGAAAGCCACTGGAGAATCCCATCGGCAGGTGGAGTGAGCTGAACCTGCCTGCTTTCCTCAGTAGATCTTATAGAAATTGCCATTTCTGATGATCCTGGGGCTCCTCTGCAGACTGTACTGGTGGATGGAATTGCTCAGCTTATAAGGTTGGCATAGGACTACCCCAGAAGGCACCTGCCTTTAGTGGAAGGGCTCAAGCATTGCCAGCCTCTAGGACACGGTGTACTGTCTTCTAAGGGAGCCTAGAAAGGTGCACCTATTGTAGATAGGAAACTTTGCAGCCACTTAAGGAGTTTAGTAACTTAAGGGACTGAGCAGACCAAACAGAACTGGTAGTTCATATTTAAGGCAGGTTTAATAGTTGATAAGAAAAATTAACCCAAACACCTTTAATCTAAAAATAATGCAATATCATACAGCAGTGAAAATGAAGAAACTGTAGCTGCATGAAACAACATAGATTAATCTTAGAAACACAAATGTTGTATGAATAAAGCACATCTATCATGGAGGAAAATGCCTTGATACTTTGGTAGCCTAAGGTACACTACCAGACAAGCTATCCCAGAGGTCATAGAACAGATAGGCTCACAGACCACATTAGGTGCTGTAATTGCACAGTTACAGTCAATTTAAAACACAGGGTAAAAAGTAAGGGGGAGGAGTGGAAATGGGGTATGTTATCCCATGTGAGATAGAGTACAAGCAGGTAGAAGGATCGCATGACCTGAATCAAGTGTGCAGAATGTTCAAGTGTTCAAACATCCTTTCTCTGTCTTTCTGCTGCACCAGCCTTACCACTGATGGTGTGGTTCTGAGAACCAGAGTTGAGGTTCAAACAGGGGTGTCCAGAGGAAAGGCATCAGGGCCAATGACATGCACTTGCTGTATGGGAAAAACACAAGGATGAGTGCTGCTGGCCACAGCTCCATTCCCTAAAGAACTAACTAACTGCCATGGCTTTGTGTTTCTTGAGCACATGGAGACAGAATGGGTATCTCCAGTGGGTACTGAATTAGGCCCAGACAAATATTGAGTCAGCAGTGCTGTGTTGTTAAACAGGCTTTTTAGGGGGGAAAATAAGCTCATTTATAGTATTTATCAGTTTCTGTGCTCTAAACACTCCCACCATAGCTGATTTCAAGATTCAGTCAAGTCACTGAACGCAGAGTTGGGAAGAGATGGCCACATTTGAATTTCACAAACTTCAGTGCTTCCCTGATTGAGTGCCTCTAAACCTCCATGAATGTTCAGAGACTCATGTTTAAAATCATTGCCTGACTAATATTATTTGTCTCTTGGTCTTCATATCCTTTTATATCTATATTCAAAGATAAACATGGTATTCTTAGTAAATTACTTATCTTTAATTTACATAGTTTATGAATCTCATCTATCCATATCTCTCAAATTACTGACTTTGTTATAATCAATACCCAACACATCTTATGATATTTGACTAATGTCTTATAAGGTGAATTTATTTATTTTCTAAGGTAGAAATGAATATTCTCATATAATACAGCAAACACATTACAGTGTCTTAGAAAAGGACATCCAGGATGATACAACTTTAATGAAGCCCAAAACATAAAAACAAAACAAATACACTTTAGATATGAACATATATATGATACAGCTCACACACAGGTTAATACATGTGATATCAACCTATGATAGATGTGAATGCATGTATATGTATTTGTGTGTGTGTATTTGAGCATTAAATAAGCCAATGTAAATCAACTATTAGCCATGAACTGTTAGGCATCTGAATGGAGATTGGCTTATAATTTGGAATTTGGTAGCGACATGAGAAAAAACAGGACATACTGAAAATTCCTCAGTATTTCAATAGAAATGGTATTTAAAGCCCTGGTCCTGGACAAGACCACCTAGAGAAAGAACATAGATGGAGAAGAGGAGAAAATCAAGGGAATAGCTGTGAGGACTTCCAGCATTCAGGACTTAGACAGAAGAGAATGACAGGCCAGCAAATGTTCTGAGAAGCTTCCCATGAGGCAGTGGGAAAACAAGGTAGGTGTGTGTGACAGCTGCCTCAAGACAACAGTCAGTCAGAGGCCAACTGTACCACATGCTGCTGGGGTTGAGCAAGTGGCCACAAGTCCAGCAGGGTGGAAGTCACAAAACACCTTAACAAGAACCGTGTCAGTGTTTTGAGAGTGAAAATGGAGGTGTGTTGGGAGTTGGCTGAGGAAAGAATAAGAAGAAAGAGAATGGAGGCAGTTAGCACAGCCTTTTGGGAAGTTTTGCCTTGAAGAGAGGCAGAGAAATGTCAAAGTGCATGGAGGGGGTTCTGAAGGGTGTGTTTTGTTTTGTTTTGTTTTGTTTTTATCATGAGCCACAGGAAGCTATATTTGCAGCTACTCAGGAGGTTGAGTCATGAGAATCGCTTGAACCCAGGAGGCAGAGGTTGCAGTGAGCCGAGATCATGCCACTGCACTCCAGCCTGGGTAACAGAATGAGACTCCATCCCCTCCAAAAAAAGTTCATGAATAACATATGCTTGTGTACTCAGAAATTATGGGAAACATTCAAGAGTTGAGGAGGGAAGTGAGGATGCAGAGAGAGAATACATACTCTTAGGAGTCCAAACCTGGGATAGATTGGAGGAGATGGGGTCCAGAGGACAAGAAGGGACCTGGCTTTGGATGGATGCAATGCAGGAACCTGTCCCCCATTATAGTCAAAGCAAAGGCAAAGAGTTCAAGGAAAAGATGCAAATTTGGTGGACTTAGTGGTAGAAAAAGATGCTGTTTTCCATCTCCATGTATCTGTGGCCTGGGGTCAGGCAGTCTCATTTCCAACACTACCTTCCCCTGTTATTAACAATGTGACCTTTGGCAAGTTATTTAATTTTTCTCTCTATTTACTCAATTATAAATCTGACTACTAGGGCTTAAATGAGGCAACACAAGTAAATAAGTGACTTTTTTTTCTTTTTTTTTTTTTGACGTTATGTGGTAGGAAAAGATCTTCTAAACAAAAGAGTAAACGTAGAGGTCATTATAGAGGAGAATGAGAGATCTGGCTCCGTAAAAACTTACAGTTGAATTACAAAACACCACATTAAAAAAATTAAAGATGGGAGGATAATTGCAGCCAGCATACAGACAAAGGATCATTCACAATACATAAAGATTCTGTAAATTAAGGCAAAATTAAACAAGCAAAAGAAACAAAGATAAAAAGATTATGAACAGACAGTTCACAAAAGAAATAAAAAATAATAGTTAAAGATAGAAAAACGTGCAACTTTACTATGAAAAAGGAAATTAAAATGGGATACTCTTTATTATTTACTCTACTTTTTTTTTTTTTGAGATAAGGTCTCCCTTCGCCACCCAGGCTACAGTGCAGTGGCATGATCTCAGCTCACTGCAGCCTTGAACTCCTAGGCTCTAGTGATGCTCCTTCCTCAGATTCCTGAATAGCTGAAACTACAGTCAGGCACCACCATGTCTGGATAATTTTTTACTTTTTGTTTTTTGTAGACACAGGATATTACTCATTGCCCAGGCTGGACTTGAATTCCTGGCCTCAACTGATCTTCCCACCTCGGCCTCCCAAAGTGCTGGGATTACAGGCATCAGCCACCACCCCTAGCTCTCTTTTTCACTTTTTCATTAATATTGGAAAGGTAATTTTTTTTTTTTTTTTTTTGAGACAGAGTCTCACTCTGTCGCCCAGGCTGGAGTGCAGTGGCGCAATCTCGGCTCACTGCAACCTCCGCCTCCTGGGTTCAAGCAATTCTCCTGCGTCAGCCTCCACAGTAGCTGGTATTACAGGTGCCCCTGAGAACGCCCAGCTAATTTTTTGTATTTTTAATAGAGGCAGGATTTCACCATGTTGGCCAAGCTGGTCTCGAACTCCTAACCTCATGATTCGCCTGCCTCGGCCTTCCAAAGTGCTGGGATTACAAGCATGAGCCACTGCGCCCGGCCAGAAAGGCAACTTTTAAAAACTTTGAGGGGCTGGGCATGGTGGCTTATGCCTGTAATCCAGTGCTTTGGGAGGCCAAGATGGAAGGATCACTTGAGGCCAGGAGTTCAAGGCCAGCCTGGGCAACACAGCAAGATTCCCATCTCTATAAAGAATTTTTTTAAGTTAGCCAAGTGTGGTGGCATGCACCTGTCATTCCATTTCTTCGGAGGTTGATGTGGAAGGATTGCTTGAGCCTAGGAGTTTGAGATTACAGTAAACTGTGATTGCACCATTGTAATAAATCTCCAGCCTGAGTGACAGAGCAAGACTCTGTCTCAAACAACAAAAAAAGAAACAACAACAAGAAAAAACCTTTGAGGATATTAAATGCTGTCAAAGAGATGAGAAAAAAAAACCCAATATTTTTGGCAATTTAATTTGGTACTACACACTTCTAGTAAGGTACTTTGTCAGTATTTACCAAAATTTAAAATGCACGTAGCCTTTGATCTAGACTTTGACCTAGCAAGTCCACTTCTGCTATTCTATTGTGCAGAAATAAATTATGTCTATGTTCAGAGTAACTGCGTAGACTCTAGAATGACATAAAAACGCTTACAAGACTAATTGTTGAATAAAAAGTGAAGTCACAAAACAATAGAAACATTATGATCCTGTTTACTTAAAAATGATAATACCTATACACATATATAGTATTTGATGACTTAATATTAATGTTCATCTGGAAAATAAAAAACACAATCATCTAGAAATGATTGAAAAAGTAATAAAAAGCGAACATGCCCTACCATGTTAGAACATTCTGAAAAGCTATAAAAGTTAAAATATTTATTAGCACATTTATAGAAAAATCTAGCTTTCTGTCTACATATTACGTAATGCATTTACCAAGAGGATGACTATGTGTAGATATATATTATTTATGTGTGCAGAAAAGAAAAGGTATGCAATTATGTATTATATAACACATTGTTACTAATGGTTAATTTTACAGAGACGAGTGAGAATGGCTAGGAAGGCACATGAGGGGAACTTTGGCTCCTTGTAGTAGTTTACTTTTACAATAAGCATATATAACTTGTGTAATTAAAAGAACATGAGAGGAAGTATGACAGTCATCTGCTATGTTATAGGGAACTACCAGAAAAATGTGCTCTCAGGAGAACATATGAAATTATATGTTCTTAAATCATAAATTTGAAGTTTGTGCATTCTAATATGCTCGTCTCCTTATGGTTTAAAGCTACTGCTCTATAATATGTCATCTATCAATTTGTATGTGTTTTCCAGGTAGAAGTCTAGAGTCCCACAGCTTACTTTCTCTCTCTTTGCAGGAATGTTACTGGGATGCTTTACTGCCATCCTCATAGGTGGCTTCATTAGTGAAACCCTTGGGTGGCCCTTTGTCTTCTATATCTTTGGTAAGCTACTATCTCCCAGTTCCCTGAGTTTCATATGCAGAAAGATTCTCCTCAGTAAGTATATTTTGTGTATAGTTTTCCAAAGGAAATGAGTCAAGACAGATAAATCCTAGAAAACCAAATATCTTAATCTAAGGGAATAATTAGTCAATGCCATAAAAAAATTTGGAAGTTCTCCTGCCTATTATAAAGTGCTATTAACCCACCATATTGTGTTATTATCACAGGGTAATCAGTCATACTCTGCTGCCATTGAAGGCAGTAGGGGATAGGCTTGCAGGTCAGTGGTAAGACACGGAAGGAAGAAATCCAGACAGGTAGGTGCTGCTGTGGGTTTTGTCTCAGAGTAAGCACAGGAGCAAGGCATCCTGAGTAGCACAGGAGCAAGGCATCCTGAGTAAGGCTCAAGTTTCTTAGAGAGGAGAAAACACGAAACACCAAGAGGATGAATTTTGCCAACCTCCGCATTTGTCCCAAAGCCTTCCATTTAGTTATTAGAAATTGAGAAAGAACTGCTCCCTCCATAACTTCCACTTTAGTAGCTTTTACATTCTACTTTCAAACCTTTCATTAGTTTGCATTCATTTGTTTATACATTTAACTCCCCTTCTGGACAGTGAGCTCTTTGAGGGCAGAGATAGAGTCCTGTTGGTTCTTGGGACTGTACAGAGTCCAGGGAACAAAGATGTTAGTTACCATGGAAACATTAATCAAGAGAAAACTGGGGGGATATATTAATATCAGATAAGAATGGCTTCAGAACAAGGAATATTACCAATTCACAAGAAGATATAACAATCTGAAATGTATATGCACCTAATGACAGAACTTCAAAATACATGAAGCAAAAACTGATAGAAGAGTAAGGAGAAATCAACAAATCCACAATTAAAGATGGAGGCCTCAATATTCTTCTCTTAATAATCAATAGAATAAGAACACAGATTAAGTACATTTTATTCAACAACAGTAGAGTACTTATTTTCAAGTGTGCTTCAAACATTCACCAGGATAGACAATTTATGGCCTACAAAAATAAGATGGAACAAATTTAAATGAGTTGAAAATAATAGAAAATATGTTCTTTGAACATAATAAAATTAAACTAGAAATGAGTGACAGAAAAGCCTCTGGAAATACCCTAAATATTTAAAAACTTAGCAACATACTTCCAATGAGTTAAAGAAAAAGACACGAGGGAAAGTTTTTAATCAAATTGAATGAAAATGAAAATCAATATATCAAATTTTGTAGGATGTAATTAAAACAAAGCTTAGAGAGAAACTTTTAACATTAAATGCTTATATTAGAAAAGATGGTTCTCAAATTAATGATCTAAGCTTATGCCTTAAAATACCTAGAAAAAGATGATTTAAGTAAACCTAAATCAAACTGAAGGAAGAAAATAACAAAAATACATGCAGAAGGCCGGGTGCGGTGGCTCACGCCTGTAATCCCAGCACTTTGGGAGGCCGAGGTGGGCGGATCATGAAGTCAGGAGATCGAGACCATCCTGGCTAACACGGTGAAACTCCTTCTGTACTAAAAATACAAAAAAATTAGCCAGGCGTGGTGGCGGGCACCTAATGTCCCAGCTACTCGGGAGGCTGAGGCGGGAGAATGGCACGTGAACCCGGGAGGCGGAGCTTGCAGTGAGCCAAGATCGCACCACTGCACTCCAACCTGGGCCACAGAGCGAGACTCTGTCTCCAAAAAAAAAAAAAAAAAAAAAAAAAACATGCAGAAATTAATGGATTTAAACCAAAAAAGAGATTTTGTTCAATTTACAATTGGTTATTTGAAAAGATCAATAGCATTGACAAATCTTTAGCCAGATGGAGAGAGAGAGAAAGAGAGATAAACAGAGAGAGAGAGAGAAAGGAAAGAAAAATAACCAATATCAAGAATGAAAAAGAGGACTTTTTCATTCATTCATGTAGGCAGGGGAAAATCATTGGTGAAGGCTGAGGACGGTGCCTACACTCACAGAAAATCAGAGATAGTACTCATTTTCATAAGACAGACTGAAAAATTCATAATTCATGGGTCACTGGATGGAATACTCATAAATGTTGTTCCTCAGTAGTGAGAAATTATTAGTCTTACAGGGAGTACTGCTGTGGATCTCTCTAACAAATGGTGATGGCCAGACCTAAAAGGGGCAAACTATTTCCACATAATTTAATCATATCCCAAAACAAAGCTTAATAAGATTTACAGGAATACAAAACTATCTGGCACCCAGCTGGATATAATTCATAATGTCTGGCTCCAACCATAGATTACCAGACATGAAGAAAAGGAGAAAAATACAACTTATAATGAAGAGAATAATAAATTGATCAAAACTAACCCAGAGCTGACAGAGATTTTAGAATTAGTAAACAAGGGCATTGAAATAGTTACTATAGCTACATTATAGCATAAGTCTGTATGTTCAGAAAGTTAAGTGGAGACATAGTAAATATAAAGAAGACCCAATAAAACTTATAGAGATGAAAAGTACAGTATCTGAGATGAAAAATGCACTGAATGGAGTTAATGACAGATTAGATACAATAAAATAAAAGATTAATGAACTTAAAAACAACAATAGAAATCATCCAAAACCCACCACACAGAGAAAATTATAATATTAAAATGAGAACATCAGTAAGTTGTGGAGTGCCCAAAACAGAAAAGTAGGATGGGAGAACAAAAACAACATTTTTCAAAAATATTTGAAGAAACAATGGCCAAAAATTTTCCAAATTGGATGAAAACTATAAATTCACAGATCCAAAAAAGTCAATGAACCTCAAGCCCAAGAAACATGAAGAAAACTACATCAAGTTACATTCTAATCAAATGGCTCAAAACCAGAAGTAAAGAGAAAATCTTAAAGTAGCCAAAGCTAAAAGATGTGTTATAGAGAGAGGAACAAAGATAATGCTGAATGCAGCATTCCTTCCTGTTAGAAGCAGTGCAAGAGAGAAGGCAGTGGAACAACATCTTTAAAGTAGTGCAAAAAAACAAACCGAAACAGAAACAAAAACCAAAATCTGTCAACCTGGAATTCTAGACCCAGTGAAAAAAAAAAGTTTCAAAAACAAATGCAAAATAGAGATGTTTTCAGATGTAGAAAAGCTGAAATAATAAGAAATGTCAATTAAAGAGAACAGTACGATTTTCAATAGCATAAAAAATATTCAACATAGGGATAAACCTGCCAAAAGATATGTGAGGGCTGTGCACTGAAAACTAAATTTTTATGGAAATGCAAAGATTTTAGAATAGCCAAACACCTTTGAAAATAAATTACAAAGTTGTAGGACTAACACTACCTGATGTCAAGACATATTATAAAGTTATAGTCTTTAAGACAGAGTGGTATTGACATAAACATTGGCAAATAGATCAATGAAACAAAATAGAATCATAGACTCATGATTCTATTTACTTCATATAAAGTAAACTGAACTGATATTTGAGAAAGGTTCAATAGATAAAGGATAGTCTCTTTAACAGAAGGTGCTCAAAAATTGGATATCCACATGCAAAAAAATGAACTTCCATCCATACCTTGGATCATATATAAAAACTAAACCAAAATGAATCCCAGACCTAAATATAAAACCTGAAATTATTATCCTTCTAGAAGAAAACATAGGCGTTAATCTTTCTTATTTACACAAAGATTTCCTAAATATGACACCAAAAGCATAATTCATAAAATTAATTGATAAATTGGATTTCATCAAAGTTAGAAATATATCCTCATCAAAAGGCATTGTTAGGATAATAAAAAGACATGCTGATCCCAGGAGAAAATAATTGCAAAACACATGTATAATAAGGATTTTTATTCAGAATGTGTAAATAATTCTCAAAACTCAATAATAAAAAACCAAAAAAAAAAAAAATTGGGCAAAGACACTTCATCAAAAAAAGATAGGGGGAAAATAGGCACATGAAAAGATGCTCAACTCATCCTTAGTTATTTAAGAAATACAAATAAAAACCATAAGATATCTCCACACACCTATCAGAATGGCTAATATTAAAAATATTGAGATATCAAGTGTGGTGCCACTTCTAGGCTCTGTAATTTCCACACACACAAATAAACAGGAAATGTAAAATGGGTGAATTGTTTCAGAAATGGAAAAGGGATATAATGAACATGAGCTTTTCCTAGAACTTATAACAGAAAATATCCCAACATAAAAGAAGTTCACCCAAAAAGCAGAAAACAGCCCATTTACCAAATTTACCCTGTGCTTACAGGAGGTGTTGGCTGTGTCTGCTGCCTTCTCTGGTTTGTTGTGATTTATGATGACCCCGTTTCCTATCCATGGATAAGCACCTCAGAAAAAGAATACATCATATCCTCCTTGAAACAACAGGTACATATAAAGACACCAACACTTTTCTGAGACCTTGTATCTGGATTTTCTTGAGGCCTTAAATCTGGATTTTTAAGGGTGACTAAGTGTGTGAGCATCTGTCGGATTTACCGTTATGACCAGTAAATTTGTTTTCAGGTCGGGTCTTCTAAGCAGCCTCTTCCCATCAAAGCTATGCTCAGATCTCTACCCATTTGGTCCATATGTTTAGGCTGTTTCAGCCATCAATGGTTAGTTAGCACAATGGTTGTATACATACCAACTTACATCAGCTCTGTGTACCATGTTAACATCAGAGACGTGAGTATGTTTCCTTCCCTTCCTTTCTCCTGCTTGCATGGCTGACCAATTACTCTGCCCTCACTAATCATTCCATCTGAGAAATGTATTTCTTATTACCAAAAATAATCTAATATTTAATACTCATGCCAGTAGCTTTTCTGGGGTATGATTTAAGAGGTTACTGATTTTCCTAAGAAAGTATGATTTCAGAATGTCATTATTATTAGTAGTAATTTATCAACAAAAGTTGTGGTCTCACTGCCTTTATTATGGTAATTTACTCAATCTTTTCTCTTTAGAATGGACTTCTATCTGCCCTTCCTTTTATTGTTGCCTGGGTCATAGGCATGGTGGGAGGCTATCTGGCAGATTTCCTTCTAACCAAAAAGTTTAGACTCATCACTGTGAGGAAAATTGCCACAATTTTAGGTAAGAACAGAGCTTGAGGGTCAGATAATTTGCGTAGCATACAACAGCCAAAGAATGCATCTCACTGTTTAATTGGTTTCTTCTTCATTTCCTAGGAAGTCTCCCCTCTTCAGCACTCATTGTGTCTCTGCCTTACCTCAATTCCGGCTATATCACAGCAACTGCCTTGCTGACGCTCTCTTGCGGATTAAGCACATTGTGTCAGTCAGGGATTTATATCAATGTCTTAGATATTGCTCCAAGGTAGGACTCTGATCTCCACTATCAGTTTCACATTTTCTTTAAAAGATTTAGCTTTCAGCTTTCTGGGATCCCCAAACTTAGGAAATGAATAAACCATAGGGGAAGAACCACAGATAGACCTGTGGCCGTTTTTTTCAGGTATGTTGAGGAAGGGGTATTGATTTGTCCTCATCCCTCTCATTGAATATACATAGTGCAAGTCCTTTTTGATATAATTGTCTAATTATAATTATATATAATTGTGAAATATAATTGAGTTATAGATTCATACATGGATCAGGGCTGAAGGATACTGTCAAACATCTCTGGATCTAGACCGGAACATTCCTGTCACCCACAGGTATTCCAGTTTTCTCATGGGAGCATCAAGAGGATTTTCGAGCATAGCACCTGTCATTGTACCCACTGTCAGTGGATTTCTTCTTAGTCAGGTACAATTTTTTTGTCATGAAGGACTCCAAAGATGCTCTGCTAAATCCACTTATAAAGGTGATAGCATGTATTCAAAGACTGAAAAATAAAGTTAAATTTTGGGTAATTTGTCATTAAGATGAACCTGCTAAAGAAAAATATAGAATCATTTCTTTGGTGACCTAAAGCCTGGTTCATTCTCAAGCAAAGAACTAAATAGTGATTGCTGTCTTTGAAACTGAAACCACACAGCTGCATAGGTGTCTTGGGATAATGATTCCATGCATAAATGCCAACCTGCTATGTTTTGGGCAATACTTTGAATTTGTATCCAGCATCTACAAGGAACTTAAGTTTACAAAAAACAAATGAACCCTTTAAAGTGTTTGCAAAGAATGTGACCAGATTCTTTTCAAAAGAAGACATACACGTTCTTCTTTTGAGAATTGTCTTCTCATGTCCTTAGCCCACTTTTTGATGGGACTGTTTATTTTTGTCTTGCTAATTTATTTGAGTTCATTGTAGGTTCTGGATATTAGTCCTTTCTCAGATGTATAGATTGTGAAAATTTTCTCCCAGCCTGTGGGTTGTCTGTTTATTCTGCTGTTTCTTTTGCTGTGCAAAAGCTCTTTAGTTTAATTAAGTCCCAGCTATTTTTGTTTTTATTGCATTTGCTTTTGGGTTCTTGGTCATGAAATCCTTGCCTAAGCCGGTGTCTAGAAGGGTTTTTCTGATGTTATCTTCTAGAATTGTTATAGTTTCAGGTCTTAGATTTAAGTCCTTGATCTATCTTCAGTTGATTTTTGTATAAGGTGAGAGATGAGAATCCAATTTCATTCTCCTACATGTGGCTTTCCAATTATCCCAGCACTATTTGTTGAATAAGGTGTCCTTTCCCTACTAAATGTCCAAAAAACATGTGAAAAAATGCTCAGCATCACTAATGATCAGGGAAATGCAAATCAAAACCACAATGCGATATTACCTTACTCCTGCAAGGTTGGCCATTGTTGTTGGCCTGGATGACTATTGGTAGGAATGTAAACTAGTACAACCAGCATGAAAAACAGTGTGGATATTCCTTAAAGAACTAAAAGTAGAACTACTGTTTGATCCAGCCATCCCACTACTGGGTTTCTACCCAGAGAAAAGAAGTCATTATACGAAAAAGATAATTGCACAGACATGTTTATGGCAGCACAATTCACAATTGCAAAAATGTGCAACCAACCCAAATGCCCATTAATCAATGAGTGGATAAAGAAACTGTGGTATACATATATATGATGGAATACCACTCAGCCATAAAAAGGAATGAATTGATGGCATTCACAGCAATCTGGATGGGATTGGAGACTATTATTCTAAGTGAAGTAACTCAGGAATGGAAAACCAAACATCATACATTCTCACTCACAAGTGGGAGCTAAACTGTGATGATGCAAAGGCATAAGAGTGACACAGTGGACTTTGAGGACTCAGGGGGAAGGTGTGGGAAGGGGGTAAGGGTTAAAAGACTACAAATCCGGTTCAGTGTATTCTGATTGGGTGATGGGTGCACCAAAATCCCACATATCACCACTAAAGAACTTACTCATGTAATCAAATATCACCTGTTCCCCAAAAACCTATGGAAATAAAAAAATTAAAAAATAATAATAAAATAAAATAAAAAATTTTTAAAAGAAAACATACATGCAGCCAACAAAGGTATGAAAAAAGCTAAATATCACTGATCATTAGAGAAATGCAAATCAAAACCACAGTGAGATCATCTCACAGCAGTCAGAATGTCTATTATTAAAAAGTCAAAAAATAACAAATGCTGGAGAGGTTACAGAGAAAAGGGAACGCTTATACACTGTTGGTGGGAGTGTAAATTAGTTCAACCGTTGTGGAAAGCAGTGTGGTGATTCCTCAAAGAGCTAAAAACAGATCTTCCATTCTACGCAGCAATTCCATTACTGGGTATATACCCAAAAGAATGTAAATTATTCTACCATAAAGACACATGAACACTTACGTTCTCTGCAGCACTATTCATAATGGAAAAGACATGGAATCAACCTAAATGCCCATCAATGACAGATTGGATAAAGAAATATGGTACATATACACCATGAAATACTATTCAGAATGAGATCATATCTTTTGTAGGAAAATGGATGGTGCTGGAGGCCATTATCCTAGAAAACTAACGCAGGAACAGAAAACCAAATACCACATGTTCTCACTTATAAGTAGAAGACAAAGGATGAGCATTCATGGACACAAGGAGGGGAACAACAGACACTGGATCTTACTTGAGAGTGAAGGGTGGGAGGAGGGAAAGAGTCAGAAAAAAAAAACTATTGGGGACTAGGCTTAGTACCTGGGTGATGAAATATCTGTACAACAAACTCCCATTACATGAGTTTACCTATATACCACAACTGCACATGTGCCTCTAAGCCTAAAAGTTGTTTTTAGAAAATAATATTTCCGGCCAGGTGCGGTGGGCTCACACTTGTAAACCCAGCACTTTGGGAGGCCGAGGCAGGCAATCACGAGGTCAGGAGATCAAGACCATCCTGGCCAACATGGTGAAACCCCGTCTCTACTAAAAATACAAAACAATTAGCCGGATGTGGTGGTGCATACCTGTAGTCCCAGCTACTCGGGAGGCTGAGGCAGGAGAATTGCTTGAACCCAGGAGGCGGAGGCTGCAGTGAGCCGAGATCGTGCCACTGTACTCCAGCCTGGGCGACAAAGTGAGACTCTGTCTCAAAAAAAGAAAAGAAAAGAAAAGAATATTTCCATCACCCAGATGGTTCTTTTGTGCTCCTTTCCATTCAGTACCCCTCCTGGTTGTAACTATTACCTTGACTTCTGTTTTCATAGATTATATTTTCCCATTCTTGCCTTTCATAGAAATGGAATCATATAGTACCTACCCTAGCTTATTTCATCCATCATGTTTTTGAGATTCATCCATTGGAAGTTATAATAGCTTGTTCTTTTCTATTGCTGTGTAGTGTCTCATTGTGTGGCTAATCACAAATTATCTATTGTACTTTTATGGACATTTGAGTTGTTTGGCTATTATCAATAAGGCTGCTATGAACATTGTTTTCTTTTCACTAGAATAACAGTGTTTTGGTTTCATTGCATTCATTATGGTTGTTTTTTATTAAAGGCAAGTAATTCTGGTTATCTATTTCAAATAGTGATAAAATAGTTCCTTTTAAAATTTAATTGATTTAAAAAAACAAAATTTCTAGAAAATTGTAAATAATTATACATTAAAAATTTTCATTTGCATAATCATGCCAAAAAGGGGATAATGAAAGCAAACATTAAGTGTGTGATGTATGCATAGGTATTTCATATGCTGTAAACTCATTTAACTATTGATATTGATTCTCACATCAGTTGTGAAAATTGAATTTTATTATTTTCATTCCCTAACAAGCTGAAAATCTGTTAGCATAAGTCTTTCCACAATAAGGATGAACAATCAGAATTCTTCAAACTTAAACATGTATAGCTCAAAAGCCCATAATCTTTTCACAATTCCAGCACAACATAAGAAGAATCTTGAAAGGATTCTCAGCATAGTTTATATAGTCGAGATTCATGCAAAAGAGAAAATGTATGGCACTTGGATAAATAGTGACAAATGCATTTATGTAGATTAATCACAAAGTTCCCCAAATACCCTTTATTAAGAACACTGAATGTATTTTGAAATCCTTTGCATTTAACTATCAAGCCACTTTCAGGAAATGAATTTCTACAAGGAAACCCACCAGTGAATGTTGTCATCTGAACTATTAATATAATGTTTCATAGGAAAATATGAAAGGGGTAATATATACTTGGGGTTTTGTGTCTCCAGGACCCTGAGTTTGGGTGGAGGAATGTCTTCTTCTTGCTGTTTGCCGTTAACCTGTTAGGACTACTCTTCTACCTCATATTTGGAGAAGCAGATGTCCAAGAATGGGCTAAAGAGAGAAAACTCACTCGTTTATGAAGGTAAAGGATAGTGATTTTATGCATGGTTATAGCCATAGAAGCAGCTGAAGTTTTAAATTCTATATCATTTTCCTTTCTTAGTTATCCCACCTTGGATGGAAAAGTCATTAGGCACCGTATTGCATAAAATAGAAGGCTTCCGTGATGAAAATACCAGTGAAAAGATTTTTTTTTTCCTGTGGCTCTTTTCAATTATGAGATCAGTTCATTATTTTATTCAGACTTTTTTTTGAGAGAAATGTAAGATGAATAAAAATTCAAATAAAATGATAACTAAGAATGCAGTTGTCATCTTCATAGAATTAACAATGGATTAAGAGGGCTTGCTGTGTGGGACCCAGTATGTTAGATTCCATTACTGGATACAAGAAACAATGTTTTAAAACCTTTAATCCGGGGTGACAAACTCACTAGGGCAATGATTTTTCCTGTTTGTGAAAATTAATATTACTTTCTATTTATTGGGTTGAGTATTGTCCATGTGTTCTTCCCTATATGTCCTCCATTTATCTCCATCCTGCTCAGGCTCCAAGAGGCTGACCCATATGGATTGCATCCTGTACTCCCTTGTCCATTGGCTTCTGCTAGATTTTTAAGGGAGATAGGTAGAGTCAGGCGGTGTTTATCTCTGACAGTCTCTCTTTTAGGGTGTGCAGATGGCTGAGCTTTCTACAGTTCACAGCTCCTGGAAGGCAGCCCTTTCCATATGTTCTCATAACTTCTCTCTTCCTTGTCCCTTCAGCCTTTTTTATTTGCCTTTATTTGGCAAGCTGTTCGGTTCTCCAGAATCCCTTGTGGTTTCCCTACCACCTGCCTAATCCTGTGTAAATTGTCATTTTCAACAATGCTCACAAATTACCCATTGTAAGTCTGTCATTTTTCTTCTTCTGGGATCCACATAGTTCAGTGGTTCAATTACTTATAAAGCTCAAATATGAATGAATTTGTATTTTTGTAAAATGATAATTTGTAGGTGTTGGTGAGTTCAGGACTATGGTCTGGATTGACCCCTGTTCTAATTTCTACCATGTAGAATAAAGATTAGAGGCATTGAGCCATTTCATATAGAGGCAATGTGATAGACAATAGTTCTAAGTGAAAAATCAAGGCAAGGATTTAGAGGGCCAAGCTTGAATAACCACAACAATTACTTAGATCTTGTTATGTTCCAGAATCTGGAATCTTGGGACACTGGAGTAAAGGAGGCACAGTCATTCTCCATCCTAAAGTGGAGGAAAGACACAATAATTGATAGCACTACACTGTTTTAGGTACAATAGCAGAGAAACATGTAGGGCATCATGAAAGACCAGATGAGGAGTGCCGATTCCAAGTGATGGTAAAATCTTACCAAGTGGTAAGATATTTTACACTGGAGCCCAACTTGCACAAAAGAATAAAAGTAAGAAGCAGGATGGATTCTGAAGGGAATCACTTGCCTGCATAATCAGTTAGGAAAGGAGAGAAGGTGGATTTAGGGAAGTGGGAGTGGCCAGAGTAAGGAGGTCTTGTTTGCTGTGTTAGGGAGTTCAAGGTATAACCTACAAGCAGTATGATAGGAATCATATCAATACTGACAAGGGCAGATTTTCTCTCTAGATAGAACACTCTGACCTAATTTGAGAATCAAGAAGACTAGTTAAATGACCATCTGTGCAGTGGCCTACACAGCAGTAGTGAGGACTGAACTCACCTCAGCAGTGGTGAGGGCAGAAAAAGCTGAGATGAAGACAAGAAGAGAGACATGAAAAATGTTTATAAGATAGAACTGGAAGATCATGGTTTTTGACTAGATGGATGCAGGAGAAGAAAAGTGTCAAGGAGTCCTGGGTCTCTAATGTGAGAGACTGAATAGAGAGTGGTCTGAACAACTAAGCCAGGGAATGTAGCAAGATGAGCCCTTTTCAGCGGGGAAGATCATGATTTGACTTTGGGACATGTTGAGTTAATGGTAATAGTGGGATAATCATGTGGACATGTGTATTAGCTTCCTGGGGCTGCTCTAACAAAGTGCCACCAACTAAGTTGCTCAAACAAAGTAATTTATTGTCTTACAGCTCTAGAAGTCCAAAATCGAGGTGTTGGCAGGGTTGGTTCCTTTTAAAGGCTATAAGGAAGAATCTGTTCTATGCCTTTTTTATTCTTTTAGCTTCTAGTAGTCTCAGACAATTTTTGGCTTGTAGATGGCCTTCTCCCTGAGTCCTCACATCATCTCTTCTCTGTACACATCTGTCTCTGTGTCCAAATGTTCTGTTTTTATAAGGACATCAGTCATATCACATCAGGGTTTACTCTAATGACATCATCTTAACTTGATCATCTGCAAAGACCCTATTTTCAAATACAATCACATTCACAGATACTGAGTATTAGGACTTCAACATCCTTTGGGGGAACATAATTCAAGCCATAGCAGCAAGCTCAATAAGGGGCCAGATCACTAATCTGAAACTTATAGAAACTATAAGAGTGAAATGGAGAAAAAGATAAAGGAGAAAAATGCAAATGTTCAGTACCGCAGACCTGAGTTTAGACCAAATGCCTCAGTAAGAGCCTGTGGATGGAAAACCACAAGCCAAGACAGAATGCCAACATCTAAGAAGGGCCAAAAAAAGAAATGCCCACACATAACAGAGATGAAAGAGTCAGGTGTGTAAGTGTGAGAAATAACAGGAGAGTACAACTCTCATTGAAGACTCATGGGCATGGCCTTTTAAGAAAGACTGCTGATGAGCAATAACAAGTGTAGTGAAGAAGTTCAAGTAGATGAGGTCAGAAAAGGAACTTAGCCTCCTTGTGATGAGGAATTCTTGGTAGCTTTTTCAGGGTACATTTAGCAGAGAGATGAGTGTACAGGTCAGTTCGCAGTTTGTCGGTAAGTGAAAGGGAATGAGAGGGTAGAGAAAGTAAGAGAAATCTTTTCACAAAATTTGATAAAGGGAGATGGGCATATAGCAGAGAGGGATATTTCATTAGTTGGTATTTCACCATCAGAGTGTAGAATCCTGAAGGAAGGAGGGCACTTGAGGGTCAGCCATCAAGGTCTGACTCAACATCGTGAGAAAGTTCTCCTCTCGAAGTGTGGGTCTCACCTCCTTGTTGTTCTAACAAAGGGCAAGGGACACTTCCCCTTCTGCTCTTCATATGTGCTCACCTTCATCACATTTCAAATTCTGCATTTTGGGTTGTTTGTCCAGAAGTGACCAGTTTCTTCTATTAAAGATCCAGTTACCTGGCCTCCCTGCTTGAGCACACATATGACCGGAGATGCACCAACTTAGGATGGATTTCTGCTTGGTATTCTTTTCTGTACTCTTGCTTTTATCCATATACTCCAATCTCCCTTCCCATGATCTCATGTTCAGAAATTCATTTCTAGGCATATACAAAGCCTCTAGTACCACGTCTTTCATCTAGTCATTTTTAGTGTGAATTTTTAAATAGGTATAATCACATGATACTGAGAGTGAACTGTTTAAAGGTAAAATTAGTGAGCTATTTTATTAAGACAGGAAATTTTTAGGTGATATTCAAAGACAATGACATGCATTGTGAAACCTTTGTTTCCCCAGGCAGTACCAACCTTGGACAGGGATGGGGTAATGATTCACATTTATGGGGGGAAAAATTATCTTTGTGTGACTCCAGTCACAGTTTGCTTCTATCAAATCTTCAGTCTCCAATGAAGTTTAAATATTCCTGGGAATCCTAATGAAGGACTGTTTTTATGAGTTTTGTGTTATCATTGTAATGTCAAGATTGTGTGTCAAGTCAATATGAAGTTTAAAACCATTTCCAATATGTTCACTTGATTTACTCTTTTCCATTATTTGGATATCCCATTACACAGGCACAGTGGATGATTTAAGTATTCCAGGAAGCTGTTTCTATACCAAAGTACCTAGCAATAATGTAACAATTCCCCTTATCAACCCAAACCACATAAATGTATCCCAAATTTTGGTCCAATGAAATGCATTCCCACTGCAGCCTTCCCTTCACCATATCAAAAAATGCCAAGAGCAACTCCATAGTACTATGGTACCCAATAGGATGGAGATAGTAACTTTAAACAATTGTGGTTAAAATGGCTTACTTCTAGAAATTTTCAAAAATATGGGACTATATGAACATGTCACTAGTGCCCTCTTCCCCACCAGGACTTTGGAAATGGTCCATGCAAATGAAAGATCTTTAACCTTGTCAATGAGCTGAAACTTGTGATGTTCCAAGGCTGAGCCATGCTTCTTTGAGCCCTCAGTGTCAGTACTTAATGAATATCTGGTGAACGAAATTGAAACATTGGCATCTTCCAAATATCTCACTCCAATTCACTGCCTGAGTTTCCAAGCAGAACTGCTTTGTCTGCAACGTCTTGGAGAGGTTTTTGGTAAAGCCAATCCTTTAGTTCTGACCCACCAGCCACTCTCTTCCATGAGATTCTAGAGTCTGAACCTACACTCACTTTTACTCTTCCATTAATTGCGTCTCTTTTCTATTTACCTAACCATTGTTACCAGATCGCTAATACTGACATCGTGTGCCTGCCTCCATTATTCCTTTGGGTAAGTTTCTTAGGGATTTTTCTCATTCCCAGGGACTCTCTAGTCACTAATGAAGAAGTTCCTAGTGACTCCAACTCTACTAGACTTCTCCATACATCGGGCATGTATCGATGTTATTGAATATTAGCAATGAAAACAGTTTAGATTCAGTCTGAGACAATGCCCACATTAACTACATGTTGAGTATATGCGCAGAAGTGCAGAAATAAATCAATCTAGAGGCTCTTTCCCATCAAAATTTAAAAATAGTTGCATTCAGTCATTATAGCACACACTCAATACTCCACCAATATCCCCTCAGTTCCCTTTACCATTTTGCTGCATACCAGCTCCTGATGAGTTTTCATTCCCAACACCTGGAACCTGTTTTTTCTGTTAGAGGGCTCCCTCAGGCTGCAGGAGCCAGTTTTGCCTGCCAACCTGGATGTGCCTGGGAATTTGTGTCTGCCCGGGAACAGCTCTTACTCAAAGCATCACTATACAGATATAAATGCTCCATCTCCCTTTGCTTCTGCTTGGCAAGCGAGGTCCACACGATCTCCCAAATCCCCTAAGAAGTGAACTGGACCTTACTTTATATCCTTTCCAGATCTACTTATGCTCTCCTCAGTCAGGTTTCCCTGGAAATACATCCTAATGAATCATTTGACAGGAATCCTCATCTCAGGGTCTGCTTCTAAAGAATGTGACCTAAGCCAGTTGTTTCCACAAGAAGACCTAGGATGCAGATTCTTATAATAACTTCCAGAGTTATATCACTGACAAGCCAGGCGGCCCAGGGACCCCCCCTTGATGTTTGTAAAAGCATTGGTGATAACCCGGGCCTGCTGTAGCGTTACAACTGCTGACTCTGTCCTGTTGTGCATTGGAATGAAAGATGGGATACAGGTGTAAGGGAAGGCACTGGCTTGGTCAATAACTCTAGCATTTGAGAAATGTGTGGAAATGGCAATTAGAACAACTTTGAAGTTGGCTGTTTGATGGTGGTCATGATCACCGATGTACTCAAGATGGCCAATTACATCAGAGAATGGTGTGAAAGTCAGAAAATTTCCCTGGCAGCATTTAAAGATATCCTGATCTCCAATAGCAGAGGGCAGACATGTTCTGAAGATCAGACTCAGGATTTGATTGTCAGAGTAGCAGAAAACACAAAGACAAACACTCGACTTTACGCTAAAGTCAAGTCCTGGGAAGTCTCATGCTAAAGTCAAGGCCTGAAATTTACCCTCAAACTTATTGGTATCCTTATCCCAGTACCCCATGCTGCGGGATGGCAGCATCCCGTTTCCTGAAGATTCCCATGCAGAAAACACAGCTGATACAGATGCCTTGCAAGACAATACTTGCTTATTCAAATTCTATCCTCATGTTCTCTATTACCTTAACAAATAGTAAACCTGAATACTTGACAAATAGCTAGGTCAGGGCTTAGGATGGTCCAAATAGTGTAGTGCTGGCCCTGCTAAAGTGGAAGGGACAAGGAGAGCATGCCTAGAATATGGGACCAGAGTGTTGGGGGCAGAAGGTAAGTCCAGATAAGGGAGATCTTGTTAATATGAGGGCACATTGCTGTGACTCAGGATTTAATATCATTGAAGCTTACATGAAAATGCTCAAAAACAGTTCACTCTTGCTGAATTAGTAATTCAGATGCAATACCACAGCCCAGGTGGAATAGCAGACAGTAATGCCATTTGTAAAGATGTAGAAGATGCTAGAGTAATGATCTCTATTGTATTCCCATTCAACTCACCAATGTGGCCCCAGAATAAATAGACTGTGGCAGATGGTAGAGGACCACCACAGATGGGATCCAGTGGTAGCCTTAATTGCATATGGTGTGCCAGATGGAACACATCAACAGAGGCTTTGTCACTTCCTATACAGGTATTAGTATGGCGAGTGTGTTCTTTGGAAGAGCCATGGGAAAGGAGGATTATAAGTAGTTTGCATTGACTTGGGATAGACAACAGTACTTCTTTCACAGTTTTGTCAAGGAATGTGTTAACTTGCCAGCCTCTTTCACAACACAATCTGAAAGGATCTTGATTATCTGCAACATCACATTGTTTCACTATAAGCATGCAGTTATGTTAACTAGAGCTGAATAGCAAGAAGGAACAAGGACTCTGGATGCCATGTAAAAATATATACACTCCCAAGGGAGGGGAGAGAAAGCCTACAAAGTGTCAGGGACTAGCCACATAAGTGAAGTTTTCAGGGATCCAGTGGTCTCAAATATGCCAGAATATCATCTCCAAGGTAAAGAACAAGTTATATCTTGAAACTCCTACCACTAAGAAAGAATCACAAAACTTGGCAAAAAAAAAAAAAAGGTATAAACCTCATCAAGTTTTAGAGGGAATATATATCACACATCTAATAAGACAGTACGCTAACACTTACTTGCCCCAGCCTGAAAGTCCATCCTCAAAACACTCTTCCCTGTCCTTACAACCAGGGGACTGGGTTTGTATCGCAGACTCCTCTGCCCCTCTCCAACCTAAGTGGTTGGGCCCTCACCAGGTTATCCTAGCTACTCCCACAGAGGCAAAGCTAACATCTTTTCCACACTGGACACACCATTCCAAACTAAAAAGAGCACCAGATCCACATTCAGCAATTTCCTCACCCCCAAAATATTCTTCCTCCCTCACAGGACCAACCTCACTGCACTTAAAAATTCCTGAAGTTGCCAATCCAGAAGGCCCTAGTCCATAACACTCTCCAACTCCAGTTGTAAATCTTTTATCTCATATCTTGTTTCAGATATTTCCTGGTATTCCCTACCCAGATCCCTGAATAGTCAACTCCAATTTCTCACATTAATCCAGGAGCTATGGCTGCAGGGCCTTCCAAATATTCACTCCTTCTCAAATCTCCTTTTTCTCCTTTTGTCTTCTTTGTCTGTGGGGTACTCTAAGTTCCCCCCACCCCACCCAACCTCTGGCAGTCAGGCCCCCGTCGTCAACCTCACACATTGCCTCTTAAATCAGTCACACACCCGTCTTTCTTCCAACTGTTAAATTTGTTAGTCCACACAAATCCAGAAGTTCACTGCCCTTTCTGTTAACCTAACTACATAACCCTGGTCCAGAATAAACCTGCATCTTACCTACTCAGCCAATCCACTCCTGAAATCTGTTTATAATCTTTCTCAGCTAAACACCTTTCCCTCCAATCTATCAAATCCACTCACATCATCACACATAGGGTCGTCACCATCCTTCACCTCATAACCTCTAAACTAAACATGTTACAAGCCCGATTCCATAAAACACCTCTTATCAATCCCTCCCCTCTGTGCTGGCCCAGCTTTTCATGTATCCAACCCAAGGTTACCCCCTGGTAAAAAAAATGCACACACAATTCCCTCAACTGCAATCTATATCCTTCTGCCCCATCAGGGCCACAATGGCTGTTAGTTAACAAAAACCCATTTCTCTCTCTCTCTCCAAAACCAAACAGCCTTCACATCCTCCCACACCAACATTCCCTATCAGACCCTCACAGGGGCTTCCCTTGCTAATAGCTATTCAACCTGGAGAAACAAAATGTCGGAACAAAAAGTTTGTCCGGGATTCAACCCCTATCTATCTTCTCATAGCTCGCTACATTCACTTACAACTTTTGCCTCTCAATCCCCGGTCTTTTCTTTCTGTATGGCACAAACTCTTATCTTTGCTTGCCGGCAATTTGGTCAAGAACGTACACCCTGGTTTCAATCTTCAAACATTAGCATTTTGCTAAACAACCAGACCATCCAGGTTCCTTTGGTAGCTTCTGTTTCATCTTCCTCCACACGCACTAAGCGGGCTCTACATCTTATTCCTCTGGTAACAGGATTAAGCATCTCAGATGCACTTGGCACTGGAATAGCAAGTATATCAACCTCAACTTCCCTATATTGAAAAAATCTCTACAGTCCTCTATAATACCTTAGAGGACATGCATACTTCCATTGCAAGCCTCCCAAGGCAGATAAACTCTCTTGTGGGAGTCATTCTCCAAAACCAAAGGGTCCTAGACCTGCTAATCACTGAAAATGGGGGCACATGTGTATATCTCCAAGAAGAATGCTTTTTAATGTTTATGAATCTGGTATTGTTCGCGAAGAAGCCCATGGGCTCCGTAACAGGGATGCAGAAATCCAACATCAAGTCACTAACTCTTGGTAGCACGGGTCATCCCTCCTAAAGTATACGCCTTGGGTAACCGCTTTCTTAGGACCCCTAACCTTCCTCCTCCAAATACTAACAATTGGCCCATGTGTACTCACCTGCATATCCTGCTTTATCTCCCGAAGGCTGAACTCCCTTGTCCAGGCAACCACCCAGAAACCCATTGATGCCATCCTTCTCCTCTGCCAAGTTTGGTATCAGCAGCTCCAGGAAAACAACTCTGAAGTTGGACACCCACTACTTCAAAACCCCAACCCTGATAACAGAGCCCCTGTTCAGCAGGAAGCAACCAGATAGTCAACAACACCCCTTTCCCTTTTATATTAAAGTAGAAGGCAAGAATGTTAGTCCAAACTACACCACTTTGTAAGCCTCCCCCACCGCCATTTCTCAGACCTTGGTCAAAGTGAAACATTCCATGGGGGTTTGGGCCATAAGAAACAGCCTGCCTCTTATCATATTCTGCTGGGAGAAAGTGTGAAAGTGCAAAGAACACCACATTCAGCCGGAAAAAGGGCTAGAACGGCCTCATCCTGGGAACACGTAATCAACATTTTCCCAGGCATTAGGCCGCGCCCCTGCCAGATCCCTCCTGCCCAGAGCTATAAATTGCCCCAGTCTTTAAGCAGCGGTGGGCCCTGACATTAAGCTGGTCTCCCACATCTGTAGGTCTAATGCTGGACATAAAGCCAGCATTTGCTGTTAAGCCAGTCTCTCTCTCTCTCTCTCTCTCTCTCTCTCTGTGTGTGTGTGTGTGTGTGTGTGTGTGTATGTCTTTCTTTAACCCATGCCTTCCCTTCAAAACCTGATACCCTGTAGCCAACCACTGATGGATACTGGCATATAAATACTCTAACTTCTGTACCTTTGGTTAGGATGAATCTGAGGTGCAGACTACACTGTTCCCACTGCTCTCTTGTAGCATTAGTCCAAAATTACCTTCCTCCAGACTTGGCTTGTTTTTGTACCCTTGTTTGGTCTCCTTTCTTTCCCTGCCCACTTCCCAACCTCCTTACTATTTTTGTTGTTGGTTTGTTTTCCCGAAAATACCATTACATCACTTTAACATTAATCTTCATCTCAGGATCTGTTTCTGGGGAAGGCAGCAGTTGATTTTGGCAATCCTATTAGTATTATTTTCATGTTAATACAGGCATGCTATAATAAAGCAAAAAAGTATATTCATTGGGAACAAAGATATTCAACAAAAGAGAAATATGTAAGACTATAAAATCAAAGGAATTTTGAGAATAGCCCTAATCCTAAATTTGAATTAGAAATACAAGGAAAAAATTATAATTTCTTTTCAAAAAAATACCCTTTTCAAGTTCTTCCACTGAAAACATCTAAAAGCAGTGAGAGCCAGGAACAATGAGCACTTAGTGTTCAGAGTGTGGTCTCTAAACATTATTTCCTGCTGAAAGGAGCCAGCACTTCCTAAGAAAGCCCAGATCTGATAATAGAAAAGAAAAAAAAGAAAATATATAAGAGGAAGCTGGAAAGTTTTTTGTGTGTTGGAAGACAAGAAAGCTATTCAAGACCACAAGAGTCATATCATAATGACATGGAAATCAGCTTGAAGGGACTCCCACTGACCAAAGAAGGAACAATTGGAGCATCGAAAAGGAATAAGAACTGCAATAGACTGTAAAACATCAAATAAAATCCATGAGGTCATAATAGTACTTGGTCATTTTTGCTAAGACACTAACTTATTTTAGAACTTTATCAAGTAACTATGGTAACTTTCCTATTAAATCTGTATTTCCAGCTTACCAAATGTTTGATAAAGTAAATTTCCTTTTTTATAAAAAAATTCTAGCTCATAAATGAAGGAGACATGATAGAATTAGAAAATCACTATTTTATAACTTCTTTTTTTTTTTTTTTTTCGAGACGGAGTCTCGCTCTGTCACCCAGGCTGGAGTGCAATGGCGCAATCTCTGCTCACTGCAAGCTCCGCTTCCCGGGTTCATGCCATTCTCCTGCCTCAGCCTCCCGAGTACCTGGGACTACAGGCGCCTGCCACCATGCCCGGCTAATTTTTTGTATTATTAGTAGAGACGGGGTTTCACCGTGTTAGCCAGGATGATCTCGATCTCCTGACCTTGTGATGCACCCGCCTCGGCCTCCCAAAGTGCTGGGATTACAGGCATGAGCCACCGCGCCCGGCCCATTTTATAACTTCTAATCAAATGATAGATCTAGGCAACATTTACTAACTGTAGCTAAAAGCCATAGGTGAAATGTTGGTGAAAACTTTATTAATAAGTCAGGCTAAGAATATCTGAAACTACTGATTAATCTTACTACCACTAAAAGTGAGACAACCTGCTATTATGTGCCTCCCAACACGGAGCGATAGTACCCTGTATCATCCCATATCCCTGTGAATTGTTTTTGTGCTGAATCTAACCAAGCCTCTATATAAACCTCACGGTTTGCAGGATGTAAGGAAATACAAAAATATATCAAATAATCCTAAAAGCGAGCTATTAGCCAAACCAATTAGGAGAGACACTCTGCAAGGGATCCTGTTTTATTGTTGTTGTTTTTAAGTAATGGCAAATGTAAACTGGGAGAGGGGATTATTATAAAATAAGAGACATGACAGCCGTAACAATTAAGCGCCATTATGTGGATCCTATTCAAATCCTCACTTAAATCAAGCAAATATAAAGGACACAATTTTGAAGCAATTGGGAAAATTGTCATAAAGGTTGGATATTAGGTGATGTTAAGGGATTATTGTTTATTTACTAGATGTGCTGATACCATGTTAGTTATATCTTTTAAGGTCCTAATGAATTAGATAGCCATGCTGAATGTTTTATAGAAGAAATGACATAATGTCTGAGATCTGCTTTAAAATGCTACAAAAAACAACCATTGAATGTTGTTGATAACATTCAAAAGGCCAAATGAAAACTCAAATGGCCAAATATTGATAATTATTGAAGTGGGTGAATATGTACACAGTTATCTTAAACTGATCTACTTTTTTGTATGCTTAAACATTTCCATAATAAAATGATAAATTTAAAAATTTAATACATAAAACACAGAATCCAAAAGAAACAATTTCAAAGAATCTCACAGAGCAGCAGAAAGCTTTGGGGCCAGCAAACAGAAAGATGGTTCTCCTTCAGGTAATCAGTATCCAGAACTGGGATACTGATGGCAGATGGGAGTGTTATTATTTAACACATGGACTTTGAACAACTGCTGACCTAGGGGTTTCAATCACTAAAAGGGCTCCTCTTTCAGAAAATGCCAGAAATTGCCCAGCATGAAACAGGACAGTACAAACATTCTGCAACACACAGAAGAGGACCAGCAGAATCTGGACTTTTGAAAAAGAAAAAATCTAACTGAATAACAACATCAAAGTCTCCTGGGCAAAGGGGTTAAAGATTTACAACATTTCTTTAGAGGAAAAAAATAACTGGTTGAATTTACAGAGCATCTGCTATGTGCCAAACATTTAATGAGCACTTTAAAAGCATGATAAAAATTAAAAAAAAACTTGTTAAGCATGAAATAAATTACCTATAATGCAAAATCACTGATTTTAGTGCTTGGATATTTTTAAGTAATTAGTAGATTACCTTCAAAGAGTTCTAAGTTAAAAGTATTAGGGGCCAGGCACGACGGCTCACGCCTGTCATTCCAACACTTGGGAGGCCAAGGCACAAGGATTGCTTGTGGCAGGAAGTTTGATATCAACCTGGGCAACACAGCAAGACCCTGTCTCTACCAATTAGCTGGGTACAGTGTTGCATACCTGTAATCCCAGCTACTTGGGGCTGAAGTGGAAGGATCCCTTGAGCTCAGGAGTTCAAGTCTGCACTGAGCTATAATTGCACCATAGCACTCCAGCCTGGGTGACAGTGTGAGATCCTGTCTCTCTATGTTTTTTTTTTAATGTTTCTGGATATTGCTATAACCAAGTGGATGAACCAGAACCTACAGTAATTGCAGGAAGAGCCATGAGAGAAGCCACACCTTCCAGAGGACATGCCTCAATAAAATGTACCTCTTTCTGAGTATGCTGAATGTCAAACAGATGTACTGTTTAGAGAGGAGTGTGGAGGAGACAGGGTGAGGGAAGGAGGGAAAGCAAGGAAGGAGGGAGAAGGAAGAAGGGAAAGAGAAGGAAGAAAGAAAGAAAAAAGGAAGAAAAGGAGGAAGAAAGGAAGGAAGGGAATTAAGAGTAAAAATTTAATATGGCATTTATGGGGCATTTAGAAAGCCACAACATTCCTGTGAGAACAGCATTGTATACTCAGAGCCATCCTTAATAGAGAAATCTTGAGAGCACTTATGGCAGGCAAGCTCTACCTCCTGGGCAGGGAGAGAGACTAAGGGTGTCTGCTTATTATGCCATGAAATTACTGGCAGATTCCCAGTTTCTGGTCCACTGGATGATTTTGACCCACACACCTTCCCTGAAGCTTTAAGGAAAAGGTAACAGTAAAGTTAAAAATTAAGCTTTTAACTTCGACACAGTGATGTCAAAAGATTTGGTGAATGATTTATGGGGCTAAACTTGGTAATCCTAGAAAGTCAATATTGTGTAAAGTTGAGAGAAAAGTCTTCACAGCGGAAGAAGAAATCACTTTTTTGTCCCGAATCAGGTTAGTCTACGGGGCTCATTAAATGAAATGAGCAATCAGTTGATTCCCCAGAGGGCCGTAAGGGGGCATTCCCTGGCAAAGATATTATTGAAAGTACTTAGCAATAGGGGAAAATGTGGGGAGGGGTGGAATATGCCCTATCTTCTGAGGCTTTTCACAAGAGAAAAAAGAACATATTTTTAGCAATCAGTGTGAGGTTCACAGGGACACAAGGAAAGAGAAGTATGTGTTGTACAGTGTGTGATGCTTGTATAGCTGTGGTGTGCTGTGTCTGTAATGTGTGTGGCACACTGTGTACGCCTGGTGCATCTGTGCCCATCATTTATGTGTGTGTGTGGTTATGTGTGTGGTGTTTGTAGTTTGTACTTCCGTTTTGAGGATGCAGTATTGTAACGTATTTATATGTTTGGTTTGCTATGTGTCTGGAGTGTATGTGTGGAGAACATAAGGGGAGTTTGTACCATGTGTTTATGTTGTATGTATGTATGTGGTGCATACGTATGGGTGGTTTGTGTGTGCATTTGGTGTGTATGTATATATGTATTGAAATAAACAGCAGCCCCAGAAGAGGTTCCAATGTGTGATAATGATGGTTGACAAATTGCTTATTCAAAAATATTTTGCAAATCCAATCTCAGGACTTTGGTATCTTTGGGGCACTAGGTATCATATAATCTGATATGGTAAAATCCTGAGGTCTAACCTGACCAGCACATATTGGTGCTGAATTCTGATGGTAAGGGGTTGCCTGATAGGAGACTGCTCCATTCTGATTCTCCACTGAGCTTCCTGCCATAAAGCTTTGCATCAGTGGCTGCTCTATCCACGGAAACTGAAGATACGGACAGGGGCATGTGGACGTGTAACGAATGATTAGCCTCTGCTTGAGTTGATCTTATCAATAAGCAGATAGTATCTTCCAGCTCTATTAAGATACAGGGGGAAAAAAGGAATTTGTTTTACCTTTGCTTACTCCTTTTCTGACATTCTTCCTTTCTTTTCATACTGCCGAGTTTCTGACCTATAGCAATCTCCTTCTGCCTGAAAGGCTTCTTTTAGTGTTCCTTACAGGGCAGGTCTACTGGCAATGAATTCTTTCCATTTCTCACTTTGGAGGAATATTATCACGGATTTAGAATTCTGGATTGGCAGGGTTATTTGTTTGTTCTCTGTAGTTTTCAGGTCTTCCATATATTTTTAATCAACCAAAACAATCACAAAAGTAAAATAAATATCAAGGGAAGCACATAATGGAGGTGAATGGGCACTGCTGTGATGGAGCAAGTTATCCTTGGAAGCGGTTTTAAATCAGAGAGGAGTACTGGGTAGTGTTTGGTCAGTTGCCTCTCTACATTATGCTGACATCAACGTGTTTTGCACTCACAGTGGGTGGAGGCAAAACCCTTCAGCAAGAAGAGAAGCAACTTCAGCCGTGTATGCAAATGGATAACCGGTTGCCTCCCAAAAAAGGTAGCACTTTATTCTGTTCCATTAAACAGGTGTTCTTTTTCTTAAATATTACATCACAGATTCCATGTGGAAGAATATTTTTGTGATATACATATGGGGTCTTAAAAATGTTCAGAAAAGAAGGTAGAAGAAACCAGTCCTACTATGGTTTTCCACCAGAAAAGCCCTAAATAAAAAGATTCTACATACTCTGGTGGCTTACACTTTATTTTCATTTTTGCGCACTTGTCAGTTTATCATTTAGTGGAAAATATCAGAAAAAACTGGGCTATTTTGGTTCCATCTCCAAGAGAAAGAGAGATAGATCTGTAAGTGGAAGTAAGGCAGGATGAATGTTCTTGAGTCCCTGCATTCTTGGACATCAACAGCTGAATGTGTACTGAATATTTTTTGAGAGAAGCTGTTTATTTTAGGCAGGGTAGTGTAATGACAATAAAGGATTACTGCTATTGGTTTAGCGTTGTGTCAATGTCATAGGGGACAAAATCCCAGAAAAGGAGATGAGCGATAGATTGTATACTTTTTCAACTTATGAAAAAGTTACTGTATATTAAATTATGTATTTCTTCTTGTATCAACTTTGATACTTAATTATTTTGATTGTTTAAGTTGTCCATTTAATCTGCATTCAAAGTTTATATATATATGTTTTTTTCTATATATTATTCATTTCTGCCCTTATGCATTTAATTCCTTTTAGACTTTTTGGGTTTGTTCCTTTGCTCAGTTTCCAAGTGTTTAAATTCTTTCTTTTTTGATAAATATATTTACAGATGCACATTTTACTCTGTCCATGAGTTTGATATGCGGTATTCTTATTACTCAATCCCAAACACTTTAGAATTCCCCCTGTGGTCTTCTTTTTAACTTAAAACTTGTTTAGACATAATTCATGGACTTCCTGGAGCAATGTGGAGGAGAGAAATGAGTAAAACTCAAAAGCATACCCCTAAATGACTAAGACAATGAGCCCTTCTCTGACATGGTGACAATGACTTCCCTTTTACCATGTAGAGACTCCTGCAGGTGTGTTTACAAAGTTTCTGATAGCTTTCTAGATCCATTCACTTCCCTATGATACTGAGTTTAGGCAGCAAATCAAAGGAAGGGCTGGCTGATGATTAAATTTCTCAGGGGTATTCTTTTACCCCCTTCTATTCAGCTCTTAAGTTCATATGGCACAAAATTTCTTGGCAGTCCACTGACAAGATAAGGGGGCAATGTGTTCATCCTCCATTGAACCATGTAAATCTTTGACATCCAAGCATTTTAGGAGAGGGTCTCCTACTATACACTATCGCATCGCTAGGACCTTGGTATTTGATTCCTGTTGTCCCCATATCATGGAAGGCCAAAAATCCCAAGATCAAAAGTCCACAGTGAAACATCTGACTTCAAGGCCCAACTTATGTTTTGAGGCCCCCATCTTCACTAAGCCCTTGGCCTGAATATTTCATCTTTCCTCTTAGATCACCCATGCTTTTAAAAAAATGGTTTATTTTAAGCATATTTTATCTAATATTCTTATCTTTTAACAACGGAAGCTCAGTTGGCCAGAAAACTAGCCAACTATTTGTTGGGTACTAATGCTTTTTTTCATTTAACAGTTTATCTAAAGAGTATTCCACAATTTTTGGCAGAGATTTTCCTTAGCATTTTTATAGCTGCAAATGACTTTGGTATGGATGGATATATTATAATTTATTTAAATGGTCACTGATTTATAAACATCTAATTTGTTTACAGTCTTTTGCTAGTTCAAACGATTCTATAAGAATGTTGCAAAATGATATAAAATTCAATTCGGTAAGATGATGTAAAATATTTATTATCTAATAAAATAGCTTCCAATATATAAAGCAAAATAGTCTTATGAAAATTATAAAGACACCAAATCCTAAATAAAATATTAACAGAACAAAACAAATCTAAGAATTTATAAAAACATTAAAAAAGCAACCACCAACACTAAGTCAGGTTTATTCTTAAAATAAAAGAGTAACTTAATGTTAGAAAATGTATACATGTCACTCCACACAAATTAATTGAAAGAGGAAAACAGTATGATTATCTCAATAGATATAAAAAATCTATTTATTTATGATATTAATATTTATTTGCAATAAAAAATTCTTAGTTAACTATGAATGTGCAGTAGACAGAATTCCAAGATGGCACCCAAGCTCCCTGGCCCCTGTTTTATTCTTGGGTGGAACAATGAGCACAGAGGATACAGCCCAAAGCCCAGAGGGTGGAGCCAAGAGCCACAAGAATTATCTCCAGACCTTATGAAAAATCCAACATTGGCCTGGCTGAACTTCAGAACCTTTATGGATCGATGACTCCTTTTCTCCTCTATTTTTCCCACCTTGGAACTGGAATGTCTATAGCTTTATCCTACACCTGTTCCACCATTACGTGGTAAAAGTGTTAGGGGCATATAACTTGTCTCTTTAGTTTCACAAGCCCACAGATAGAAATTGTGCCCTAGGAGGGATTAATCATAGGCCCCTCTTCCACACCTGATTTAGATGATGAGATTTTGGACTTTGTGCTATGAGATTTTGATGAGGTTTTGAACTTGAGCTGATAATGTAATAAGATGAAGAATTTGGGAAGCTTGAAATGGGTGAATATGTTTTGCACGTGAAATGAACATGAGTCTTTAAGGGCCAGATGGTGGACTGTAGTAGGCAGAATTCTAAGTTTTCTCTCAAGATTCCCAGCCCCTGGTGTATACACACTTTCTCCCAGTTATTTAAGCAAACATTAAGCTAGGTGCTGCTTCAAGGGGTTTTGCAGATGTATTATGGTCCCAAATCAGTTAATCTTAAATAGCGAAATTATGCAGTTAGGAGAGATCTAATCACATGAGCCCTTTAAATCTGGTTGTACAGGTCAGAGGCAGAGTAGCTAGATTCAAAGTGTGAGAGGGATTCAACATAAAGTAGGTTCCCATTGCTGATTTTGGAGATGGAGGGGGCCATATAGATTAACTTTGCCTGTTTTTGAACTTCATAAAACTAGATTCCTATAGTATATACTGTCTGGTATCTAGCTTCTTTAACTGAACATGTTTTTGTTGAAATTCATCCAGATTTATCCAAATTGTTGTGTATAAGTAGTTCTTTCCTTTTATTTCTGAGTAATATGCATTGTATTAACATACCATGATATGTCCATTCTTTCCAAACATTCTGCTATTTTGAATAAATCTACTATAAACATTTCTGTATGTGTTGTTTTGTAGACATATACCTGTATTTCTCTTGAAAAAAATGCCATTTGTTGAAAAACACTTTACTTTCCTCCAATGGATTGCATTAGTACATTTATTTTTAAAAAGTTAACCATATATGTGTATCTGTTTCTGGACTCCCTACTTTCTTCCATCAATGAACTTGTTTGGCTGTACACCAACTGATTACTCTAGCTTATATCAATAAGTAATTACATTTTTTTAAAATGCCATTTTTTTCTCTGCATTGGGCATATATAAGTCTTTCAACCAGAGTATTTTTTAAATGTTGGAAAAGGAATAGTTTTCTTGACAGAAAATGTCTTTGTTGTAATTAGGGGGACTTATGTCCAAGAGTAACACAGGGTATTTATAAAGGGTCTTTTAAAAAATAGACTTGAGCCAAAGAACTTGAAAGATTGGCTTGATTTTCTTGGAACTTCTAGCTGGAAATACAATTTTAAGGAGAATATGGTATTATTATATCAGTCTCACATCTTCTTATTATATAATAATTATCAAAGGTCATTAAGTACAATAAAATTTTAAATTAATATCTAGGGCTCCAAATTTCTGAATGTCCCTCCTATAGTTAAAGTATGTTTTTATCTCAGCTCTGTCAGCAATTGCGACTTTCTGTTTTACTTTGTAGTTCCAGGTTTCTGTTCCTTTCGCTATGGATTGTCTTTCCTTGTGCACTGTTGTAATGTTATAATAACAGCACAGCGTGCGTGCCTGAACCTCACAATGGTAGTCATGGTGAATAGCACAGATCCACATGGTTTGCCCAACACCTCCACAAAGAAGCTCCTGGATAATATAAAGGTACATCAATAATTTTCCCCACAGTCAAATGTTTAAAAGCCTGTCTTGCTAACTAATTTGTGTAGATATGGAATTGTACTGATATGATACTATATTTGAAAAAGAAGCTCAAGTCTTCATCTACCTTGCCAGGAGTGACCTAAATAAAATGTCCCATGATTAAAGTATGCCTCAGTATTTCTGAAGGGCTTGTTGTGTAAATCCTTCTATGTGAGAGAGAATAAAACCCAAGAGTTAGGGCTTCTTTACAATCAAGAAATTTGGACAAGAGGAAAAAAAGGGAAAGCATTTTAAATTAGGAGTGGAAGGTGAAGACACATTACATTTTTAAAGTTTTTGACTTGCAGGATATTTAAATGTTTCATTAATTTCATCTCTGGAAGATAATCAGTTGTTATCTACCAGAAGATGTAGATGCAGCAAAAAATAAAAACAAGATAGGTAATGTCAGTAAAGAGATGGAAACTATAAAAAGAATGAAAAAGCAATACTAGAAATCAAGGAAATTATAACAAAGAATGCTTTTGAGGGGCTCATCAGTAGACTCCACACCACTGAGGAAATAATTAGTGAACATGAATATGGGTCAATAGAAACTCCCAAAGTTGAAATGCAAAGAGAAAGAGAATTTTAAAAAATTAACAGATCTTTCCCAAATTGTAGACAGTATCAAATGGTGTAACATGTGCATGACCAGAATGCCAGAGAGAATAGGAAACAAGAAATATTTTTTTCAAAAATTGGCTGAGAACTTTCCATAATTAATGACAAACATCAAACCACAGATCCAAGAAGCTCAGAGAACACCAAACAAGATAAATAGCAAAAACAAAAACAAAGAAAAGCCACCTAGGCATACCATATTTAAATTGCAGAAAACCAAGACAAAAAGAACATTTCAATAAAACCAGAGGAAGAAAATACCTACAGAGGAACAAATATAAGAATTACAGCAGACTTCTTATCAGAAACCATGCAAATAAGGAGAGAAAAGTGAACTTTTTAAGGTGTTGAAAGAAAGAAAACCCCTGCCAACCTAGAATTCTGTATTCAATAAAATTATTGACAAAACTGAAAGACTGTAAAATTTCAAGCTGTAGCTATAACTTGAGAAAGCCTTTATTGTCTTTCAATTTTTGTCCTTCAATTTTCCCTTCATATATACGAATTTACTGCCAGCAGGCTTACCACAAAAGAAAAGTTAAAAGATGGTAGATTTTAATCCAACTATATTGATAATCACTTTAAATGTGAATGTTCTAAACACACCAGTTAAAAGACAGAAATTGTTAGAATTGATAACAAATAAAGATCCTCAAATATTCTATCTACAAGAAATCCTGTTAAAATATAAAGACTCAGATAAGTTAGAAGTAAAGGGATGAAGAAAGATGTAAACTATGCAACCATGAAAACACAAATCAAAAGAAAACTGAAGTAGCTATATTAATTTTAGACAAAGCAGAGTTTATAGCAATGAAGATAACCAGAGATAAAGAGGGCATTACCCAATGATAAAAAGAGTGAATTATCCAAAAACAAATGATTCTAAACATGTGTATCCCTAACAACAGAGCAGCAAAATATAGGGGGCAAAAACTGTGAGAACTGAAAGGAAGAATAGAAAAATACATACTTGGTAACTGTTTTCTATTTGTTAAATCTGTTCTTTGTTAATTTTTTTTTCATTCACATTTTGCCTTCTCTGGGTTTAACTGAGCATTTTATATGACTGAATTTTATCTCCTCTCTTGATATATCATTTATACCTGAAAAAACTATTTTAATAGCTTCCATAGGTTTTATAATATACATTTGTAATAATACAAATCTACCTCCAAATAACACTATACTATTTCATGTATCATGAAGGCATCTCGTAACAGAATATTTCCAATTCCTCTCTCCCATCTCTGTGACTACTGTTATTCATTTTATGTATCTATATGTTATAAATACTCAAAACATTCCTTCAACAAAAAGTTATCTTTTAGATCAATTCAAAATAAAATATTTTCCACTTTCATTTATTCTTTTTTAAATTTTTTGTTTATTTATTTATTTTTTAATGGCATGAAGGGCATCATAGTTTATTTTTAAAAATTGTACCACACTGATCATGATGACCAGCATACACATGATAATGGCATTTATTCTTTTCTAATGGTCTTACTTCTTAAATGTAGATCCACATTTTTTAGCTATATCAC
This sequence comes from Homo sapiens, assembly GCF_000001405.40. Taxonomy (NCBI): domain Eukaryota; kingdom Metazoa; phylum Chordata; class Mammalia; order Primates; family Hominidae; genus Homo; species Homo sapiens. The sequence continues at coordinate 25,824,250 of NC_000006.12, read as the reverse complement.
TTTTCTTCTGCCTGAAGAACTTCTCTTAACATTTTTTTGTGGGTTGTGCTTTTGTTGTTGCATATAAGAAATCTTTGCATAACCCAAGATCAAAAAAAATTTTCTGTGTTTTAGAAGTTTTATAATTTTTCATTTTACTGTTAAATCTATGATTCATTTTGAATTACTTTTTGTACATGTTGCATTAAATATCTTTTTTTACATATGGATGTACAATTTTTTTCAGCCCAATTTGTTGAGAAAACTTTTCTTTCTCCACTGAATTGCCTCTGAATGTTCATGGAAAATTAGTAGTTGGAGGTGTAACACTACCTACTGCTAATTTTAAGACTTACACAGAGTTATAGTAATAACGACAGTGTAGAATTAGTGTAAAGACAGAAAATAGATCAATGAAATATAATAGAGAGACTGACACACATATGAACAACTGATTTTTCAAGATATGCAAAAGAACAAACATAAAACTGAACTTCATCAGAATTTAAAATACTGTTAAGATAATGAAAAAACAAGCCAGTGACAGGGGCACATATTTGCTAATCATATCTTATAAAGAACTTCTATCAACACTCAATTAAAAAACACAACCCAATACAAAAATGGAAAAAAAAGATGTGAACAGCTATTTCACCAAAGGAGATACACAGAGGAAAAATACTCACATGAAAAGATGCTGTATATCATTTGACATTGGAGACAAACATCAACTACAAAGATAAATTACTGCACACTGATTCAAATGGCTAAAATTGTAATGATTGCAAATATAAAGTGTGTGCAGGAATGTGGAGGAACTAGAATTCTCCTACAGTCCTGGTGAGAATGCAATGTGGTACAACCACTTTGGAATACACTTTGTCATTTCATAAAAAATTAAGCATATGCCTACCATATGAGACAGCCATTCCACTGCTAGTTATTTACTGAAGAGAAATAAAAGCATATGTCCATTCAGAGACTTGTACATAAATGTTCTATAAACATTTTTGTCTAGCTTTATTTCTGATAGCCAAAAAACTGGAAATAACCTATATGTCCATCAGTAGGTGAATGATTGAACAAACTATGGCACATCCATAAAATGGAGTACTACTTAGCAGTATAATGGAATGAACTACTGACACAAAGAACAACATAGATAAAACTGAAGATAATTATGCCAAGTGAAATAAGCTAGACAATAAAAAAGAGTACATACCGTAGCATTCCCTTAATATAAAACTTCTAGAAAATGAAAACTAAGTTACAGCGACAGGCAGCAGATCAGTGGTGGGGGAGGGCAGGAGGGAGGAATTACAAAAAAAATAGGAGGAAGTTTTTGGAGATAAAGAATATGTTCACTGTCTTAATTGTGGTGATAGCTTCACAAATATATATATAGATACAGTTTATTGTGTCAATTATCTATTTTACATAAAATCTATTCTGTATGAAATCTATTTTGTATAAAATCTATTTCATATAAAGTGTTTTGAATTATATTCTTAAATATTTATGATATTCCAGTGCTTTGGTTTAAATACTGAGAACCTCATATTCTAGAGAAATGGCTACTCACGGGAGTTGTATTTTAGAGCCTTCACTATGGCTCTAAAAGAGGAGGGAGCTCTTGAGCTATAGAGCTTGAAAGATTTCTCTAGCACATGCATCAGCCCGCCACCCCATGAAACCTTTTGCCATCCCATGAAATTTCCTGTCACAATTCAGTTTACTGCTACATAAGGTACTACATTTAAAAATGAAGAAATAGAATACATAATTATTCTAAATAGAAAAACACACCAGAAAATTATTCCACAAAGCAGATCTAAATTGTAGTCTAACATTACAAAATAACCTAAAAATTAGTAAAGCAGTTATAGCTATGGAAGGAACACCATAGTGCAGTATCTACAATAACTCAAAGTAGACATGGCCAGACCACAAGAGGCTTTGCTTGGAGAGCAGATGAATGAAAAAAGGAAATTGACAGGAAAGGAATATGAAAAAGTCAAAACAAACATTTTAGAAAAAAAGACGAAATAAGAAAAACACGGAACAGACACACACAGATATTTTACCACAGTAAGAAACACTGATTATAGAAAAGAAGATGACAAAGAAGGTAGATGAGGAATATTCTGTAGTCAGTCTTCCCTCTTCCATCAAAGTCAAGGAGATTGTGTCATTATTCTTTTTTAAGTGTACCAACTTGACAGTTAGAAATTCTACCATAATTTTAAAGTATATATTCTTTTATTACTAATGGGATTACACATTTGTATATTTCTGTGACCTATGTTTATTGATCATTTCCATTTTGTTCTCTTATAAATTATCTATTGATACCTGGATACATTTTCCTTACTGAGGTATTATATATTTCTTATTCATTTATATGACTCATACAAATGAGTATATATATTTCTAAGATTTACTTAGAGTCATTTATACATTTATATGTGGAGTACTTTGTTCAATGGCAACTAGTTAATGCACTGTATAGAAAAATATAAACTGAGGATTTATCTTTCTGGTGTGAGTAGTTTCAGTATGAGCTCAGGGGATTTAAACCAATTCTGGTGAACTTTTTTTATTTTCTACATTCTGCTGTGGAGAGTGATGGCTTTAAGCCATAAGAAAAACTATCCAAGATTTTGAGTGATGTGTTCACATGCACAGGGAGAGTAGAACAAATGCCTGCTGGCCCACCTGATATGGGTAAGGGTGAATATTGACTTCCTTGGTGCTTCCTGTGATTAAAAACAAGAAAAACAAAACAAAACAAAACCTGGCTGAGCATTCTGCTTCATCTTCTGTGTAGCCTCCTTCCTCTCAGTGGAAAAGATCTGGAACTTCCCTGGCACCCAGGCTACTATAAGGATGTGCCTCACTGGTTATTATTTGGTATTCTCAGAGAGTCACTCCTACCAGATTTTTCCATGGAAGTCCTTTTCCATCCAAGAGAAATATTACACTCTAGAGGCCACAGCTATAGGGTGACAGTGACTTGAAAAGGAGAGAAAAAAGAAGAATGGAGGGATAATAGTGATGACAACAAACATATGGATTCCTACCTATTTTATTTAATATTCAACCAAAAATAACATCCAGCACATTCACTGTTTATTCAGGAAACTCTTCGTTATTTAATATGTTCCTCCTAATTATGCAAGTAACAGAGAAAGTTTAGAAAATGCCACTATCCTAGACACTTCCAAATAAACTTTATCCTGTCCTCCTCTACTACCATTAAGATTTCTTCCTGTTAAGTGGGTCCAAAAACTTGTGCAACCTCGTCCCTCATAGTCTCAACAATAAATTCAATATTAGGATTTTCTTTTATCATTCTTTTTTTTTTTTTTTTTTTTGAGATGGAGTCTCACTCTGTCGCCCAGACTGGAGTGCAGTGGCGCGATCTTGGTCACTGCAAGCTCCACCTCCCAGGTTCACGCCATTCTCCTGCCTCAGCCTCCCGAGTAGCTGGGACTACAGGTGCCTGCAACCACGCCCGGCTAATTTTTTGTATTTTTAGTAGAGATGGGGTTTTCTAGTAGAGACGGGGTTTCACTGTGTTAGCCAGGATGGTCTCGATCTCCTGACCTCGTGATCCGCCCGCCTCGTCCTCCCAAAGTGCTGGGATTACAGGCGTGAGCCACCGCGCCCGGCCATCATTCTTTAATAATGTAAAAAGAAACAATAGAAGGCCCTCTAACCTAGGAATGGACTAACAAATACATTTCTGGAAAAAATATGCCACATCAGAACCAAGTGAAGGAAGAGAAATGGCCTTTTTCTTTTTATTGTTCTGTGCAGTTGTTTTCACAGTTCAGTCTGAGAATTCTTCATGGTTTTATCTTCTCTCTTTCATGACTTTGCTCTCTGGGAGCAATATGTATATGGGGAAAAGTGATTTTGCGAATGAGCTTAAATTAATGGAGGAGTTAGAGAAAGCAAACAGGGAAGAGGAAATTCACAACTGCAGTATGAGTAGTACTATGAAGTACAGGAAATTAACTATTTAAATGTATGTATGCTACACAGGAGGAGTTTACATGCAGTTTAGCAACATTCAAGAAACAAGCATTAAATGTCTATGCTGTGAAAGGTACTGGAGGGAGGTACAGATGGTGTCCTTGGCTGTGAGGACTTTACATTACTCCAATGATAAAATGTAAATATGTACAGAAAATGGTGTGATAAAAGAATAAAGAAGGTCCTGTGATAAAGAATACTAGTAAGAGGGGAGCTACTTTCCATGAGGTGAGCCAGAACAGTTTCCCTGAATCCCTAAATGTCACAGTAAATTTCTGATATGCAGAGTGATTCGACATGTCCCCCCTTGTCTTTTAGAACCCTATGTATAATTGGAGCCCAGATATCCAGGGAATCATCTTGAGTTCCACCTCCTATGGTGTCATCATCATCCAAGTTCCTGTTGGATACTTCTCTGGAATATATTCTACAAAGAAAATGATTGGCTTTGCATTATGCCTCAGCTCTGTGTTAAGCCTGCTCATCCCACCAGCAGCTGGAATTGGAGTAGCTTGGGTCGTTGTATGTCGAGCAGTTCAGGGAGCAGCCCAGGTATTAAAATAATGCTAAAACTGAACAGAGTTTAAATTCACAGGAAGTATTAGAGATTAAATGTCAAACCTTTCTCATTTCAGGGGATAGTTGCAACAGCCCAGTTTGAAATATATGTCAAATGGGCTCCTCCCCTGGAACGAGGCCGACTTACTTCTATGAGTACATCAGGTAAAGAATTAAAGCCTAGAATGTTTGAATCCTATCTTCATCTCATTGTATTACATTCTTCCCTAGAGCCATAAGAAATGTGTGTTTTGAATGGTCAAGGGCTTTGGAAATCATCTGTTTCAGCATTCTTGCTATGAAGATGAGAGAATTGTATAGAATGGAGAAGAGCCATCCTTATCTCAAACAACAGAGAAAAAGAGAGAAAAGAAAATATTTTTATTATTTTCTTCTGATGTTTGTGTTATGATACACAAATTTGTTTCACAGGAAATTGTTCATTGCTACAGTGAGGCTACATTATCTCTGCTTTCAGATGCCTGCATTAATTAGGGGTGTTCTTTGTACCTACTGATTAGGGTTTTTGCTGGGACCCTTTATTGTCCTACTTGTGACTGGAGTTATCTGTGAATCTCTGGGCTGGCCCATGGTCTTCTATATTTTTGGTGAGTCTCTTTCTGTAAAATCCTAGTTATTATTCAGAATCTAAAAAAATTTAAACATTAAAACCCAATATAATGTAATAATTCATATAAAGTTAATATTAAAAATCATGAACTCCACTGAGTGAAAGAGAGAAGTCAATACTCATTAAGTTCCTATCACAAGCAAGGTATTATGCTTAGGACTATACATGTATTTTTGTACATAACTTTTATAATTCTATAATGTAGGCGATATAGATGCATATGCTTTTATATGAAACTCTCCAGGAAAAGGATGATCAGAATAAATAAGTTTACAGATTTCAGAAATATGTTACTTTTTATACTTAACATTCAAAGCATGATGTGGAGCACTACCACATAATCAAACACATTAATTTCTACAGTAAAAAATGAAATCTGTGCAAACTAGAACACACAAAAAAACTATAAAGAAATAAGGTTTACAAATAAGTGATAAAATCACTTTCGGCTCTCTGATCTTGGTTTCAGGTTTGTGAATAAGAAAATGTGGATAGGTTCTATTATGTCCATTTGATACGTGAGGAAACTTCAAAAGGCTTAGGTAACTTGATCAAAGTCATATACTTAAGGCAAAATTGGAAGAATTTATTTACAAAGTGATCACTTAAAAAGGTAGGTATGAGATCCGGTGAAATTCTAGGAATAGTCCAGTTACCTGGGGCTAGCGATACAGGAGCTCGGAATATCTAGCATCCCCAGGTCCAAAGGCATCAAGCAAGGAAGTAGTTATCAGAATCCATTAGGAGAGCCCTATAGAGCAGGATGCCTTCAAAGAACTCATGATTTTTCATAAAAGGACACATAGATTGAGGCAATCATAAGACAGAGCTAACCAGGGTTTGAAAAGACACCTTGATCTCACTCAATTCTCTCCCTCTCATCTCTGCCGGGAATTTCTGTTGGCCAAATCCAGGTGGAAGCAGAGGACATGGGGGCCTACTGATGTTCATTCACATCAGCCATCTGTAGCCAAAGTAAGGTGAAGAAGGATGAGGAGTACATCTAGGGGGACAAACAGAAGACATCCAATATATACAGTGAGCAGATGGCAGAGGCATAATCTGAAAACATGTCTTCCATCCTCAAAATTCCATTGCTGTTAATGACTGTGTTAGTTAGTCTTCAGTAGTAGACAATGGTCAGCATAGTGATGGAACGTAAGCCCCTTATCAGGAAAGGGGCTGAAAAAACTGAGAATGTCTAGCCTGAAGAAGAGAAAACTTGAGAGAACATACCTTGTAGGACTTTATATAAATAAAATGCAGACCTGTTTTGAATTACAAAACTAACCCAAATATACAGAAATTACGGCGGAGCAGGGGAGCAGGGGTGAGGTTTCAGCTCCATATAAGGAAAACTTTTGAATAACTAATGCTGCCCAACATTGTTGATCAAGGGTTGAATGACATCTAATATTTATGTTGTATTTCTATGATAAGATCATGTACAGCAATGTATGCCACTTACA